>NC_000003.12:137644967-137947998 GCF_000001405.40 Homo sapiens | reverse complement strand
TCATTTGTGCCATAGAAATTCCTTCTTTCACCTTTAAACAACTTCAAAAATATTCCTAATATAAATGCATAGCTTTTCTTAAAATCCTGACAATTTGGCTGGGCACAGTGTTTCATGCCTGTAATCCCAGCACTTTGGGAGGCTGAGGTGGGTGGATCACAAGGTCAGGAGTTCAAGACCAGCCTGGCCAATATGGTGAAATTCTGTCTCTACTAAAAAAAATACAAAAACTAGCCAGGTGTGGTGCTGCACGCCTGTAGTCCCAGCTACTCGGGAGGCTGAGGCAGAAGAATCACTTGAACCCGGGAGGCAGAGGTTGCAGTGAGCCGAGACTGCGCCACTGCACTCCAGCCTGGGTGACAAAGCAAGACTCCATCTCAAAAAAAAAAAAAAAAGAAAAAAAATCCTGATAATTTTATAAAAACATTACTGCATTTATTGACTGTCTACACTTGCCAACTCCTTTACACACTATCTCACTGAATCCTCACAAACCCAGGTGAGACAGTGCTTCTCTCAGCTTACAGATGAAGAAACAGAAGCACAGAGGATTAAGTAAGTTGCTCAAAATCACACAGTTAGAAATTGAGGTGCAGAAAAGTCAAGAAATGTGCCCAAGGTCATGTAACTCTTAAATGCTATCATGGGGGCCTGAACCGAGGCCACTTCCACTCACACTTCATTGGCTCACTGGAATCACGTGGTGATGCCTGACTTCAAGAGGGGAGTGAATGCAATTCTGCTATGAGCCTGGGCAGTTTCCTTATAGTAAAGAGGTTATGGTAATCATTACATCTATTTCATAGGAGTGTCATAAGAATTCAATGAGTGATTGCATATTAAATGCTTGGCACAGAGTTAAGTCCTTATTAAATATCAGCTGTTAATATTCTCCCTATGGGATGAGCAATTTGACATATGCAACTGTGTGGATTTATTTTCCTTCTGCATAAAGTTGACTAAATGTCTCCTAAATATTAGACCATGTGCAAGGTGGTTAGGGCTATGAAAATGGACAACAAAGGAGCCACTGTATAGCAAGGATAAGTTGAAAGCTGTTTTAGTTCTGATTCCCAATCTTGGTACATGCTAAGATATACCAGAGAGGATTCTGAAATCTTACAAAGAACATAGAGTTTGCCTACCAGTTTTGGCTTATTTTATGTCACTGACACCTTTAAGGTATTGCCAAGTTTGTGATGGTAGTTGTGAGATTTATTTATTCTCTGTTTTAAATTAGACATTTATCCCACAGTTCACCTAATGTTTGCATTTTTCTTAGTTTGCCCTTCCCTGTGGCATCCTAATAGGATGTGACAATACAGCTCGCCTGTTACATGGTTGAGTTCTGAAGATTGCATTTCATGTTTCCAGGAAGCCTTCAGGCCCCGGGGCTACTTTCTTGGAGGAAATCAAATCATCTTATGACCACTAGAGGGCAGTAGCAACTTACGGATGCAATAGGACAAACAATCCCCCCTTCGCCCCGCCCCCGCAAAGGTAAGTTGCAGATGATCGGCTAAAACTGGCACTCATTTAACAGATGAGGAAACTGAGTCTCAGGGAGGGCAAATTGTTTTTTCAAGATCACACAAAAGATGAGTGGTAGGTTTGCATCTGGAAGCTGATTCAAAGTTTGAAACTTAATTACAAATGCTACCGTAAAACAGAAAATCAAATTTAGGCATCAGAACTTAAAGAATTTGTAGTAGATGAAAAATAGTCATATCGCTGGCAAAAAAGGAAAAAAAAAAGAAACAAACAAAAGAGAAAAAAGAAAGTGAAGACTAAATATTTTGCTTATTCTCATGCGTGCCTAGAAAGGACATCCTGGGACTCCACCACTGGTGAAGAAAATCTTAACAATCTAGGGGAAGAGGCTGTTACCAGAGCAGCATCTGAAAGCCAGGACATTGCAAGCGAAAGGTGGCTTCTGGAGGGGAGACTTGGTAGGGAGTCATCCTAGTAGTTATAGGTTATCACAGGCCTAGAATGATCAGGGATAAAGGAACCCACACCTACATTCCAGGCTGGCATCCCTGGACATTCAAGAAAGGTTCAAGTTAATGCCCCAGCCAAAGCTCTGACCATCTTAGTGCTATGATGAGAATATGATTTTAAGGCAATATCGTTTTAGCTAGAGATCCAATACAGTCATTGTATAACATAGCTGAGTCTCCTCCAAAGTGGACAATTTTTCCCTATGAGCAACCTACACCTGGGAAATGCTTAGCCAGGATCCATCTGTATCAATTAGAATTAGATCTGGCTATTAAAAAACAGAGACCCAAGGCCTGGTGTGGTGGCTCACGCCTGTAATCCCGGCACTTTGGGGGCTGAAGTGGGCGGATCACCTGAGGTCAGAAGTTTGAGATCAGCCTGCCAACATGGTGAAAACCCCTGTATCTAATAAAAATATAAAAATTAGCCGGGTGTGGTGGCAGGCACCTGTAATCCCAGCTACTTGGGAGGCTGAGGCAGGAGAATCATTTGAACCCAGGAGGCAGAGGTTGCAGTGAGCCGAGATCACACCACTGCACTCCAGCCTGGGTGACAAAGTGAGACTTCATCTAAAAAAAAAAAAAAGAACAACAACAACAACAACAACAACAACAAAAACCCAGAGACCCAAAATAGCAATGATCCAAATAAGACAGAATTTATTTGTGTCTCTTGAGGGTCCAGAGACAGGGAATCAAGGGAAGGTATGTAGCTCTGCTTCACAAAGTCCTCAGAGACCTGGCCACCTCCATCCTGTTGGTCACACATGTGGCCTTATTTGCACAATCACCTCATGTCCCAGGAGGGCTATAGCAGACTCTGACATCATGTTGCATTCTGGTCATTAATGAGGAAGGGATGAAGAAAAGGATAAAGGATAAGTAGCAGTCATCTATTTAGGAAGATTAGGTTCCTGGGAATGTTATGTGAAACATCTGCCCACAATTCATTGATTAGAGCTTGGCCACATGGCCATGACTCCTGCAAGGGAGGCTGGAAAACATAGTGTTTATTCTTAGCGATTACTCTGCTCAAGTAAAAATTATGGTTTTAGTATTATGAAAAAAAGGGAACATGGATATTGACGAGTAGTAACTGAAAATCTTTGTGCAGTAGACCTGGGCATGAACCACCCAGATTCCTCTTCAATGAAGGACTTGCTTTCTGGGTGTACCAGGAAGTGTGGTTAGCAGGTGACTGTCAGTTGTGAGTACCTTCAAGGGTTGGCCTCAGCTGTAAATAGCTGAGGTTACAACTTCCCTAACAGCCAACATCCAGTGATTTAACAAGGTGGCAGTATAAAGGCCCAACATTTCCAGCCCAATCAGACCTGCATTGTAAGCTAATCCTGCTTTCACCCCTTCCTTTCAAAGGTATTGGTCCCCAATGAGCACCTTACACCTTAAATTTTGTCTCCCCATCTGCTTCCAGAGAACCCAAGCTGGAATGGTTGGTACCAGTAATGGCTGGTTAAAGAGTGTCGGCAATGAGATACCGTTTTGGAGTAGGATTATTCACCACCTGTCTGTAGTGAGGAGCTTATCACTGTTGGTGGGTGATCACAGACAGCATCTGGTATAAGATGGAGGTCCAACTGTTAAACAGTGGTGAATTGGGGGTATTGTACAGTGGAAAGGAATATACTAGCAGACAAGATGTGTCAGGCTGTTTGAAAGGTATGAAGAAACAGGAGCTCTAAGGGTAACAGTATTGGATAGCTATTGCTAAGTGCCAGTGATAGCCTACACTAAGATAATGAACAGTGCAGGACAAGTAGCAGGCAATTGAAAGGCAGGTGTGAAAGCCAAAGAGTCTCCTTGGTTATATACAAAGAAGCCCCCTTGTCTTGCTTGAAGAACAAGAGGAAGCCAAGGATCAAGCTTAGAACCTTATAGGTTCAGTGGCTGAATATCAAAGAAAGTTAAATGTCCACTTAAAGCAGATCTGTTATGCCGGAGTTAGGGCCCTGATTAGGAAATCCTAGGACTCTGACACATGAGATAAAGACATCTGGGCAATGCTTCTAAGCATTTTGGCTTCCTAGACTGCCTTGAAACTTCTGAGGCTGCAAAAGTGGCTGAACACTCTCTGGTAAGTGCTAGCACTCCTCTGTGCTGGAAGAGGATGCAGACACCTCTTCTCCAAAAGGCAGTGGGTACCACCCCCTCAGAATCCACTCCTACTTCCCCTCTTGGGGATTAGGCCTATAAGCAGGGTTGGTCTCAGTACATCCCAGCTGAGAATGTGCTGGTCCTGATAAGGAAGCAAAAATATTCTACTTTTAAAAGGCTGCAAGATGTAGTCAATGTATCCTGGGACTACATTCTGAGAGTGTTTGATCAGGGGGCCCAGAACATAAATTGAATAGGGAAGACTTTGTTGACTTGGAAGTACTCTCCTGACATTCAGGATTTAACATCCTGGCAAGGACCCCTGACTAAGTAAGAATTTGCTACTAGGATGGCTCCTGGAAGCATGAAAGAAGCAATGCACTATGCTTAGAAAAGTTTAAATGCCAGAATTGCGTTGGCAGATGGTGGATAAAGGGATTAAACAGCTCAGGAAAGTGGGCATGCTAGAATAGGTATACTTTGCACAGCTGGAAGGCTAGCCAAATGGCTATGTTCCAGCATATTCTTTTTGGTCTTCTTAAATGAGGCCACATCATTTAAGAACAGCAAAAGAAATGTGCTGGTGAGGGGCCTACCTGAGGGTGGAGGGTGGGAGGAGGGTGAGGATTAAAAAACTACCAGTCAAGTACTATGCTTTTAACCTGGGTGATGAAATAATCTGTACACCAACCCCTTGCAACACACGATTTACCTGTATAACAAACCTGCACATGTATCCCTGAACCTAAAACAAAAGTTAAAAAAAAAAAAAAAGAAATGCATTGGTGAGAGGGCCTTTGGCATCACTAAGATGTTCAGTGGTAGCTATCCCCTATAGGCTGGAGCCGATGATAAAAGATGTTATAAAATTTGACTCACTGATGGCAATGGGGATGATAGGACCGTAAAAGAGCTGTAGTCAGGTTGAGGTGCTTAGTCTCCAAAATATGGGGGAATTACAGTCATTGCAACAACCAGTAAGGTTAGAGTGGAAGCCAAGAGGACGTGCTCCACAGAGGGTTATGGAGATGGTGAATTGAATATGGTGTCCTAAGAGGTTAAACGAATGGACATCTGACAAAGGTACTACTTAGCTTGTACTAGCAGCATAAATCAAAGATGGATAATTAGAAGGCTGAAGGTGATTGCTCCAATAAAAAGTTATGTTCACTTCCTAGTTTCCAGACACCAGCCAGTTTGTAGACTTCTAGTCTATTGACTGATGCAGTGGCCAGGTTTCTGGGAGGAAGGTCCTTACAACACTATGGCAATTTTTTACTATAATGATTCTTTCCTCAAAGGGATTTCGGCCACTTTCTCAGGTAATTGAATGTGGGGAAAGAGAAATACTCTGATAGTTTGAGGACTTTTGAACACCAGCTCTGAGTTGACATTGATACCTAGAGACCTAAAATGTCATTGTTGACCCTCTGTTAGAGTAGGGTCATGTGGGATCTTACATTGGATCCATTGGGTCTGAGAACTCACTCAGTAGTCGTTTACTCAGTTCCTGAATGTATAATTGTGACTGACACACTTGACAGTTTGTACAACCTCAATATTGGGTTTTTGGTCTTTGGGGAAAGAGCTATCATGGTAGGAAAGGGTAAAAGGTATCATAGTAGAGAATGCCACATGGAAATCTCTGAAATCATCCAATTATACCATGGCCAAGTCATAAACCAAAATCAATATTGCATCCCAGGGTGAATTGTGGAGATAAGTGTCACCTTTAAGGAACTATAGCAGGAGTTGGCAAATTCTTTTTTCTGTAAAGTGACAGATAGTAAATAATGTAGACTTTGTGGGCCATATGTTCTGTCACAACTATCCAACTTTGCTGCTGCAGCATAAAAATAGCCATAAAATGTGTAAAGGAATGGGTGCCACTGTGTTCCAGTAAAGCTTTAGTTACATAAATAGGGGGCAGGCTGGATTTGGTCTTTCGGCCTTAGTTTGCCGACTCCTGATCTAATAGGGTCATGAGAGGTGGTCTCCATAATGCCTCAAATTAATTCACTAGTTTGGCCCCTGGAGAAACTGGATGAATGTTGGATGATGACAATGGACTATCTTCAGCTCAACCAAGTGATGGACCTGATTGCAGCCCCTGTGTCAGATCTGGTATCTTTGTTAGAAAAAATGGATATGACCTCAGGTACATGATGCGGAACAGGAATTTGGCCAATGTATTCTTTTCTATCCCAACCAGAAATGAGGACCAGAAACAGTTTGTATTCACATGGAAAAACCCAACAATATACTTGATAGCTTCCCCCCAGGGTTTTTCTAACTCTCCCACTCTCTGTCATAATATGGCCCGAAGAGATCTAGACCTTTTAAGCATTCTGCAGAGCATCACATTGGTCCATTACTTCAGTGGCATTGTGCTGATCAGCCTGGACAACAAGTTGGAGTGTTTGGTAAACACAGGTGCTCCAGAAATGGGAGATAAGCCCTGTGAAGATCCAACAGCTTGCCACATCTGTAAAATACTTAGGAGTCTAATGATTAGGGGATTGCTGGGATATCCCATTCAAAGTAAAAAGATTATTGCGTCCTGCATCATCTACCAAAAAGAAGTAAACACAACACCTGGTGGGACTCTTTAGGTTTTAGAGGCAGGATATTCCACATCAAGAGATACTTATCTGGTATATACACTGAGTAGCATAAAAGACTGCTAGATTTAATAGGCCCCAGAGCTGAAAAGGGCGCTGCACCTTTCAGCTCGACAGTTCAGCAGACCCTATGATGTTGGAGATGGAGATATTGGTGATAGGAAAAGATGCTCTGTGGAGTTTGTGACAAGCTCCAGTAGGAGAATCATAACACAGCCCCTGGATTTCTGGAGCAAAGCTATGTCATCTATAGCAGAAAATTATATGTCTTTCAAAAAGCAACTTCTGTTGTGCCACTAAGCTCTGGTAAAGACAGACTGCTTGACCATGAGCCACCATATGACTACAAGGCTGGAACTGCTCCTCATGAATTGTGCCCTGTCGGACCCACCAGGCCATAGGTCGGGTGGTCTCAACGATAATTTTTTGTAACATGGAACTTGTATATCTGGGACCAGAATGAGTAGGACGAGAGGATGCAAGCAAACTGACCCCCAGCACACCCGTCACTGTTTTACTAGAACTGTGACCTGTATGGAGGATCATGTCCAACCAGCTGAAATAGGAGAAAAATCTTGATCTTTGTGTATGAAGAGGTTGGCATGGTAGATGCACACAGGCTAAAAGGGATAGTAGCTGCACTTTAACCTTTCTTATGTGTTGCCTTGAAAGACAGTGGTGACAGAATATTTTCCCAATGGCCATAGTTTTGGGTGGTAGACCTGGAATCCACTTTTCATGGAAAGATAAGTGTCTAAGGTAAGACTACCACTCATGAGCAGTGGCGAATGGCCTGACCAGCAGGTCAAGGGACTGTAAGGAAAATATTAGAAGACTGCGAATAAGAACATCTGGAAGAAGGGCATGTAAAAGGACATATGGGAGTGGGCAAAAGTGTGAAGATCTTTGTATCACATTTTATCACTCACCAGAAAGTGTTTGCTATAGAGGAAGCACTAAACAACCCAGGTAAGCCAAATGACCCAGTCCATTGAAAAGAGCCATTCTCTGTCATCGGCCACCTGCATGATGAGCACGTGAACAAACTGGCCATGATGGCCAAGGTGGAGACTACCTATTGGCCCGACAGCAGGGACTCCTATTTGTCAAGACTGATATAGTTATTGCACAACATAAAATCAACCTGCCACCAACAGACACTAATTCTGAGCTCCTGAAGGCACCATCCCTTGAGGAGGCCAACTAGCTACTTGAAGGCAGGCTGTTGAGGCCATTGGGTTCCTTCCTTCCAGGAAGAGCCAGAGGTTGTTTTTCACAGGAACAAACACTTATTCTGTGTATAGGTTTGGCTTTCCTGTCTGTAGAGCTTCAAGCTGCACCACTACCTGACGGTCTATAGATTTTGATCCACTGACTCAAGCCCCGCATACTGTGTCACACCAGGGGATCCATTTTACAACAAAGAAAGTACAGGAGTGGGCCCATGACCAAGGAACACACTGATCATTTCACATATTGGGCCATTCATGTGCTGACGGCCTGATAAAGCATTGGAGCAGCCTGCTGAAGAAATAGCCAAACTCCAACTATTAGGTAATATCCTTTGAGGACAGAGTGCCATCCTTCAAGACACAGTGTATGCATGGAATCAAAGACTTTTAAAATAGGTTGCTATGTCTCCAGTAGGAAGAACACATGGGTCTTTGAACAAATAAATAGAAGCAGGAATGACCCCACTTACCATCACTCCCAAGGATCTACTGAGGGACTTTGTGATTCAAGTCCTTGAGACTCTGGGCTCTCTAAGGTCAGAAGCCCTAGTTTCCAGAGTACCCACTTTCACTGGAGGGCATAGTAAGGGTCCCATTTAATTTTAAGCTATTGTGCTATTATGGCTGCTGCTTGGGCACTTTGGCATCCTTGTGTCTGGGGATCAGCAGTACAGAAAAAGAGTTACTGTCTTGGCATGGTGACTTCCTGATTACCAAGAGGATGTAGCCTGTTGTTACTAACGTAATCAGAGAGGACATTACATGAAACTCAGCTGATTCACTTGGGTTCCTTTTGGTGCTCCCTTGACCAATTGTGACTGAAAGTGAACAGGAAGAGTAAGCCCAACCTGGGAAGGGTATGGTAACCAGTGGCTTGAGGGACTTGAGCATGAGTGTCTTGGTCAATCCACCAGAGGAAGCCACTGAAACCTGCAGAGGTGCTAGCTGAAGATGAGAAGAATCTAGAATAGAAAGTGGAGGAGGGAGACAGTGAGGATCCACTGTGGTCCTGAGACCAACCGCAGTGGCAGGGCTGTAGTTCATCCTACTATCTCCGTCTATATTAGTTTACTTGGCCTGCCATAACAAAATACAGTCATCCCTGAAACCAAACCCAGGAGATTAGTTTTAGGAAGAACCAAGGATACCAACATCTGTGGATGCTCAAATTCCTTATATAAAATGGCGCAATATTTGCATATAACCTATGCACATTCTCTTGTATACTTTAAATCATCTCTAGACTCCTTATAGTACCTAATACAATGTATATTCTATGTAAATAGTTGTTGTATTGTTTTTATTTGTATTACTTTTAATAGTTGTGTTATTTTATATTTTATTTTTTCCCCCAAATATCTTCGATTCGTGATTGGTTGAATCTACGGTGTGGAACCAGGGATATGGAACCTGCAGATATGGAGGGATGACTGTCCCACAGACTGGGTGCCTAAACAATAGAAATTTATTTTCTTACTTTTCTGTAGGCTAGAGGTCCCAGATCAAGGTGTCAGTATGTTTGCTTTTTTCTGAGGTCTCTCTTCTTGGTTTGCAGATTGTCACCTTCTTGCTGTGTTCTCATATAGTCTTTCCTCTGTGAACATGCATGTCTGTGTCCAAATTAATCCCAGCTACTCAGGAGGCTGAGGCAGGAGAATCTCTTGAACCTGGGAGGCAGAGGTTGCAGTGAGCTGAGATTGCACCATTGCACTCCAGCCTGGGCCACAAGAGTGAAACTCTGACCAAAAAAAAAAAGGAACCCAAGTCATACTGGATTAGGATAAACCCTAAATACCTCATTTTAGCTTACTTGCCTCTTTAAAGAACTTATCTAGAAATATATGGTTATTTTCTGAGGTATTGGGGTTTAAAGCTTCAACATATGAATTTTGGGTGGACACAATTCATCCCATGAGACTCTCTAATGAACTTCCATTTAAGTAGAGAGACCCAATAGAATCCTTGAATAGATGTTCCCTAAATGCATATGAGAAGTGGATTTGAGCAGTGCAAAGGGTGGACTATGAATAATACAGAGATGCACCACTCAGTTTCCCTTTCAGTTGTGAGGTGGTCAGCATAAACTTCCTGCCATCAACTCCTGAAGGGTTGGGCTCATCTATAGAGAGCCAAGTTTTCTGAGGTCATACCTTTATAGGATAGGCTGCATATGGTGACAGAGCAAGACAGGGGTATAGAAGCTTGGCCACTTTGACCTGACATGAACAATTATGATCAACAATATTTCCTCCAGAGCTCCCCTTCACATTGGCTAAGGTTTTGTCAGGGATGTGCTGCAGTTTGACTTCTCCCTCTGTTCAATCCTACGTCCTCCCTTGGAATCCCAATAAATCTTGGAAACTCAAACTCCATCTCAAGTGTCTGCTTCTAGAGAACCCAACTGGTGACACTTTGCCTCCCATCTTTAGATATACTGGCTGTATTACCATTCTAGGCCTTACTGATATTTCCAGAAAATTAGTTGAGCAAAAATGGAAATAATTGAAGATTAATAGAAGGTAAGAGTAAATATAATGACCTTGTCTTGTTGCTCCTGCCCTTCTTTAAGCCTGTCGACCGGTGCCATTCACTTGGCCCCAGTTAGGATTCTGGCCCCAGTCCTCCTTAAGCAAGTCCTTGAATGCCAGATCTAAGTATTATAACTCGGTTCCCATGCTTTTCATCTCTGACCAAGCTCCCACTTTACCCTGTATTTTATATCCAGCAACTACTCAGTCTTGTCCCCGTATGGTTTGTTTGCCCCTAGTGGCTCTGGGCTGCTGTGTTAAATTACTGGAGCACAGAGAAAACAGCACATGCTTCATAGAGGTCTTTTGCTGGTTGTCTCTGCTCTCTTCTATCACTCTTTACATTAGCACATAATTTTTCATAATGTAGTACTTTGTTGTCATAAAAAAATGATAATCTGGGGTGGTTCTACTTTTCCTTTTAGAAGATTTTTCTGTCCTTCTTTATTTAATTTCCTCCATCTTCTCCTGCCTCATCCTCTTTTCCCCTTTCTCTTCCTCCCCCCTCTTCTCTTCTTGCAATTATTGGCTCCTTCTTCATGGCAGGAGGACATGCTTCAACAAAGAGATAAAAGACATGGTTCCTGCTCTCTGAGAGCTCTCAGATCAAGGGGGTGGGGGTGAGGGATTCAGAAATGAACATCATCTCCAAATGAGTGCCCAGTACTGTGTCTGCATGAGCCAACAACTCCCTGGGAGCAAGGTGTGCAGCTTCTCGGAGGAGGTGGGGTTTAATCTGAGTGCTGAAGAATGGGAAGATTGTTGTCATGTTTGCTTCTGGATTCTTGGCTACATATGTGCTTGTTTTGGAGAGTTTATCCTTCAGATTAGCAACATGCAAATGTACTTAACATACCACTGCTTTTATATAAATGACTGTTTCTGATGTTTTTGAAACTTATGCAGCCCAAAGTAATTTATAGATTCAGTGCTATTCTCATCAAACTACCATTGACATTCTTCACAGATTTAGAAAAAAACTACTTTAAGTTTCACATGGAACCAAAAAAAGAGCCCATATAGCCAAGACAATCCTAAGCAAAAAGAACAAAGCTGGAGGCATCATGCTACTTGAATTCAAACTATACTACAAGGCTACAGTAACAAAAACAGCCTGGTACTGGTACCAAAACAGACATATAGACCAATGGAACAGAATGGAGACCTCAGAAATAACACCACACATCTACAACCATTTGATCTTTGACAAACCTGACAAAAACAAGCAATGGAGAAAGGATTCCCTATTTAGTAAATAGTGCTGGGAAAACTGGCTAGCCATAAGAAGAAAACAGAAACTGGGCCCTTTCCTTATACCTTATACAAAAATTAACTTGAGATGGATTAAAGACTTAAATGTAAAACCCCAAACCATAAAAACCCTAGAAGAAAACCTAGGCAATACCATTCAGGACATAGACCGTGGGGAAAGTCTTCATGACTAGAATACCAAAAGCAATTGCAACAAAAACCAAAATTGACAAATGGGATCTAATTAAACTGAAGAGCTTCTGCACAGCAAAAGAAACTATCATCAGAGTGAATAAGCAACCTACAGAATGGGAGAAAATTTTTGCAATCTATCCATCTGACAAAGGTCTAATATCCAGAATCTACAAGGAACTTAAACAAATTTACAAGAAGAAAACACCAAACAACCCCATCAAAAAGTGGGCAAAGGATATAAACAGAAACTTCTTTAAAAAAGACATTTATGCAGCATGAAAAAAAGCTCATCATCACTGATCACTAGAGAAATGCAAATCAAAACCGCAGTGGGATACCATCCCATACCAGTCAGAATTGCAAGTATTAAAAAGTCAAGAAACAATAGATGCTGGTGAGGCTGTGGAGAAATAGAAATGCTTTTACACTGTTGGTGGGAATGTAAACTAGTTCAACCATTGTGGAAGACAGTGTGGGGATTCCTCAAGGATCTAGAACCAGAAATACCATTTGACTCAGCAATTCCATTACTGGGTATATACCCAAAGGAATATAAATAATTCTACTATAAAGACACATGCACATGTATGTTTATTTCAACACAATTTACAATAGCAAAGACATAGAACCAACCCAAATGCCCATCAGTGATAGACTGGATAAAGAAAATGTGGTACATATATACCATGGAATACTATGCAGTCATAAAAAAGGGTGAGATCATGTCCTTTGCAGGGACATGGATGAAGCTGGAAGCCATCATCCTCAGCAAACTAACACAGGAACAGAAAACCAAACACCACATGTTTTCACTCATAAGTGGGAGCTGAATAATCAGAACACATGGACACAGGGAGGGGAAGAACACATACTGGGGCCTGTCGGGGGTGGGGGACAAGGGAAGGGAGAACATTAGGACAAATACCTAATGTATGCAGGGCATAAAACTTAGATGATGGGTTGATAGGTGCAGCAAACCACCATGGCACATGTATACCTGTGTAAGAAACCTGCATATTCTGCACATGTGTCCTGGAACAGAAAGTAAAATTAAAAAAAGAAGAAAACAATGATTTCAATATGAAATTTCTATCTGAAATTTTTGCACTGTTAATTTGCCTTATAAAACATTTATATACAGGTGGCAGAAAAAACAACTTCATCCTAGGTTTGGACTATATCACTTTAAAAATCTCAAGAAGAGCTGTGGTAATCAAAGAAGTTTAGTAGTATATTGAGTGTTTCCATATTTCCTTCTGGCTTCTGAGTACATACATGCAAATTTGCTCATCAGACATGAAACTCTACATTTTAAAAGAGGAAAGATATTTCTCGGTCAGAGCATGGCTCATCAAAAGGCACCGTTTTTCAAGCCTGAGATTTAACGGCTTGCTGCTTATTCTGAGGCTCCCTGGTGCCAGCATCCTGTCCTCCCCCTAAATATTTGTGTGTTCTCCACCCTCCAGGCTGCTGTTGCTGGATGCTGCCCTACCATTCCCAGAAACCTCTGGGTAATGGTAATGTCAGATCTTTTCCGTGTACCAGATATTTAGCTTAATTTTCCCATTTTTCAGGGGAAATAAGAAAGAACACTGTACTGATTGCGAATCTGTCCCAAGTTTCTTAAGAACGTCTGATATAGTAATTTTCAAATGATTAATTTCTTGGTAATGTATATTTTAATCACTTTTAAAGCCATATTACTACTTATATATCATTTTAATTAATAATTCATTGGAACAAACTAGCTAAATAGAATTTATAAGTAGAAATAACATAAATTTTATCACAGTGTAATGTCTTAGGATTAACTAGCATTCATACTCAAGATCATCAATGGAAAAAAAAACTAAACAGTAGACAGCATCTGAAAAACTAATTTTTCTGACTTAGAAGAGGCCATGAATGATTTAGATTTGTTCAATTTTTTACATTCCTTACTCCTCACTTACATGAAAATAAATCACATTACTATTAGCTTTTGGAAAATAATACAACCCTGTGGACTCAAAAACAGCACATGCTCTATGGCCTCTTTGGGATCTGGAGCACCCTGCATGAGTGATCTTCCTAGATGTGTCCACAGCAAAGCCTGTCTCTTCCCAGAGTGCATCCAGACCCCATAAATGACCCTCCAGGTGAACATGACTTACTAGTTTCACCTAGTCACAAACACATATCCAAATCCTTGAGAAATGATGCTATTTGGCCACAAAGCCAAAACAAATCAAACACTCATCACATCCTCCATTAATGCATTTGACACAAATTGCCTTTAAGCTGAACTATGGTGTGATCACAAAGCCATTTGACAGCGGCTGTTTGTGCACACCGCTCACTTATGCTCTGGGTTTATTATTGAAATTATTCTATACAAATAAATGAATCTTCCCATGTTGAGAAATAAACTTGGTCTTAATGTAAAAAGTCAAGAGGTCACAAAATGGTACAATTAATTCAGCACTTCTGTCTCCTAGTGACTGTGTGGCAACAAATTATGAAGTGCAATTATGCTTATAGAACATCAGAGCATTTGACAAATTCAGTTAATTCTGTTGAGGCAAATCATTCAGAATTGTCTTTGGCTTTAGATTGAATTATTTATGGGTTCATTTGGTGCTTTGTCATTAGATGTACACATGTGAGGAGGCTTCAGGGGCAGGATTTTGGGGGGATGCCAAATCTAAGAAGGAAAGAAGAATGGCTATCGATATAGGGCCAATGTTTTGCACTTATTTAAGAAATGACTGGGCCAGGCAAAGTGGCTCATGCTTGTAATCTCAGCACTTTGGGAGGCCAAGGCAGGAGGATTGCTTGAGCCCAGGAGTTTGAGAGGAGCCTGGGCAACATAGTAAGACCCTATCTCTGTAAAAATAAGAAAATTTGCCAGGCATGGTGGTGCATGCTTACAGTCCGAGCTACTTAGGAGGCTGAAGCAGGAGGATAACTTAAGCCCAGGAGTTCAAGGCTTCAGTGAGCTATGATCACATATTGCACTGTAGTCTGGGTGACAGAGGAAGACCTTGTCTTTAAAAAAAAAAAGAGGGCCGAGTGCAGTGGCTCATGCCTGTAATCCCAGCACTTTGGGAGGCCGAGGTGGGTGGATCACAAGGTCAGGAGTTCCAGACCAGCCTGGCCAACATGGTGAAACCCCACCTCTACTAAAAATACAAAAATTAGCTGGGCATGGTGGTACACACCTATAATCACAGCTACTGGGGAGGCTGAGGCAGGATAATGGCTTGAACCCAGGAGGTGGAGGTTGCAGTGAGCTGATATCGGGACACTGCACTCCAGCCTGGGTGACAGACTAAGACTCTGTCTCAAAAAAAAAAAAGAAATGACTGCGTGGGTGAGAACTTTGCTGAAACCCAGTGTCCTGCATCTCTGCTTCAGTTTATAACTTATTAACATGTGTAGTTTCTCTGAGGACTAAGGATGAGCAAAATGAAACATTGATGCACAAAGAACTCAAAATTGTGTAGAGGACCAGGACTCCATAAGAAGACTTGTCTTGTTCTCTGCATCTGTGGCTAAAAATTAACTTGTCTTCTTTTTATATCATTTTCTGCAGGGTAGAGATGACTTTAGAAATCACAAAGCAGAATAATACCTTGAAGGTAAACACTCAGTACTTACTGAAAGTTTTTCAAACAATTGATTTGCCTCCTTGAAAAGGGCTGCGTGGAGGAAGAGCACAAAATACATGCTGGGGAGTTGGATGGAATCAGGTAGCTCAGTGCAAACATCTTATTCCCTTTCTCTTTATTTCTTAATATTCCCTCCCTCTCTATTATCTTTTCCTCCTTCTCCCTCCCCACTCCCTTTGTACTCCCACCTCCATCCTCCTTTCCTGTCCAAATAATGGGAACAGACCAATCAAGGGTAAATAGGAGGAAATAAGAATTTTTGTACCAAAGCTGATCAGGCAACAGGTTTGGCTGAAGCCAAAGGATAAGACTGGGAGATATTTTGGGCATTACACATGGAGATGGCATTGAAAGTTGGGTTGGGTTAGGTTAGTTTCAAAGGACGTTAAAAAGCCTGATAAATTCTTGAGCAGGAAATTAATGTGATAAGAATAGTATTTAGACGGACATTCCAATAGTGAGTAGAGCTAATTGTAGCATAAGATAATATCACTTTATTAAGATATAGAGCCACTCGTCTGTCCCAGTTCTAGGTCATAGAATCTTCATGTGTCCTAATTAAATAATTTATTGTTGGCTGGACGTGGTGGCTTATGCCTGTAATCCCAACACTTTGAGAGGCGAGGCGGGCAGATCACTTGAGGTCAGGAGTTCGAGACCAGCCTGGCCAACATTGTGAACCCTTGTCTTTACCAAAAATACAAAAATTAGCTGGATGTGGTGGCAAGCACCTATAATCCCAGCTACTTGGGAGGCTGAGGCAGAAGAATCACTTGAACCCAGGAGGCAGAGGTTGCAGTGAGCCAAGATTGCACAACTGCACTCCAGCCTGGGTGACACAGTGAGAATCTGTCTCAAAAAAAAAAAAAAAACAAAAAAAGTGACAGAGCGCAACTCCGTCTCAAAAAAAAAAAAAAAATTATTGTTGGCAGCAGGAATTCACTCTGGAAGACATGAAGATACTTTAAAAAAAGTACACCCAGCCATATCTTGCCCATATCTGGGCTGAAGGCATGTCCCCAGGAGACCCAGTCTCTCCGTCAGAGCTCAGCTGAGGCACCTGCTTCTTGGAGAAGCCTTCCCTGTCCTCCTCTGTTCAGGTGCTTTCCTCTGTCACTGCTTTCCTCTGTCACTGTAGGAACACACTACTTTTTCCGACTGCTTGCACTGGCTCCTGTCTCTCCCTGTTGCCCATATTCCTCTACTTCAGTTGCCCCTTGTATAGTGAAAGGCAGAGCAGATGGCTGTGGACTGGTTAAGCCTCCATAACTCTGGGCAGTTAGGTGTGATGTGCAGATGTCATTCTATATCCTAACTGGAAAACATTATTCTTCAAATGTGCTTTCAAATATGTCTCATCCTAAGAAGCATCCAGACTGTGTGTGGAAAGGCAGATTCGAGGGGACTGAATTAGCATGTTTGTAGCTCTTATATACTGTAGTCCAAGTGCTAAGCTCCCTGGAAGAAGGAGAAGGTAGGGTCAATGAAGCTATTTGCTGGGGTTATCTAGAAGAGTTAAGGGCTGAGGAAATCTGTTACCCTAATCCTCCTTAACTCACCTACATGGCCCAGTCTAATCAATCACTCTTAACATCAGAAACTTTAAACCAACCAAACCAAAATAAGTCCTCTTTGTTAGAGCAGCAAATAAAGAAAGTGGCAAAGATGCTTAGCTGCACCATCTCTAATCTTCCTGGGTCTTGTCCAGGATGAATGCAACTATTGACAGACATGATGGTGATGACCCTTCAGACAGCTGCTGGACTCTGCCTCTTCAGAGACTTTAGCACATCTTCTGATTAGCAGGATGCAGTATGAAAGGATACTACAGGACCAAGGCTTTCCTTCTTTCCTTTCTCTCTTTTCCTTCCTTCCGCCCTCCCTCTCTCCCTCCCTCCTCTTTCTTTCTCTCTTTCTTTTCTTTCCTTTCTCCCTTCCTGCTTTCTGTCTCTTTCTTTCTCTTTTCCTTCCTTTCTTCCTTCCTTCCTTTCTTTTTTCTTTCTTTCTTTCTTTCTTTCTTTCTTTCTTTCTTTCTTTCTTTCTTTCTTTCTTTCCTTCCTTCCTTCCTTCCTTCTCTTTCTTTCTTTTCTTTCCTTCCGTCCTTCTTTCTTTTCTTCCTTTTCTTTCTTCCTTCCTTCCCTCCCTCCCTCCTTTTTCTTTCTTTCTTTCTTTCTTTCTTTCTTTCTTTCTTTCTTCTTTCTTTCTTTCTTTCTTCCTTTCTTTCTCTTTCTTCTTTTCTTTTTCTTTTCTTTCTTTTGAGACAGGGTCTTGCTGTGTCACCCAAGCTGGAGTGCAGTGGCGCGATCATAGCCCACTGCAGCCTCCGCCTGCTGGGTGCAGGTGATTCTTTCACCTCAGCCTCCAGAGTAGCTGGGACTACAGGAGTGTAGCTCATTTCTTTTTTGTTTCTTTTTACTATTTATTTATTTATTTGAGATGACAATTGCTGTGTTGCCCAGGCTGGAGTGCAGTGGTCACATCTCTGCTCACTGCAACCTCCACCTCTCAGGTTCAAGCGATTCTCCTGCCTCAGAGCCACTAGAATAGCTGGGATTGCAAGCCAGCACCACCAGGCCCAGCTAGTTTTTGTATTTTCAGTAGAGATGGGGTTTCACCATGTTGGCCAGGCTTGTCTGGAACTCCTGGCCTCATGTGATCCACACACCTTGGCCTCCCAAAGTGCTGGGATTACAAGTGTGAACCACTGTGTCTCTTTACAGTGTTTTTCTCCTTAGGGTAGTTATTCCAGAAGCTGGTGACTATTTCTCATTGGCTGATTTGTACCTAAGGCCTACCTAGGAGAAGCAGGAGTCTAAATTTTATTGGCTCCACTTCTTTATATTCCTTAGTAAGTTTGGTAAGACACTGAAAGTATTCTCATGTAAGTACTTGATGCCCAGTGAAAGCGTGCTACATTTGCTCCTATGTTTGTTCACGATAATTAGCCCACACAATGGGCCTCTTTATCTCCCAAAGCATAATATAATCACAAACAACATTTTACTAAAGTCCTTGTACAGCTTGGCAAGAAGGAAAACAGAGGGGAGACCTATTTTTTTTAATTGGGCAGCCCCCTTTCACTGCCACCCACCAGGGACTTCAGGTGTGATGTGACTGGGGGTTGGGGGGAACTTCAGATGGCTGGAAGGCTGGAAGACTGTGAGCAAAGGTGTGAATCAGGGACTTTACAGGACGCAGGGAAGAATTTAATTGTTTGGAGGATTTGGTGTAGGAGATAAAGATGGAAAAGCAGGTTGAGGTTATACTGTGTAAGGTGCTGAATTGGGTGGACAGCGAGTGAATCATTAAGTGGCACAGTTGGTGCTATGATTTAGAGATTAGTTTGATGATGGTATGCAGATTCATGTAATCTGTTACCATTTCAACTCCAGCAACAGAATGGTGATCCCTGTTGGAGGAGTTTTTATAACTCTGCAGATAAGACTAAAAATGCACAGTCTTCCATCTCAGGCTGCTTAGCAACTCTTCTATGTGCCGTCAGTCTGCTCCCCATAGTAAACTATCCATTTCCCCATTAAAAACTATCTCCTATAGCCCTTGGAAACTTTTATTCAGTAGGTCTGTAAAAGCTCCTTAATTGATTCTGATATGGACTTCTCATTAAAACCAGAAGGAAAGGTGAAAGCTGTGGGAAAACAAAGCAAACAAACAAGCAAAAAAACAAACAAAAAAACCCCCCAAAAAACAAAAACAAACAAACAAAAACCCTCAAACAACCCAAACATGAGCAAGGGAATGACTCTGGCTTGCATTCAAGAAAGTTCACTTAAGATGGAGCGTGAAGAAGGGATCGGGAGTAAGTGTGAGGGACAATACCTGTGGCAGGGAGAGGCAAGAGAGAGATGAGGCTCTGGGATCACACATTGCCAATGGAGATGGAGGGGAGAGAATAAATGGACAACGTGTTTAGAAGATGAAATCTACAGGATGTAGATTGTGGGTTGGATATGAAGGTTGAGAGAGCAAGAGTAATCTCCCAGATTTCTGACTTGAGTGACTGGTGAATGGTGGTACCATTAGGAAACTCAAGATGAAGAACAGTTTGGGAGGAAGATGAGTTATTTCTGGAATTTGTAGAAAGATAGAATTGTCTTCAGGTTCTACTTACATTAAAAAATTTTAATGCTTGAAGACAATCTGGTAATTCTGAAGACAATCTGCTGTGGCTGCCAAAGTAGTTTTGATACAAAATTGCTTGTTTCGTTGAGTTGTCACTTCTTAGGCACCTCTGTGGTGGAAGTGCTCCAACTCAACTCTTCTCCAAAGTGGACATGCTTTGACATTGTTCTTTTAAAAGCTTCTAAACACACTATCTCCATGTCCAAGCCTTCTAGGTTGATTTGGAAAGAACCAAATCTTTCCATATGTCTCACACATATTTTTGTGTGTTATCACCTTCCATGCGTAAAATCTTGGTGTTGATGCTTCATTTATGATTCCTTATCTTGGAATAAGGTATTTAAGGTAATAAGGTATTTAAGATACCTTATCTTGGTGTTGATGCTTCATTTATGATTCTGGTGCTGGCTTAATGGCTTGACTGTATGGGATGTAAATACTTATATCATGAAGCTAGAGGAAACATATAGGTCTATGTAATTCTTTGTTCTTAAACCTGGAACATGAAACAATAGCTTCTCTATTCCTGCCTTGGCCAAAGGCGTGTTGTACTCCCTTATCTGCTTCAACTGCCTCATGGGGGACTGATATTTAATAAGCCACATTTTACTGGGGGGTAGAATGACTGTATTTCAATAGCAGAACAAGGCCTGCTGTTTCTTCCTAACTGCCCAAGTGCAACTGACTCACTTTGTCCTTCTCCTGTGGTGTCAAGCTAGAGGCTGGCTAGAAGAATCCATACAGTTTCCTGGGAAATGAAATTACAACTTGTTCTGGGCTCTTAGATATCACTACAGGAATATCTGGGACTATGGGTCCCAAGGTCCGGGTCTTTGGTTGAAAGTGGGAAATGTCACCTTGGTCTCATGCCACAAGCTATGTTCCCCACTCCAGTTTTGGCCAGAAAGCCCTGTGTTGGGAGATTATGGGTACTGATTAGTAAAATCAGTACTTCTTCCCTTTCAAGTAGTGTCCTGTGTGTGCTCCGTGCTCAGGAAGAGGATATATTTGGGTATCTCAAACCCCCAAAGGCCTGAATGTGTGTGACTGTCTTGGAAAGCACAGGACTAAGTGAGATTATGATATATGGCGCAGCCTGTCTCACACTTCTCTAATGTTTTTGAATATTCACACTTAACCCCCAGCTCTAAATCCAGCCTTATGTTATCCTGTGTCCAAGGGGTTGGATTTCTTGTGCTTGAAAAAAATACCATTTGCCATGCCTAGGTCTGTAATCTCCTTGATGCTTCTTGCTGTTCACCTACTGCCTGCTAAAGTTTGGTCCTCATCCCAGTTAGACTGGCACTCAAGTTCTGAACTCTGGCTTGGCCTCAGTTTACAGTGCTCACTCCTTTGAGCTGACCCTATTTCAATTATTTCTGGATTTAAGTGCCCTCTGCTTGCAGCAGGATGGGTGACCTCTGGCTTTGCTCTTGTGATTAGAAAGCAGATCTGTCCCTGGACCTGGGTGTCCTCATAGACCTTCCATTTGCACCCTGCTTCCAGCAGACAAGCCTAGCTTGTGGCCACTAAAGAACAACCCTCAGAGTCTGCTTCATTCTTCAGCCTATGGAAGGGGACACTCTGGTCCTGAGGAAGAAGAGAGATTGAATTGATGATCTTGACCTTAAGTGGTAGCATAAAGAGACTTAGAACTGGAATAAGAAAGAATTTCCAGTCATTAGTTGTTCACTTGTCAAATGTTTACCTAGCATAGGCATTTTGTCAGATATGGTATATGTCATTAGTGCTGTGAGGTGCAATGAGGCAGAAAGCTCCCAGTGGAGTAGGAAATACTTTCTCTATAACCTGATAAATCATCGGATAGGACTAAGGTAGAGGCCTAAGGGAGAAGGTGCACCTCATCCAGTCTTGGAGTTGGAGGGCATGGTGTTGGTCAAAACCAAGTTGAGAAGAATTGAGTAAGAGTTAGATGAAGAGAGGAAGGAAGGGATTCTGGGCAGAGGGAACAGCATGGGCAAAGCAATAGAGGTGAATTTGGTACAAGAATGGGTGACTGGGGGAAGTCATGAGATGTTCCGCTCTGGACAGCTTTAAGAAAATATCGTATCTGACCTACCTGGGACATGTGTGTGGAATGTGTGATGCCCAAAGCCGGAGTAAGTCTCACATAATTTCTCAGGGTCACTGTAAAACCTGAAGATTATGCTCAGCATTTTTTCCCTGACACCTAAGTTTTCTAAACTCCTTGAGCTTCTCAGAAAGTTAGATGACAAATCCAACACATCAGCCACTTGGCCGCGGGTAGTGACTTCAGCATTTTTGATGAGCACTGAATTTCCCACAATGAAAGCAAAACTCCACCTGCTTTCTGCTGCTTCTCTCCTAAAAGGGTGGACCCTGTAAACAAATGTTCTGGTTGCATCCTTCATTTCTGTGGATGCATGAAACACATTGTATTTCTTATCTGCCATTTCTTAGTAAGAAGACACCCTTCCTCCTTCCCAGCTCTGTGTTGGAGCCCATTAATTAGAATAAGCTTTATTTAGCAAGGTTAGAATTCCTTCTTTTCTGCTCCTCTTCTCCTGCTACACCTCTCTTGGTTTCTGAAAGCAAGGACAGGTCACTCGCTTTTGTCATGAGCATTTGGATGAAATGTTCTGATGAATACACATATGTGTATACACAAAGGCATGAAAACCCATTTTTAATTGGAAGTGTTTTGTTTTCCTTGGGTTTTTAACTTTAAATGGAGCTCACACTCCCCCTCTTAGGCTAGTCTTCTGGGCTGCTTTATTTCTCTGTGTCCATGCTTTCATGGTGCAGTATAATAGCTTTTGTTTCAGAAGTACAGGGCAGAAGGACCCCGAATGCTGGAGGTCTGCATTATATCCAAAACAGTAGATTTGGATGGCAAAGCAGAGGTTGGGGGAAGGTGGGAGCGAGTGTTTTCCATTGGTGAGCTGGAGTGCTTCTAGGAACATGGGCACAATGGGCGCCATTCTGAGGACAGAACAGGCTCTGGCAGCAGAGGCGCTGACACACTCACTCACATCCCACACAGTGGGCCCTGTGCTGCAACCTTGCCCAACACAATGGCACCTACTTCTCGAGGTGATTGTTACAGGACAAAAAGAACTTTGTTTGCTGTGTATCCACTGAGCCTTGTGTGTTAACATTTCTTTTTTTAAAAAAAATAAATTTTGTTTTCCTGTTCTTTTCTTTATTTCTCTGTCCAAAGTGAATAGACTACAGTGAATTTCAGCCTTGCTTCCAGAATCAGGAAATCCAATGGAGAACCTGAAATGGTTGGTGGGAAAAGAAGAGAGTGGATGGAGGTAAAAAAAATTAAAGACGCTCTCAATTGTTGCATCTCTTTAATGATATTATTAATGAGGTAAGGGAAACCATAGGGCAGGTGGCCATCTGAGGCCTGGAACCCACGAGGAGTGAGGAGCAATAAGGGCCTGGGCTTCTGGATCCACACTAATGAGTGGTTAATGGCTCAGGGCAGGGCCCCGCCGAGGGAGTTGCTCCTCTACAGTTGAGAACCTAAGCCCAGAAATCCTTACTGTCTCCTTCTGGAGATACTCCCCTGCTATGGAGACAAATTGACTTTGTGTTAGGATCAGTACTTGTGGAAATGCCAATGCCATTAGGCTTATTTACATTTATTTTTTCAAATTGTATTGCTTATTTAAAAATGTTTACTCTCATAATTTGTTTTCTTTTAGTTTGTTTTCAATCAGGCAGCAGTACAAAGCCCCCTGTTATGTTTTGAATTAGTGTTTTTCTGGAAGTTGGCTTGGTTAGGGTAGTTTTTAGTTTACCAGACAAAACGATCTATGGTCACCTAACCAGCATCAAGAAAACACTATTTGGAGCCAAGCATTGCAACAAGACCTTGAGAACTAGTCTAACTAACATTTTGATCAAAATCTTCCGGATTTTGATGCGGTAGTTTCATGTAGCATAGTTACAGTCAATTAGTGGGTCAGTTCAATGGAAAAATAAGGCCACTGGTTATTCCACCCTTCTTTCAAGCCCTAGTTCATATCCTGCCTTCTCTAAGGGACATTTTTTAACTTCTCCAGCCCCATGGTGTACTGTCATCTTCTTGAGGGTTCTCCTTAAAGGAAATTAAAGATGGCATAAGTTTTTCCCTAAAGTGAAGAAACATGAAGACATAACGAAAAGAGGAATTAAAGTAAAGACTGTTTAGTCAGTACCAGAGTTCCCTATCCTCCTTATTGTCCCTGAGGAGATTTGCCAAAGCCTTAGACTTATATTAATAAGAACTCTAGATCCAATCTGATTAATTCTGATCACAGACAAGCTAATTTGTCTTAGTGTAGCTGCTTTCTCAGAAGGAAAATCACAAAACAATTTAAAAAAATTTAGTTGCTCCAACTAGTTGTACCCAAAATAACCTAGGACCCATACAGAGTCCTAGGTTATTTTGGGTATAATTCTCAAGTATAAGATAGAATGTCCAGCACTCAAAAGCCTGTTGTTTCCTCCTCAATGCTTTACTGGGAAGTGGAGAAGTTATGTGATAGGGCCTTTATGAGAGTCTTTAGGTTTAGAAAGACTGGTTTTGGCTGTGGCCATAATTACCTGAGAGATTATTATGGTTTTCTCTTTAGATATCTTTTTTTTTTTTAATAAAAGGACCATTTGTTAAAATATATAATCACAGTAACTATATCTAGTGTATTGAGACAGGCTTCCTTTCTGGGCTTAATCTGTAACCATTAAGTAAGCAATATAGTGTTGGAGTGAAGAGCGGGCTCCTGGATTTGAATCCCAGTTCTCTCTCCAGTAGCTATGTGACCTTAGGCAAATTAGCTATCATCAGGGCTTTACATCCAGGGTTTTACATTTCCTATCTTTGAAATGGGGATAATGATAGTGTAAGGGGTAGTTGTGGAATCAAATGTGAAGCACTTAAAAGGGTGCCTGCAACCTAGTAAGTAAGCTTCGACACATGTTAAGTGCTGTGAATGCAGATCAGATAGGCATCAAAAGCCCCTAAACAAGTCTTTTTTTTCATTTTCATATGTTTTAATATTTCTTTAGTGAATTAAATCATACAATTATGTTTTATATAATTTCCTTTGTTGTATTTATGAGTAATATAGATTTTTATGGATTTGGGTTTTGAGTCTTCTATAGCTTTCAATTTCTCTGTAATCCTTTTAATTTTTAAAAAACTTATTCCTCTTCCTTGTATTCACTTTAAAAGCCTGCCATTGACATATATGAGTGACTTCTTTTAGCAGTATCTGTTTTCCTTTATTTTATCTCCCAGTGTGGTCTCTTCTCTTAAGTGATTTTGTTTTACTTTCTCCTCTTGAAATATTTTACTTTCATTCTTGTTTCTTTGTTTTGAAATTTTATTTAACTAATATTTGTAAGTATTTTGTAATCCATTCATTCTAAAATTATTGGATAATTTTTCTTTTTTTACTTTCCAACTTTTATTTAAGTTCAAGGGGTACATGTGCAGGTTTGTTACATGGGCCGATTGCATGTTGTGGAGGGTTGGTGTACAGATAACTCTCATCCAGGTAATCTGCATAACACCCAATAGATAGTTTTTCAGTCCTTACCCTTCTCCTACTCTGCACCATCAGGTAGGCCATGGTGTCTATTGTTCTCTTTGTTGTGTCCATGTGTACTTGATGCCTAAACAAGTCTTCTTAATGTTCCTTCTTGCTGTTGATGATTTTCCTTCACCCCAAATCACCAGTTAGTTACAAAAAGACAACATAGTTCGCTCTTGTAGCCTTTTCTGTGGCCAGGAAGGTTGGCTGCTTTCTTTTATTTCCTTGCTCGTGGATGATGCAGGAGGGGTAATTCTAGTCCACCAGTAACTGAGCTACTTATTCCTGCGACCACTTTTTCCAAACAGAGAAGGATTTCTTGGTCACTTTACTAATAAGCTACCTTCTAATTTCTGGTCAATCCATTATTTTAATAACAAAGCTTACATTTGCATGTTAAACATTTCACTACAGTCCTGAATCACAGATTTGGCTCAGAAGTTAAAAAAAAAAGCTAAATAAAATATATAAATACCTGGCATCATAATAATTTATAAATGTTTTATTATGATGACTTTTTAGCTAATGCAAATAGTCTCTTTTATGGAATCAGTTTGAACATGGGGATTCTGGTCAAGGATAGAATTCCTGCCCATCCTCCCTCAAAAGAAATGTGTAATATTAATCTAAAAAAAGGGTGTGAATGCATATTTATAAGATATATAAAAAAGCTACACATTAATTTTAATGAAACATCAAAGCAAAATATGAAATATAGTAAAAACTTTATACATATAAGCAAAGGGTAAGTACACTTAGGTGATGGGGTTGAGGAAGAGAAACAGAACACATCTGAGAAAGCTGAGTGACAGTCTGTGGGTGAGACTGGACTTGTGGAGCTGCCAGTAATGGAAAAGAGGCTGCTTGAAGGACAGGAGAAGGGAGAGAATGTGCCCATAAGATGCTCCAGACCAAAGGTTGAGAGATGCTCCAGTCCTTCCATGCTCCTGATTCAGGCTGACTACAGGTGATGTCACCAAAGTTAATCACCTGGAAATTCCTTTCTAGGGTCTCTTTCTTAACTCTACTATGACAGCAGAATTAAAAGGGATGGTATAGACCTAAATGAAAGGTTTCAGGCATTTATAGAACCATCCTTAGGAGATCTTGGTGGATCTGAATGTAACAGCACAGTGGCAAAGAGGCAAATGGATCTACCATTCTAAATAACAGTTACACCTTTGACACATTATTTACACCCTTTTTAGCTTCAGTTCTCTCATCTATAAACTGGGAATAACAGTTGCAACTACTTCCCAGAATTATTGAGAGGATGGTTCCAGAGCCTATAGCTCAGTGTCTGACATGCAGAAAGAGCTCAATAAATATTTATCAATTGCCATCATCATCATCATCATCAAATAGAAGAACCAAACTGTGAGCATCTTTATGGCTTAATGCATTGTATATTATTAATATTTAACACATTTAATCTAGAACTCCTTGACCCTCTACTTGGTACTTTGCCATTCCTATGCCCTACCAAGTGAGAACACAAGGCTGGTGGTGGACATTTCTGCCTCGATCTTTTGAAAATACTTTTCCTTTGAATACCAATAAATTAGGCTCATATTTGAAATGAAAATATTGTCAGATAAATTCTGTAAAAACTTTAGGCACTGAGTCTTGGTCAAGAGTGGACCTGCACGCCAGCCCTAGCCAAATGAACCATCTTTTACCCAAGAAAGGTTGATGAGTTGATGAGATATATATCATGTTGGTTTCTAAGTCCTAGAGGCCATCAAAGGTATCTTGATGTTAAAGATATCACTATTTTAATGATCTCTGCTGAAGAGTATTAAAAAAAAAGCTGTGCTTTCAGACCTTAAGACTTATTGCTTGTATTTTCACAGCTTTCTTAAAGTAAAAAGGGGTGTTGTGGAAAATGATAAAATTTATCATTTATAGCGAAATATTAATGTACCAGCAGGAGATTCGATGAGGCCATCTATCTATGAGCATTCAGACTTCAAAGGAAACATAAACATGAAATTAATGGTTTGTCTAGTGTAAGAGACAAATAAATGCAAATGTGGGCTCATTAATATCAAGTGGATGACTTCTTGGTTTATGGGGTTTGGATTGATTTTGTCAAAGGGCAATAGATTTATTTTAAAAAGTCTTCGAAATTTAGCATCTATACACCCATTATTGAGAGAAATAAAACTCACAGCACTCTGGACAGCCTCTCTTCCTCCTCCTCCTTCCCCCCATCCTAGATGTTGCTTTACTGAGATAAAGTTCTTACATTAGGACTTACTTTCACACTGAAATATGTCCCTTGTAGGAACTGCTATAAACGTCAGCATTTTCCGCAGCATTAGTTTATGGGCAGAGTGAATTTTAATGGCATCATAATCTCGTGGCAATCAATTGCGGTGCTTGGGGGAAAAAAAGCTCCGGGGGTGTCCATTAAATGGGCTTTGCATCACTTTTAATGCTCCCAAATCTTGAAGTTTCTCCATGTCTTCCCTGTTTGTCTATGGACAAAATAGTTTTTCTCCCCTTCTCCCCCATTTTAGGTTGAAGAAGAGTTAAACACTTGTATTTACCATTTAATTCTCTGACAAGGAAAAGGCCTTGTCTTTTATCTTTCACTTGAATGAGGGCATGAATCTGTTGGCTCTGATAGAGTATGAGAAACCAAGGCAGGAGTTTTAGTGGGTTTTTAGCTCTTTCCAGACTGGCAAATGCTCTGTTGTGAAATGTAGCTGTTGTAGTTGTCAAGTTACCCCAAGTGGAGTGGTCTAGGTGCTGTGAAGGTACCCATACGCAGTGGCTCCCACTCTTTCTGAGCCTGTTCTCTGTGATGTCCATGTCTATCTCTACCTCCAATTCCAATGTGGTTTCCATATCTATTTCTATATATCACATACATGAATGTGCAACACAGATAGCATATGGGTTATCATGATTATTTAAAGTGAGTTTTCCATTTTCGGTCTTATCTTTTTGCTCAGTTTTTCACCTTCTAAAGATAACGTGGATTACATATCTAAAACTCTGTTCTGAGTTTTTCAGGTTAACTGTATTCATATTTCTTAACCATTTTGTGACTCTTCCTCCAAAATCTCTGACCCTTCTTTAAGATTTATATGCACGACAAACTAATTTGAAAAAATAAAATGTTAATGACTTGGTTCTATAGTTGGTTCTCCACAAAACTTGAAAGTGATGGAAATAATAACACTCTCTGAGAGTTAAATTGGAAAGTTAACATATGATGAACAAGAACAAAGATATGCAAGGTAACCAGAAAGACGAGTAGGTTCTGAGGTCACACTAAACCTGGTTCAGTGTGTTTATTTATTAATGATCATTAAATGTGTCAATTCGGTGATCAGCTACAAGAGTGGAGAAAAAAGAATACCACCGAAACAAAAGTAGGTGTTCTCATTCCAGTCCCATCTGTGGGAGAAAAATTGTAGCCAAATGATAGAGACAATTTTTACTGTGAAATGGCTGCATCAGCATACATCCGTTAGGGCCATTTGTGAAAGCCACTGTTTAGAATGTCTTAGCATTTGCAAATCCCCTTCTCTGAGAATCTGTTTCACCCACTCACAAGCCTGGGCTTGGCCAGAGTTCATTGCACCAAGATAGGACCTCTGATCCAAGTTCATCTCATTGGAATTTGGCTCCTGCAAATTTGGATGGTGATTCTAGATAGTCTCAACTGACCCCTTCAGTTGTGGATATAAAATTCAGTAGCCTTGAGGTGATTGTGTTTGGTCAGGAGCATGCTTAATTAGTAAAAATGACTCAGCAGAAAGAAAGAGAAAGATGAAAAAGGGATATTAAATGAGAAGTAGAGACACTAGGGTTGGGAGAGAGATGGTAGAGGCAGAGCTTGGGATCCTGAGGCTTTTCAGTTTTATTCCTAATGAAGCCAGGCTGTACTATCTACCTTAGAGATACCGCAGTTCCTTATAAATACTCCCCCTCTTAGTTTAACTGGTTAAGGGACCTTTGGTACCCGACGAGGGAGAGGCCATTTGATCTGTCTACATAACTGCCTTAAGGGTCTTCACTGCTCAAGCAGACTCTGATTATCACCGGGTCTCCAGTTAGAGCCTGCTTTTAGGGAGAAGATGAGCTCTTTATGCTGACATGAGCTTTCCATTTTGGGCTCAAGAAAGCTTATTGTGCACACCTCTTCCAAGCTTTATGTTCAACTGCAGAGTATACATACATTTGTGTGGACCCTTGGATTTTTTTTCAGCCTCTACTCATTACTCAGTTCCAAAGCCACTTCCACATTTTTAGGAACTTGTTATAGCTGTACTTCACTTCTCGGTACCAAAATTTGTTTTAGTCACCTTGGGTTGCTATAACAAAATGCCAGAGACTGGGTGGCTTAAACAAGAGACATTTATTTCTCCCCATTCTGGAGGCTGGGAAGTCTAAGATCAAGTGCGGGCCACTTCTGTTCCTGATGAGGGCCCTCTTCCTGGCTTGCAGATCTCTGCCTTCTCCCAGTTGGAAAAACAGCACAATAGATTTTTAACAAAGGGGCCAAGATGACTCAATGAAATCAAGAAATGTTTTCCAACAAATAGTGCTGGAACAATTGAATATCCATTTGTAAAAACATAAAATTCAGCCTGTACTTCACACCATATATAATACTTAAATTATAGTCCTAAATGTAAAACCAAAAACTATACCACTTCTAAGAAAATATAGGAGAAATTCTTTGTGATCTTTGTTTAGGCAAATAATTTTTAGATAGGACACAAAAAGTAGGAATCATAAGAGAAAAATTCAATAAATTAGATTTCATCAAAATTAAAACATATGCTATTCAAAAGACAATGTTAACAAAATAAAAAGCCACTGACTGAGAGAAAATATTTGTGAAACACATATCTGATGAAGGATTTAGATCCAGAATATAAAAAAACCTTATAAATTGATAATAAAAAACCAATCTTTTAAAGAATAGGTGAAATGTTTGAATAATTACTTCACAAAGACAATATGCTCAATAGCATCGCTCATTAGGGATATGCTAATTAAATCCACAGTGAGATTCTGGAAAAGGTAAAATTATAAAGACAGAAAACAGATCAGAACTTGGGATGGAGAGAAGGGTTGAAAACAAAGGGACAGTGCAAAGGAATGTTTTTGATGATTGAACTATTGTGTATCTTCATGTGGTGGTTACAAGAATATATGAATTTTCTTCACAGAATTGGAAAAAACTACTTTAAACTTCATTTGGAACCAGAAAAGAGGCCGCATAGCCAAGACAATCCTGGGCAAGAAGAACAAAACTGGAGGCATCACGCTACCTGATTTCAAACTATACTACAAGGCTACAGTAACCAAAACAGCATGGTACTGGTACCAAAACAGATATATAGACCAATGGAACAGAACAGAGGCATCAGAAATAACTCCACACAGCTACAACCATCTGATCTTTGACAAACCTGATGCACACAAGCAATGGGGAAAAGATTCCCTTTTAATAAGTGGTGCTGGGAAAACTGGCTAGCCATAAGCAGAAAACTGAAACTGGACCCCTTCCTTACGCCTTTTACAAAAATCAACTCAAGATGGATTAAAGACTTAAACATAAGACCTAAAACCATAAAAATCCTAGAAACTGGACCCCTTCCTTACACCTTTTACGAAAATCAACTCAAGATGGATTAAAGACTTAAACATAAGACCTAAAACCATAAAAATCCTAGAAGAAAACCTGGGCAGTACCATTCAGGACATAGGCGTGGACAAACACTTCATGTCTAAAACACCAAAAGCAATGGCAACAAAAGCCAAAATTAACAAACAGGATCTGATTAAATTAAAGAGCTTCTGCACAGCAAAAGAAACTATCATCAGAGTGAACAGGCAACCTACAGAATGGGAGAAAATTTTTGCAATCCATCCATCAGACAAAGGGCTAATATCCAGAATCTACAAATAACTTAAACAAATTTACAAGAAAAAAGCAAACAACCCCATCAAAAAGTGGGCAAAGGATATGAACAGACACTTCTCAAAAGAAGACATTTTTACAGCCAACAAATATATGAAAAACTGCTCATCATCAGTGGTCATTAGAGAAATGCAAATCGAAACCACAATGAGATACCATCTCATGCCAGTTAGAATGGCGATCATTAAAAAGTCAGGAAACAACAGATGCTGGAGAGGTTGTGGAAAAATAGGAATGCTTTTACACTGTTGGTGGGAGTGTAAATTAGTTCAACCATTGTGGAAGACAGTGTGGCGATTCCTCAAGGATCTAGAACTGGAAATAACCATTTGGCCCAGTAATCCCATTACTGGATATATACCCAAAGGATTATAAATCATTCTACAATAAAGACACATGCACATGTATGTTTATTGAGGCACTATTCACAATAGCAAAGACTTGGAACCAACCCCAATGTCCATCAGTGATAGACTGGATTAAAAAATGTGGCACATATATACTATGGAATATACTACGCAGCCTTAAAAAAGGATGAGTTCATGTGCTTTGCAGGGAGATGGATGAAGCTGGAAACCATCATTCTCAGCAAACTATCACAAGATCAGAAAGTCAAACACCGCATGTTCTCACTCGTAAGTGGGAGTTGAACAAGGAGATCATGTGGACACAGGGAGGGGAATATCACACACCAGGGCCTGTTGGGGGTTGGGTGGCTAGGGGAGGGATAACATTAGGAGAAATACCTAATGTAGGTGATGAGTTGATGGGTGCAGCAAACTACCAGGGCACGTGTATACTTATGTAACAAAACTGCACGTTCTGCACATGTAACCCAGAACTTAAAATATAATAATAATAATAATAATAATAATAAAAGAATATATGAATTTGCCAAAACTCAAATAACTGTACACCAAAAACAGTGAATATTGCTGTAAATGAAAGAATGAATAATTTAAAAACACATGATGAGATGCCTCTAGGCACTTATTAGAATGACTAAACTGAAATTTTCAAAATAGCCAGCAAAAAACTGAAAATATCTGACATACCAACTGTTGATAAAGATGTATAATTGGAATGCTCATATATTGGTAGCAAAACTTAGGCAAGTAATTTAGTAATGTCTAGACCTTCACTATCTGATAGGATAGCCACTAGCCACATGTGGCTATTGAGCACTGGGAATGTGTTGAGCTAAGTTGAGCTATAAGTATAAAATACACAATAATTTTCAAACAATTAGTACAAAAAACAAAATATAGGCTGGACATGGTGGCTCAAGTCTGTAATCCCAGCACTTTGGGGGGCCAAGACGGGAAGATCATTTGAACACAGGAGTTTTAGACCAGCCTGGGCAATATAGTGAGACCCTGTCACTACAAAAAATACAAAAATTAGCAGGCCCTGGTGGTGCACACCTGCTCAGGAGGCTGAGGTAGGAGGATAGCTTGAGCCTAGGAGGTCAAGGCTTCAGTCATCTGTGATTGCTCCACTGCACTCCAGCCTGAGTGACAGAGCAAGAGCCAATCTCAAAAAAAGTATTACATCGATAATTTTTAAATTCTGTTATATTTTGAAATAATATTTTGAATATATTTTATTAAAATTTATTATTAAACATGTTTTAAAAAAACAAAAAAATAAAAAATAGCCAGCAATACCTAGTTTTCAGGATACTAAGCATACACTGTTGATGGGAATGGAAAAGGCATAGGCTCTTTGGGAGACAGTTTGACAGTTCCTTATAAAATTCAAATGTACATTTACTATGTGACCTAGTTATCTACTCCTGTATATTTATCCAAGAGAAATGAAAACATGAAGACCTGTATACAAATATTTGTTGCAGCTTTATTTATAATCAGCAAAACCTGAAAGAAACCCAGATATCCACTGGTATAAACACACTGCATAGACAGAACTGCACAAACACACGGGGATGTGTCCATACAAACCAATGTTACTAGCAATAAAAATGAGTGAACTGTTGAGAGACGCAACACGAATGAATTCCAAAAGCGTTATGCTAAGTGAAAGTAGTCAAACAAAGTCCTATGTTCTGTGCAATTCTATTTATATAAGATTCTAGAAAAAGCAAAGCTGTAAGGGCAGATACCAGGTTAGCGGTTACTAGGGTCTGAAGGTAGGAGAAGGGACTTACAAATGGGCACACAGAAACTTTTTGGGGTAACAGAAATATTCTATATCTGGATTGTGGTGATGGATACATGATTGCATATGTTTGTCAAAACACATAGAATTATGCATCCTTTTTAAAAAGGTGAGTTTTTAAATGTAAATTATACCTCAATAAACCTGACTTTAGAAAAATGAATGAACCATAGTTTCACAAAGCATCATGGGGCAATCTCACAAATATAATTTTAAGTGAAAGAAGCAAAAAATACATACAGTGTGACTTACTAAGTTTCAAAAAGATGGAAACTGATATCTCACAATGTTTAGAGATGCATATGTGTATGGAAAAATTATGTTTAAAAAGCAAGAAATTGATTAACATCTAAGTCAGGCTAAGAGTTACCTTTTGGGGAGAGGGAGGAGATTGTCATCCAAGAGAAACATAACAGGATGGGAAGATGGGCAACGTCCAGCTTCTTGACATGGGTGGTGATATGTGCGTGTTCACTCCATAATTATTTCCTACTCTGTACCTATATACTTTATGCATTATTCTGTATGTATGTTATATTTTGCAATAAGAAACATTAAATGAAAAGCTAATTCTGTCAACAGCATTTATTAAATCATCTTTCCCGCCACTGAAATGCCACCTTTATCAAATAAGATCTTGTATATAATTAGATCTTCTACTAAATTTTGTACATTTTGTACTCTATTCCATTGATCTATTTATCTCATTTTATGTTAATATCATTTTAGCCACAGTGACTTTGTAGTAATTTTTAATATCTGCTAGAATAAGTCACCTTTCTGTATGCTTTAAAAAGTATTTTTGATAATTTTCATTGATTATTCTTTTTTATTATTCTTTTTCTTAATGTTCATAATGTATTTTATTTAACCCAATATATACAAATACAACCATTTCAACATCTAATCAATATAAAAAATTACCAATAAGACAGTTCACATTTTTTTTTATCATACAACATCCTCAAAATCTGGTGAGTATTTTGCACTGACAGCACATCTTAATTTAGAAACTAATTTTCATAAGAAATATTTTATCTATATTTAGATTTTATAAAATATATTCTCAAAAACAGTAGAATCACATGCTCAAGCTGTTCGAAACATACTTAAAAGTTTTCTAAAAACAGAATGGAATACCAAAACATCATTTTCTTTTTTTTAATTTTGTCTAAAAAAAAAACGGGATACATGTGCAGAACGTGCAGGTTTGTTACATAGGTATATGTGTGCCATGGTGGTTTGCTGCACTTATTGACTCATCCTTTAAGGTCCCTCCCCTCACCCCCAACCCACCAACAGGCTGCAGTGTGTATTGTTCCCCTCTCTGTGTCCATGTGTTCTCATTGTTCGACTCCCACTTACAAGCGAGAACATGTGGTGTTTGGTTTTCTGTTCCTTTGTTAGTTTGCTGAGGATGATGGCTTCCAGCTTCATCCATGTCCCTGCAAAGGACATAATCTCATTCATTCCATTTTATGGCTACATAGTGTTCCATGGTGTATATGTACCACATTTTCTTTATCCAGTCAATCATTGATGGGCATTTGGGTTGGTTCTATGTCTTTGGTATTGTTAATAATGCTGTAATAAACATATGTGTGTATGTATCCTTATAGTAGAATGATTTATATTCCTTTGGGTATATACCCAGTAATGGGATTGCTGGGTCAAATGGTATTTCTGGTTCTAGATCTTTGAGGAATCACCTTACTGTCTTCCACAATGGTTGAACTAATTTACACTCCCACCAACAGCGTAAAAGTCTTCTTATTTCTCCACAGCCTCACCAGCATCTATTGTTTCTTGACTTTTTAATAATCACCATTCTGACTGCGTGAGGTGGTGTCTCATCGTGGTTTTGATTTGCATTCCTCTGATGATCAGTGATGTTGAGCTTTTTTTTCATATATTTGTTGGTTGCATAAGTGTCTTCTTTTGAGAAGTGTCTGTTCATATCCTTTGCCCACTTTTTGATGGGATTGTTTGCTTTTTTCTTGTAAATTTAAGTTCATTGTTTATTCTGTATATTAGGCCTTTGTCAGATGGGTAGATTGCAAAAATTTTCTCCCGTTCTGTAGGTTGCCTGTTCACTCTGATGGTAGTTTCTTTTGCTGTGCAGAAAGTCTTCAGTTTAATTAGGTCCCATTTGTCAATTTTGGCTTTCGTTGCAATTGCTTTTGGCATTTTTGTCATGAAGTCTTTGCCCATGCCTATGTCCTGAATGGTACTGCCTAGGTTTTCTTCTAGGGTTTTTATGGTTTTGGGTTTTATATTTAAGCCTTTAATATATCTTGAGTTAATTTCTCAAGGTATAAAGAAGGGGTCCAGTATCAGTTTCCTGCATATGGCTAGCCAGTTTTCCCAGCACCAGTTATTAAACAGGGAATCCTTTCCCTACTGCTTGTTTTTGTCAGGTTTATCGAAGATTAGATGGTTGTAAATGTGTGGTGTTATTGCTGAGGTCTCTGTTCTGCTCCTTTCTTCTATGTGTCCATTTTGGTACCAGTACCATGCTGCTTTGGTTACTGTAGCCTTATAGTATAGTTTAAAGTCAGGTAGCATGATGCCTCCAGCTTTGTTCTCTTTGCTTAGGATTGTCTTGGCTATATGGGGTCTTCTTTGATTCCATATGAAATTTAAAATAGTTTTTTTCCTACTTCCGTAAAGAAGGTCAATGGTAGTTTGATGGGAATAGCATTGAATCTATGAATTACTTTGGGCAGTATGGCCATTTTCATGATAGTGATTCTTCCTATCCATGAAGATGGAATGTTTTTCCATTTGTTTTCTTCCTCTCATATTTCCTTCGGCAGCGGTTTGTAGTTCTCCTTGAAGAGATCCTTCATATCCCTTATTAGCTGTATTCCTAGGTATTTTATTCTCTTTGTAGCAATTACGAATGGGATTTCATTTATGATTTGGCTCTCTGCTTGTCTATTGTTGGTGCAAAGGAATGCTTGTGATTATTGCACATTGATTTTGTATCCTGAGACTTTGGTGAAATTGCTTATGAGTTTAAGAAGTTTTTGGGCTGAGATGATGGGGTTTTCTAAATATACAATCATGTTGTCTGCAAACAGAGACAATTTGACTTCCTCGCTTCCTATTTGAATATGCTTTATTTCTTTCTCTTGCCCAATTGCCCTGATAGAACTTCCAATACTATGTTGAATAGGAGTGGTGAGAGAGGGTATCCTTGTTTTGTACCGGTTTTCAAAGGGAATGCTTCCAGCTTTTGCCCATTCAATATGATATTGGCTGTGGGTTTGTCATAAATAGCTCTTATTATTTTGAGATATGTTCCATCAATACCTAGTTTATTTAGAGTTTTTAACATGAAGAGATGTTTCATTTTATCAAAGTCCTTTTCTGCATCTATTGAGATAATCATGTGGTTTTTGTCATTGGTTCTGTTTATGTGATGGATTATGTTTATTGATTTGTGTTTGTTGAGCCAGCCTTGCATCCCAGGGATGAAGCTGACTTGATCGTGGTGGATAAATGTTTTTATGTGCTGCTGGATTCAGTTTGCCAGTATTTTATGGAGGATTTTTGCATAGATGCTCAGGATATTTTACCTGAAGTTTACTTTTTTTGTTGTTTCTCTTCCCGGTTTTGGTATCAGAATGATGCTGGATTCATAAAATGAGGGAGGAGCCCCTCCTTTTCAGTTGTTTGGAATAGTTTCAGAAGGAATGGTACCAGCTTCTCTCAGTATTTCTGTTAGAATTCAGCTGTGAATCTATTCTAGTCCTGGATTTTTTTTGTTGTTAGGCTACTAATTACTGCATCAATTTCAGAACTTGTTATTGGTCTATTTAGAGATTCAACTTCTTCTTGGTTTTGAATTGGGAGGGTGTATGCATCCAGGGATTTACCAATTTCTTTTAGATTTTCTAGTTTATTTGCATAGAGGTGTTTATAGTATTGTCTGATGGTAGTTTGTATTTCTGTGGGGTCAGTGGTGATATCCCCTTTATCAATTTTTATTTTGTCTATTTGATGCTTCTGTCTTTTCTTCTTTATTAGTCTAGATTAGTCTAGCTAGTGGTCTATCTATTTTCTTAATTTTTTTGAAAAACCATCTTCTAAATTCATTGATTTTTTGGAGGGATTTTCGTGTCTCTATCTCCATCAATTCTTGTCTGATCTTAGTTATTTCTTGTCTTCTGCTAGCTTTTGGATTAATTTGTTCTTGCCTCTCTAGTTCTTTTAGTTGTGATGTTAGAGTATTATTTTGAGATCTTTCAAGCTGTCTGATGTGGGAATTTAGTACTATAAATTTCCTTCTTAACCCTGCTTTAGCTGTGTTCCAGAGATTCTGGTATGTTGTGTCTTTGTTCTCATTGGTTTCAAAGAACTTATTTATTTCTGCCTTAATTTCATTAATTACCCAGGAGTCATTCAGGAGCAAGTTGTTCAATTTCCATGTAATTGTGTGGTTTCGAGTGAGTTTTTTAATCCTGAGTTCTAATTTGGTTGTACTGTGGTCTGAGAGACTGTTCATTATGATTTCATTTATTTTGCATTTGCTGAGGAGTGTTTTACTTCCAATTATGTGGTCAATTTTAGAATAAGTGGCATGTGGCACTGAGAAAAATGTATATTCTGTTGATTTGAGGTACAGAGTTCTCTAGACGTCTACTAGGTCCACTTGATCCAGAGCTGAGTTCAAGTCCTGAATATCCTTGTTAATTTTCTGTCTCATTGATCAGTCAGTGGGGTGTTAAATTCTTCCACTATTATTGTGTGTGAGTCTAAGTCTCTTTGAAGGTCTCTAAGTACTTGTTTTATGAATCTGGGTGCTCCTGTATTGGGTGCATATATATTTAGAATAATTTAGAATAATTAGCTCTTCTTGTTAAATTGTTCCCTTTACCATTATGTAATGCCCTTCTTTGTTTTTTTTTGATCTTTGTTGGTTTGAAGTCTGTTTTGTCAGAGACTAGGATTGCAACCCCCGCTTTTTTTTGCTTTCCATTTTCTTGGTAAATTTTCCTCCATCCCTTTATTTTGAGCCTATATGTGTCCTTGCACTTGAGATGGGTCTTCTGAATACAGTACACGGATAGGTCTTGACTCTTTATCCAATTTGCCAGTCTGTGTCTTTCAATTGGGCCTTTAGCCCATTTACCTTTAGTGTTAGTATTGTTATGTGTGAATTTGATCCTGTCATCATGCTGCTGTTTGGTTATTTTGCACACTAGCTGATGCAGTTTCTTCATAGTGTCATTGGTCTTTATATTTTCGTGTGTTTTTGCAGTGGCTGGTACTGCCTTTTCCTTTCCATATTTAGCGCTTCTTTCAGGGAAGGCCTTGTGGTAATGAAATCCCTTAGCATTTGCTTGTCTGGATTTTATTTCTCCCTCACTTATGAAGCTTAATTTGGCTGGATATGAAATTTGGGGTTGAAATTTTTTTCTTTAAGAATGTTTAATATTGGCCCCCAATCTCTTTTGGCTTGTAGAGTTTCTGCTGAGAGGTCTGCTGTTAGTCTGATAGGCCTCCCTTTGTAGGTGACCTGGCTTTTCTCTCTGGCTGCCCCTAACAGTTTTTCCTTCATTTCGACCTTGGAGAATCTGATGATTTTGTGTCTTGGGATTGATTTTCTTGTGGAGTATCTTAATGGTGTTCTCTGTATTTCCTGAATTTGCTTGTTGGCCTGTCTTGCTAGGTTGGGGAAGTTCTCCTGGATAATATCCTGAAGAGTGTTTTCCAGCTTGTTTCCATTTCCCGGTCTCCTTCTGGTACTCCAATCAATTGCAGGTTCAGTCTTTTTATGAAGTCCTATATTTCTTGGAGGCTTTGCTCATTCCTTTTCATTCTATTTTCTCTGGTCTTGTCTTCATGCCTTATTTCAGCAAGGTGGTCTTCAAACTCTGATATTCTTTCTTCCACTTGGTCAATTTGGCTATTGATACTTGTATATGCTTCACAGAGTTCTTGTGCTGTGTTTTTCAGGTCCATCAGGTCAGTTATGTTCCTCTCTAAACTGGTTTTTCTAGTTAGCAATTCCTCTAACCTTTTATCAAAGTTCTCAGCTTCTTTGCATTGGTTTAGAACATGCTCCTTTAGCTCAATGGGTTTTTTTATTACCCATCTTTTGAAGCCTACTTCTGTCAATTTGTCCATCTGATCCTCCATGCTGTTCTGTGCCCTTGATGGAGAGACATTGTGATCATTCTGAGGAGAAGAGGCACTCTGGCCTTTTGGGTTTTCAGCATTTTTCCATTGATTCTTTCTCATCTTCATGAGTTTGTCTAGTTTCTGTCTTTGAGGCTGCTGAAACTTGGATGGGGTTTTTGTGGGGGCCTTTTTGTTGTTGTTGATGATGCTGTTGTTGTTGCTTTCTGCTTGTTTGTTTTTCTTTCAATGATTAGGTCCCTCTTCTGTAGGGCTGCTGCAGTTTGTCGGGGGCTCACTTCAGGCCCTATTCATCTGATTTGCTTCTGCACCTGGAATATCACTCAAGGAGGCTGGAGAACAGCAAAGATGGGTGCCTGCTCCTTCTTCTGGGAACTTTGACCTTGAGGGGACCAACCTGATGCCAATAGGATTGCTCTTGTACGGGGCGTCTGACAACCCCTGTTGGGTGGCATGGGGAATAGGACCTCTTTAGTGAAGAACTTTCTTTGTGGAGGGGGTGTGCCTCACTGAAGGGAAACCCACTCGTCTGGGCTGCTCGGATTCCTCAGAACTGCCAGGAGGAAAGGCTAAGTCTGCTGGTCTGCAGAGGTTGTGGCCACCCTTCCCCCATAGGGGCTCAGTACCAGGGAGATCCGGTTCTGTCCCTGAGCCTCTGGCTGGAGTTATTGGAGTTCCTGCAGGGAAGCCCCACCCAGTGAGGAAGGATGGGTCAGGGTCAGGCCTGAAGAGGCACCCGGCCACAGACTGCCACAGCCAGTGTATTGGGTTGTTGGGGAGAAGTCTTGGGACCAAGCTGTCCACCCTCCCTGGCTCCAGCAGGGAAAAAGCACAGCCTGGGCTATAGAGATGGGTGCTCCTCTTCCCCTGCCAGGGAGCTTAGTGTGTTAGGCAGTTGCAAGTCCCAGTGCTGGCTACTGCCCCTTCCCCAAGGACCTCAAATGGCTTAGACAGCAGGTAGCAGCAGCTGCGGTGGTGGTTGCCCCTTCCCCAAGGACCTCAAATGGCTTAGACAGCAGGTAGCAGCAGCTGCGGTGGTGGTTGCCCCTTCCCCTGGGAGTTTGGTAGACTTAAGCGGATTCCAGCTGAGAGGGTGTTAAGAGTCTACATGTTCTGGGGTTGGGATGCTAGGCCCAGGGGTATGGTTTCATGAGTGGGATCTTCCGATCCATGGGTTGCACAGTTTTGTGGAAAAAGCACAGTTTCCCTGGCTGGGTAGCATGCTCACTCACTGCCTCCCTTTGCTGGGCGAGTGGGCTCCCCCGCGCTGTGTGGCTCTCAGGTGGTCCACCGCACCACATTGTTCTTCCTCCTCTTTGTGGGTCATGCCAGCCTCCTAGTCAATTTTGATAAGAGAATCTGGATACCTTGGTTGCTGGTGAAGGATTCACACGCTTATTATGATTTTTTTTTTCAATGGGAGCCTCTGAACGCTGCTGTTTCTAGTCAGCCATCTTGGCCTCGCCCATATTTATTCTTTAAAATAGCATAAAATCATTTTGTTGAATAAAAACATAAGATTTTCGATGGGAGTTAGAATTTTATATTCATTTATAATTAATTATATTAAATAACTAGCAGTTTTATGATATTAAGATTTTGTACTGAGGAGCAGGTGTGAATCTCCATATATTCAGTCTTGGGTTATGCCCAATTTTATACATATCAATAACAATTACGTAGTTTTATTCCTATATTAGACTCATATTCAGTGGAAGGCTGCAGCCAGCTCTCATTGGCTCAAGAGAGCTGATTGTGTGCACCTCTTTCAAACTTTATGTTCAACTGCAGAGTATAGAAACCTTTGTGTGAACACTGGGATTCTTTCCAGGATTTTGCAGCTACATGCAGTGTCTCAATAAATAACCTTGTTCATATGTTGTTCCATACATGTGTAGGTGTCCCACAAGTAGGATTGCCTGTGTAAAGGCAAATGCATTTATAAACTTGCCAGATTCCTCTTCACCTGACCCCTTAGGCATTGTTCCATTGTGACAACCCCCAGTAAAGTATGAGAGGCCCTATTTATCCACAGCCTTGACAACAAAGTGTATTCTCAAACTCTTTTTTCTCTGCACCACTCTGGTAGGTGACAATAGTAGATCAATGTGGTCTTTCTTCGAATTTCTTTATTTCGGTAAGATTGAACTTCCTTTCATGTGCTTAATATTTCTTTTCAGTGAACCATCTGTTCAAGTTCTGTGTTTTCTTTTGGGTTGGGTTAAGACTTTTTCTTCTAATGTTTCTACACCTTTTTATGTATTTGGGAGATTAGCTCTTTGTCTGCAATGTAAGTTATAAATATTCATTCCAATATATCAGGAGTTTCTTCACATTGCTTTTGAACTTTTATAAAAATTTCGTGTAATATAATTGTTAAACTTTTATTTTAAGGCTTCTGGATTTTGAGTCATAGGAAGATCTTCCCCACTCCAGGTTTATAAAGAAATTTGTATTATTATCTAGAGCTTGCATGGTTTCATTTTTTATATTCAAATCTTTGGTTCATTTGGAGTTTATCCCAGCAGGAACCCTTCTGGAAGGGAATATTTGCAGAGATTTCCCAGATCTATGTGCCCTTCTGCTTCCTCTATGCTTACTGCTCTCACCTGGGCCACCCCTGAAGGTGGGCTTGCTGTTTCAGCATAGGTTTGCTGTTTGGCTCTTCTTTGAAACACTTACCTACAATTTTAAGTATTCAGGTTTCCTTTGTGTCCTAGTTACATTGAAGTGTATTGTGTGAGATTTTCCTTCTTCACTCTCCTTGTTGTTCTTGTTGGACTCCAGAAGAAGTGGGAAGATTCAGAACTAAACTGGTGCCACATTCATATCATAAACAAAACTTTAAAGTAAACTTTCATTTTAGGTTCTGGGGTACATGTGCAGTTTTGTTTTGTAGGTAAACTTGTGTCATGGGAGTTTGTTATATGGATTATTTCATCACCTGGGTACTAAGCCTAGTAATCAATATATTTTTTTCCTGATCCTCCTCTGCTTCCCACCCTCCACCCTCAAGTAGGCCCTAGTGTCTGTTTTTCTCCTCTCTGTGTTCATATGTTCTCATCATTTGACTCCCATGTATAAGTGAGAATATGTGGTATTTGGTTTTTTGTTCCTGTGTTAGTTTGCTAAGGATAATGTCCTCCAGCATAATCCATGTTCCTGCAAAGGACATTGTCTTGTTCCTTTTCGTGACTGCATAGTATTCCATCGTGTATATGTACTGTATTTTCTTTAGTCTACTATTGATGGGCAGGTAGGTTGATTCCATGTCTTCGCTATTGTGAATAGTGCTGCGATGAACATTGCATGCATGTGTCTTTATGGTAGAATGATTTATATTCCTTTGAGTATATATCCAGTAATGGGATTGCTGGGTTGAATGGTAGTTCTGTTTTCAGCCCTTTGAGGAATTGCCACACTGCTTTCCACAATGTTTTTACTAATTTTACACTCTCATCAAATGTTTTCTTTTTTTTTATTTTTTATTTTTATTTTTTTTATTATACTCTAAGTTTTAGGGTACATGTGCACATTGTGCAGGTTAGTTACATATGTATACATGTGCCATGCTGGTGCGCTGCACCCACTAACGTGTCATCTAGCATTAGGTATATCTCCCAATGCTATCCCTCCCCCCTCCCCCGACCCCACCACAGTCCCCAGAGTGGGATATTCCCCTTCCTGTGTCCATGTGATCTCATTGTTCAATTCCCACCTATGAGTGAGAATATGCGGTGTTTGGTTTTTTGTTCTTGCGATAGTTTACTGAGAATGTCTCATCAAATGTTTTAACTAATTTACACTCTCATCAAAAGTGTTTAAGTGTTCCCTTTTCTCTGCAACCTCACCAGCATTTGTTATTTTTTTTTGACTTCTTAATAATAGCCATTCTGACTGACGTGAGAAGGTATCTCATTGTGGTTTTGATTTGCATTTCTCTAATGATCAGTGATATTGAACTTTTTTCATATGCTTATTGGCACATGTATGTGTTCTTTTGAAAAGTGTTGGTTCATGTTCTTTGGCCACTTTTTAATGCAGTTTTTTTTTTTTGTAAATTGCTTAAGTTCCTTATAGATACTCGATATTCGATCTTTGCCAAATGCATATTTTGCAAAGATTTTCTCCCATTCTGTAGGTTGTCTGTTTACTCTGTTGATAGTTTCTTTTGCTGTGAAGAAGCTCTTAAGTTTAATTAGATCCAGTTTGTCAATTTTTGCCTTTTTGTGATTGCTTTTGGCATTTTTGTCATGAAATCTTTGCCAATTCCTATGTCCAGAATGGTATTGCCTATGCTGTCTTCCAGGGTTTTTATAGTTTTGGGTTTTACATTTTTTAATCCATCTTGAGTATTTGGTGTATATGGTATAAGAAAGAGGTCCCATTTCAATCTTCTGCATGTGGCTAGCCAGTTATACCAGCACCATTTATTGAATAGCAAGTCCTTCCCCTGCTGCTTATTTTTTGTCAGCTTTGTCAAAGATCAGATGGTTGTAGGTGTACGGCCTTATTTCTGGGCCCTCCATTCTGTTCCATTGGTCTATATGCCTATTTTTGTACCAGTACCATACTGTTTGGGTTACTATAGCCCTGTAGTATAGTTTGAAGTTAGGTAGCATAATGCCTCCAGCTTTATTCTTTTTGCTTAGGATTACCTTGACTATTTGGACTGTTTTTTGGTTTCACATGGATGTTAAAATAGTTTTTTCTAGTTCTGTGAAGAATGTCATTGGTAGTTTCATAGGAATGGAATTGAATTTGTAAATTGCTTTGAGCAGTATGGCATTTAACAATATTGATTCTTTCTATACATGAGTTTGGAATGTTTTTCCATTTGTTTGTGTAATCTCTGATTTCTTTGAGCAGTGTTATGTAATTCTCAATGTAGAGATCCTTCACCTCCCTGGTTAGCTGTATTCCTAGGTATTTTATTCTTTCTGCACCAATTGTGAATGGAATTGAATTCATGATTTGGCTCTTGGCTTGGCTGTTGTTGTTGTATAGGAATGCTAGTAATTTTTGTACATTGATTTTGTATCCTGAAACTTTGCTAAAATTGTTTACCAGCTTACGGAGGTTTTGGGCAGAGACTAGGGGTTTTCTAGATATAGAATCATGTTGTCTGCAAGCAGAGATAGTTAGATTTCCTCTTTTCCTATATGGATGCCTTTTATTTCTTTCTCTTGCCTGATTGCTGTGGCCAGGACTTCCAATACTATGTTGAATAGGAATTGTGAGAGAGGGCATTCTTGTCTTGTGCTGGTTTTCAAGGGCAATGCTTCCAGCTTTTGCCCATTAAATATGATGTTGGCTGTGGGTTTGTCATAGATGACTCTTACTATTTTGAGGTATGTTCCTTCAATACCTACTTTATTGAGAGTTTTTATTATTTTTTCTTTTATATATATATTTTTATTATACTTTAAGTTCTAGGATACATGTGCACAACGTGCAGGTTTGTTACACATGTATACATGTGCCATGTTGGTGTGCAGCACCCATTAACTCATCATTTACATTAGGTATATCTCCTAATGCTATCCCTCCCCCCTCTCCCCACCCTTCCTGTGTTCCCCTTCCTGTGTCCAAGTGTTCTCATTGTTCAATTCCCATCTATGAGGGAGAACATGTGGTGTTTGGTTTTTTGTCCTTGTGATAGTTTGCTGAGAATGATGGTTTCCAGCTTCATCTATGTCCCTACAAAGGACATGAACTCATCATTTTTTATGGCTGCATAGTATTCCATGGTGTATATGTGCCACATTTTCTTAATCCAGTCTATAATTGTTGGACATTTGGGTTGGTTCCAAGTCTTTGCTACTGTGAATAGTGCCACAATAAACATATGTGTGCATGTGTCTTTATAGCAAGATTTTTTTTTTTTTTCTTTTTTTGAGACGGAGTCTCGTTCTGTCACCCAGGCGGGAGTGCTGTGGCGCGATCTCCGCTCACTGCAAGCTCCGCCTTCCGGGTTCACGCCATTCTCCTGCCTCAGCCTCCCGAGTAGCTGGGACTACAGGTGCCCGCCACTGCGCCCGGCTAATTTTTTGTATTTTTAGTAGAGACGGGGTTTCACCGTGGTCTCGATCTCCTGACCTCATGATCCGCCCGCCTCGGCCTCCCAAAGTGCTGGGATTACAGGCGTGAGCCACCGCGCCCGGCCTTTATAGCAAGATTTATATTCCTTTGGGTATATACCCAGTAATGGGATGGCTGGGTCAAATGGTATTTCTAGTTCTAGATCCCTGAGGAATTGCCACACTGTCTTCCACAATGGTTGAACTAGTTTACAGTCCCACCAACAGTGTAAAAGTGTTCCTATTTCTCCACATCCTCTCCCTCACCTGTTGTTTCCTGACTTTTTAATGATTGCTATTCTAAGTGGTATGAGGTGATATCTCGTTGTGGTTTTGATTTGCATTTCTCTGATGGCCAGTGATGCTGAGCATTTTTTCATGTGTCTGTTGCCTGCATAAATGTCTTCTTTTGAGAAGTGTCTGCCCACTTTTTGATGGGGTTGTTTTTTTCTTGTAAATTTGTTTGAGTTCTTTGTAGATTCTGGTTATTAGCCCTTTGTCAGATGAGTAGATTGCAAAAATTTTCTCCCATTCTGTAGGTTGCCTGTTCACTCTGATGGTAGTTTCTTTTGCTGTGCAGAAGCTCTTTAGTTTAATTAGATCTCATTGTCAATTTTGGCTTTTGTTGCCATTGCTTTTGGTGTTTTAGACATGAAGTCCTTGCCCATGCCTATGTCCTGAATGGTATTGCCTAGGTTTTCTTCTAGGGTTTTTTATGGTTTTAGGTCTAACATTTAAGTCTTTAGTCCATCTTGAATTAATTTTTGTATAAGGTGTAAGGAAGGGATCCAGTTTCAGCTTTCTACATATGGCTAGCCAGTTTTCCCAGCACCATTTGTTAAATAGGGAATCCTTTCCCCATTTCTTGTTTTTGTCAGGTTTGTCAAAGCTCAGATAGTTGTAGATGTGTGGTATTATTTCTGAGGGCTCTGTTCTGTTCCATTGGTCTATATCTCTGTTTTGGTACCAGTATCATGCTGTATTGGTTATTGTAGCCTTGTAGTGTAGTTTGAGGTCAGGTAGCATGATGCTTCCAGCTTTGTTCTTTTGGCTTAGGATTGACTTGGCAATTCAGGCTCTTTTTTGGTTCCATATGAACTTTAAAGTAGTTTTTTCCAATTCTGTGAAGAAACTCATTAGCAGCTTGATGGGGATGGCATTGAATCTATGAATTACCTTGGGCAGTATGGCCGTTTTCACCATATTGATTCTTCCTATCCATGAGTATGGAAAGTTCTTCCATTTGTTTGTGTTCTCTTTTATTTTGTTGAGCAGTGGTTTGTAGTTCTCCTTGAAGAGGTCCTTTACATCCCTTGTAATTTGGATTCCTAGGTATTTTATTCTCTTTGTAGCAATTGTTAATGTGAGTTCACTCATAATTTGGCTCTCTGTTTGTCTGTTATTGGTGTATAAGAATGCTTGTGATTTTTGCACATTGATTTTGTATCCTGAGACTTTGCTGAAGTTGCTTATCAGCTTAAGGAGAATTTGGGCTGAGACGATGGGGTTTTCTGGATATACAATCATGTCACCTGCAAACAGGGAAAATTTGACGTCCTCTTTTCCTAATTGAATACCCTTTATTTCTTTCTCCTGCCTGATTGCCCTGGTCAGAACTTCCAACACTATGTTGAATAGGAGTGGTGAGAGAGGGCATCACTGTCTTGTGTCCGTTTTCAAAGGGAATGCTTCCAGTTTTTGCCCATTCAGTATGATATTGGCTGTGGGTTTGTCATGAATAGCTCTTATTATTTTGAGATATGTCCCATCAATACCTAATTTATTGAGAGTTTTTAGCATGAAACACTGTTGAATTTTGTTGAAGGCCTTTTCTGCATCTATTGAGATCATCATGTGGTTTTTGTCTTGGGTTCTGTTTACATGCTGGATTATGTTTACTGATTTTTGTATGTTGAACCAGCCTTGCATCCCAGGGATGAAGCCCACTTGATCATGTTGGATAAGCTTTTTGATGTGCTACTGGATTCGATTTCCCAGTATTTTATTGAGGATTTTTGCATCGATGTTCATCAGGGATATTGGTCTAAAATTCTCTTTTTCTGTTGTGTTTCTGCCAGGCTTTGGTATCAGGATGATGCTGGCCTCATAAAATGGGTTAGGGAGGACTCCCTCTTTTTTTTATTGATTGGAATAGTTTCAGAAGGAATGGTACCAGCTCCTCCTTGTACCTCTGGTAGAATTCGGCTGTGAATCCATCTGGTCCTGGACTCTTTTTGTGGGTAAGCTATTAATTATTGCCTCAATTTCAGAGCCTGTTATTGGTCTATTCAGAGATTCAACTTCTTCCTGGTTTAGCCTTGGGAGGGTCTATGTGTCCAGGAATTTATCCATTTCTTCTAGATTTTCTAGTTTATTTGCATAGAGGTATTTATAGTATTCTCTGATGGTAGTTTGTATTTCTGTGGGGTCAGTGGTGATATCCCCTTTATCATTTTTTATTGCATCTATTTGATTCTTCTCTCTTTTCTTCTTTATTAGTCTTGCTAGCAGTCTATCAATTTTGTTGATCTTTTCAGGAAACCCAGCTCCTGGTTTCATTGATTTTTTGAAGGGTTTTTCTTGTCTCTATCTCCTTCATGTCTGCTCTGATCTTTGTTATTTCTTGCCTTCTGCTAGCTTTTGAATGAGTTTGCTCTTGCTTCTCTAGTTCTTTTAATTGTGATGTTAGGGTGTCAATTTTAGATCTTTCTTGCTTTCTCTTGTGGGCATTTAGTGCTATAAATTTCCCTCTACCCACTGCTTTAAATGTGTCCGAGACATTCTGGTATGTTGTGTCTTTGTTCTCATTGGTTTCGAAGAACATCTTTATTTCTGCCTTCATTTCATTACATACCCAGTTGTCATTCAGGAGCAGGTTGTTCAGTTTCCATGTAGTTGAGCAGTTTTGAGTGAGTTTATTAATCCTGAGTTCTAGTTTGATTGCACTGTGGTCTGAAAGACAGTTTGTTATAATTTCTACCCTTTTACATTTGCTGAGGAGTGCTTTACTTCCAACTATGTGGTCAATTTTGGAGTAAGTGCGATGTGGTGCTGAGAAGAATGTATATTCTGTTGATTTGGGGTGGAGAGTTCTGTAGATGTCTATTAGGTCCACTTGGTGCAGAGCTGAGTTCAATTCCTGAATATCCTTGTTAATTTTCTGTCTCGTTGATCTGTCTAATGTTGACAGTGGGGTGTTAAAATCTCCCATTATTATTGTGTGGGAGTCTAAACTTCTTTGTAGGTCACTAAGGACTTGCTTTATGAATCTGGATCCTCCTGTATTGGGTGCATATATATTTAGGGTAGTTAGCTCTTCTTGTTGAATTGATCCCTTTACCATTATGTAATGGCCTTCTTTGTCTCTTTTGATCTTTGTTGGTTTAAAGTCTGTTTTATCAGAGACTAGGATTGCAACCCCTGCCTTTTTTTGTTTTCCATTTGCTTGGTAGATCTTCCTCCATCCCTTTATTTTGAGCCTATGTGTGTCTCTGCACATGAGATGGGTTTCCTGAATACAGCATACTGATGGGTCTTGACTGTTTATCCAATTTGCCAGTCTGTGTCTTTTAATTGGAGCATTTAGCCCATTTACATTTAAGGTTAACATTGTTATGTGTGAATTTGATCCTGTCATTATGATGTTAGCTGGTATTTTGCTTGTTAGTTGATGCAGTTTCTTCCTAGCCTCGATGGTCTTTACAATTTGGCATGTTTTTGCAGTGGCTGGTACCGGTTGTTCCTTTCCATGTTTAGTGCTTCCTTCAGGAGCTCTTGTAGGGCAGGCCTGGTGGTGACAAAATCTCTCAGCATTTGCTTGTCTGTAAAGGATTTTAATTCTCCTTCACTTATGAAGCTTAGTTTGGCTGGATATGAAATTCTGGATAGAAAATTCTTTTCTTTGGGAATGTGGAATATTGGCCCCCCCTCTCTTCTGGCTTGTAGAGTTTCTGCTGAGAGATCAGCTGTTAGTCTGATGGGCTTCCCTTTGTGGGTAACCCGACCTTTCTCTCTGGCTGCCTTTAACATTTTTTCCCTCATTTCAACTTTGGTGAATCTGACAATTATGTGTCTAGGAGTTGCTCTTCTCAAGGAGTATCTTTGTGGCATTCTCTGTGTTTCCTGAATTTGAATGTTGGCCTGTGTTGCTAGGTTGGGGAAGTTCTCCTGGATAATATCCTGCAGAGTGTTTTCCAACTTGGTTCCATTCTCCCCGTCACTTTCAGGTGCATCAATCAGACATAGATTTGGTCTTTTGACATAGTTCCATATTTCTTGGAGGCTTTGTTCATTTCTCTTTATTCTTTTTTCTCTACACTTCTCTTCTCACTTCATTTCATTCATTTGATCTTCAATCACTGATACCCTTTCTTCTAGTTGATTGAATTGGCTACTGAAGCTTGTGCATTCATCACATAGCTCCTGTGCCTTGGTTTTCAGCTCCATTAGGTCCTTTAAGGACTTCTCTGCATTGGTTATTCTAGTTAGCCATTCGTCTAATCTTTTTTCAAGGTTTTTAACTTCTTTGCGATGGGTTCAAACTTCCTCCTTTAGCTTGGAGAAGTTTGATCATCTGAAGCCTTCTTCTCTCAACTCATCAAAGTCATTCTCTGTCCAGCTTTGTTCTGTTGCTGGTGAGGAGCTCTGTTGCTTTGAAGGAGGAGAGGAGCTCTGATTTTTAGAATTTTCAGTTTTTCTGTTGTTTTTTCCCCATCTTTTTGGTTTTATCTACCTTTGGTCTTTGACGATAGTGATGTACAGATGGGGTTTTGGTGTGGATGTCCTTTCTGTTTGTTAGTTTTCCTTTTAACAGTCAGGACCCTCAGCTGCAGGTCTGTTGGAGTTTGCTGGAGGTCCACTCCAGACCCTGTTTGCCTGGGTATCAGCAGCAGAGGCTGCAGAACAGCGAATATTGCTGAACAGCAAATGTTGCTGTCTGATCATTCCTCTGGAGGTTTCATCTCAGAGGGGTACCTGGCCGTGTGACGTGTCAGTCTGTCCCTACTGGGGGGTCCCTCCCAGATAGGCTACTTGGGGGTCAGGGACCCATTTGAGGAGGCAGTCTGTCCGTTCTCAGATCTCAAACTCCGTGCTCGGAGAACCACTACTCTCTTCAAGGCTGTCAGACAGGGACATTTAAGTCTGCAGAGGTTTCTGCTGCCTTTGGTTCAGCTATGCCCTGCCCCCAGAGGTGGAGTCTACAGAGGCAGGCAGGCCTCCTTGAGCTGTGATGGGCTCCACCAAGCTCGAGCTTCCTGGCTGCTTTGTTTACCTACTCAAGTCTCAGCAATGGCAGGCACCCCTCCCCCAGCCTCACTGCCACCTTGCAGTTTGATCTGAGACTGCTGTGCTAGCAATGAGCAAGGCTCCATGGGCATGGCACCCTCCGAGTCATGCGCGGGAGATGATCTCCTGGTATGCCATTTGCTAAGACCATTGGAAAAGTGCAGTATTAGGGTGGGAGTGACCCGATTTTCCAGGTGCCGTCTGTCACAGCTTTGCTTGGCTAGGAAAGGGAATTCCCTGACCCCTTGCACTTCCCAGGTGAGGTGATGCCTTGCCCTGCTTTGACTCATGCTCGGTGTGCTGCACCCACTGTCCTGCACCCACTGTCTGACAAGCTCCAGTGAGATGAACCTGGGATCTGAGTTGGAAATGCAGAAATCACTCGTCTTCTGCATTGCTTGCTCTGAGAGCTGTAGACCGGAGCTGTTCCTATTCAGTCATCTTGGAACCACCCCCTTGAGAGTTTTTAATATGAAGTGATGTTGAATTTTATCAAAAGTCTTTTCTGCATCTATTAAGATAATCTTGTAATTTTTGTCTTTAGTTCTGTTTATGTGATGAATCACATTTATTGATTTGTGTATTTTGAACCAACCTTGAATCCCAAGGATAAAGCCTACTTGATCATGGTGGATTAGCTTTTCGATGTACTGCTGGATTAGCTTTGCAAGTATGTTGTTGATTTTTGCATGAATTTTCATCAAGGAGATTGGCCTAGGGTTTTCTTTTTTCTTGTGTCTCTGCCAGGTTTTGGTATCAGGATAATGCTGGCCTCATAGAATGAGGTTTTGGGATAGTTTCAGTAGGAATGGTACCAGCTCTTCTTTGTATATCTGGTAGAATTCAGCTGTGAATCCATCTGGTGGTCATGGGTTTTTTTTTTGTGTGAGTGGGCTATTTATTACTGATTCAACTTTGAATCTCATTATTGGTTACGGGAATCAATTACTTGGTTTAGTCTTGGAAGGGTGCGTATGTCCAGGAATTTATTCATCTCTTCTAGGTTCCCTAGTTTGTGTGCATACAGGTGTTCATAGCAGTCTCAGATGGCTATTTATATTTCTGTGGGATCAGTGGTAACATACTCTATGTTGTTTCTAATTGTATTTATTTGGATCTTGTTTCTTTTCTTCCTTATTAGTCTCGCTAGTGGCCTATCTTATTAATTTCTTTAAAAAACCAGCTCCTGGATTTATTGATCTTTCACATGATTTTCCTGTTTTGATCTTCTTCAGCATAGCTCTGATTGGGGTTATTTCTTGTCTTGTGCTAGCTTTGGGGTTAGTTTGCTTTTGCTTCTCTATTTCTTTTAGTTGTGATATTAGGCTATTAATTTGAAAATTTTCTAACTTTTTGATATGGGCACATAAACAATACTTCTAAGCACATTTTAATAATTGTATATTAAATTAAACCAAAAAAATTAAGAGAGATGATAGACAGATACAGATTCTGCAATATATCCACTGCGGATATCCCAGTGGATGAAAAAAGTTTTGCCTCTCATTCTTGAGTATGAAGACAGATAATATCCAAGTAAATATATAAGTTAATAATACATACATAATTCAAAATCTCTGTTACTGGACATATAAGCTGCTGCTCATTCTTTGTTATTCTTTATAAGACTGATGTGAACCTTCTTAGGCTTATTTGTTTGTGAGCATTTCTGATTCCAGCAACCATCCCTCCCACACCCCCATATATCCTCAGGACAAATGGATAAAAAGGCAAGAAATTTTTAAAAGCTTATAACATATATAACCAAATATCCTCCTGAGACATTTGTATCAGTTGTCTGTGCCACTTTACCTTTTCTCCTTTGTATATAAGACTGTTCATTTATATAAAACATCCCCATTTTGTCTTACCCTGAAAAATCCCCTTGGCTTTTTTGCTATATTGTTAGTCATTTGAAGAGCTATCTGATTCATCCACCTGCCCAACATCCTTCCATCCATCCTTCCATACATCCAACATAAAGCACACTGCAAGGTACTGTGATATATAGAAACTGTTGATGGGCTAACTTGTTTTAATAGTTCAGGCTGGTCTTGAACTCCTGACTTCAAGTGATCTGCCTGACTTGGCCTCCCAAAATGGTGGGATTACAGGTGTAAGCCACCACAACTGGTGCCCGTCATTCTTAATTACTTTAAATACATAAATAAATAGTAATTGGTAAGTTTACTAAAATGTTCAAACTTACTTGTGTGCACAATAATAATTTAAGATTACATTTATAACTTACCAAAATAATTGAGTAAGCTGACAAATTTGAGTCAAAACAATAATCCTTCTTCCAACCACCTTAAAATTTGTGAACCCCAAAGCTTTGTCTGCAGATCTCTCTCTTCTCACTCTTTTCCTCATAATTTTTGTGAAGCCACAGGGCTTCAACTATAAGCTACATGATGGATTCTAAATGTACTTATATAGGCTATAATCCTACTTATGGGGAAATACTAGGTTTTTCTGGAAAAAGGTGTTAAAGTCAAGAAGAAGACAAGAATGCCTTCTATGCCTACTGTTGTTTAATATTGTGTTGAAGGTACTAGTCAATGTACTCAAGCAGGAGAAAGCCAGTGGAGGCATAACAATTGGAAAGGAAGAAGTAGAACTATCCCTATTTGATGATAATATAGTTGTATATCTGGAGAAGCTGTAATAATTAATGAAAAATATGGTAAGGTAGCATATATAAAACTAATATATTGATATCCATTGTGTTTACATACACAAATGCAAACTAATTAGAAGAGATAATGAAAGAAAAGATAATATTTACAATAGCCACTGAAAATATAAAATACATAGCAAAATAAATTGAACAAGAAATGTAAAAACTATATGACAAAAACTTAAAATGCTCCTGCAATTCACAAAAGCAGATCTGAACAAATAGACATACCATGCTTTTGGATAAGAACCTTCAACAGCATAATCTAAGGATTAAGACATGAATATCTTTGAGAGGAGGAAGGACGTTATTCTGCCTACCATACTGTTTCTGAAGTTTACATATTAAAAGGAGCAATAAGAGATAGGAAACCCTTGAAAAAGGAGAAAAATTATATAAGAACATAATATAAAACATTAATAATTAAACGAGTGTGGTATTACTACATAAATATGCAGACAAATGGAACATAATAGAAAGTCAAGAAGTAGACCCAAATATCTATGGAATTTGATATAAGATAAGTGAAACCTCTCAAATTAGTCAGATAAAGATGGGCTTGGTGTTGTGACAATTGGATAACCATTTGGTTAAAAAAGTTATCTTCAGTAAACTCACAATGTAGGAGAGAAGACATTCATTAAAGTATATAATTGCCATAAGTATAGTAACTGCAATAAAAGAGAGATAGTCTAGGTACATGGAGGCACAAAGGAATTAGTAATCAGTTATGGTCTTAGACACAGTGCTGGCAGAGAGTAGGTTATTATTAGAAAGATGACCTTTAATGGGATCCATTCCGAGTCTGAGAATCTATCATTAATTTCCTCTGACCCGTTGTTACCTTTAACAGTGAAAACAAGGTGATATCAGTTGTCCTTACTTCATCTAAAAATCCAGTACAAGTCCAACAGTTACACAAGATGGAGTTGAGTGGAACACAGAAGGCATGCTGGGCCAGAAGTGGACAAGATGATGAAGGATCTTGTTTGCTCTAAGACACACATATTTAAACAGTTTTAACATCTCTGAAATAAGAATGATAGGCGAGAAGGAAGTAGAGCTCCTTCAGAGAGAATCTGCCCATCACTATGGGCACAATGTTAACCAATGATAACCTGAGATCGTTTTGAATTCTCTGCTTGAGGTTTTTGGGACTACACCACTAAGTGAGAATTCAGACTGCAGATTTGCTTAAGTTCCAGTTTATGATTCAAATTCCCAGATAATTTTTCCTTTTTTTCTTTGTCCAGTGCCAAATGAAACAGGCAAGTGTATTTCTTGTTTGCTGTTGCACTGAGGGCACAGTGTTCTTATGTCCCAGGCTTAGGTCCCACTTTAGTATTATTTTTCTCTCTCTTAATAGTACCTAAAATAACGCTGTATGTTTTGGAAATTGTGGAGCCCACAGAAGACACAGACATGAATGTGAGAATTCCATGACAGTGAAACAACTAGTTCTGTCTTTTTCACAAAGGGTAAAATTTTAATGATTCAAAGAGTGATCTTAATGAGCCATTCTCATCACCTTAATTGCGAACCTAGAACTTCAAATAAATAAGACAAGAGTCATTGTACTTTCCAATTTTGATTTGGGACACATAGCACTTTCAATCTTTAAATAAGTCTTGACTTTTTTTTTCTGAGATTGACTCTTTTATGAATTTGCTACTCCTTTTAATTACACACAGAAACTAAAAGTCTCAATGGCCTTTGATTTACTAGCACATTAATTGGTTTCATTGCTTTGACTTGGATAGCTGAATGGTTGGGAGTTCTCAGTTCCCAATTGAGATGTCAACTAACAGCAATGGAAGAAGACTTGGAAAGGTAGAGGAGTGATTAGGATGGAGCCGACAAGCTTTGCTGGTAGATTTGATGGGAGATAGGAGAGAAAGTGAGAAGTAGATGCCATTAAGGGTTTTGGGATGGGTAATAGTGGAGATGAGGCAAGTCTTTGGAGAGTAATTAAAGATCAAGGGTTGTCCGGGTAAGTATCATTAATTTCCATTATAATTTTAGAAAACTCAATCAAATCATCCAAAAAGAGATTCATGAAATGTGATGCTGCCTCTAGCAATGTGATAGTCACGTTTGTCAGACAGAACATGCCTCCCAAGTCACTAGAAATAACTGCAGAGCTAAATAGAAGCACAGTCTCATTAGGTCTATCAAGAGATCATTGGTCTTTTTGATCTCTGTGTGTATGCTAAGGAAAGGGTAAGTGCGTCTCCTTTTCATCTTTTCCATCACACTTTAAAGGGCTGCCATAATGTTCCCACCAACTGAATCATTTTCATTTCCAACTCTTAATCAATTTGTGAATAAATATCTTTTGGAGATGAGCTGCTTTAAATGATGGCTGCCTCTCCACCTTTAATCTATGATACTACAGTTCTCTTGAGAGAAAATAGCTCCTTGTGTCTTTATTCTGTCTTTGAGTCCATATTTGCAGCACACCTTCTCTTTTATTATTACCTAGAGATGGCTCTAGTAGGTGAATAAAAGGTTGCACAAGTTTTGCAAAAATAAGAGGCTATTCACCCTTGCTACCTTTAATCTCCTGCATTCTCCTGTTAATGAGTATACATTATCAAAGCTATTTCTCAAAAAGTCTTTAGATAGTACAATACCATTGGCAGATCATCCTCAGGAAGGGCTCTTTGTAAATTTCATAATTAGTGGTATTATCTTTAATCTTTTGTGGTATGAAAATCAAGGACAACATGAAACAATACAAAGTCAGAAACTGTTTTGGTAAATTCTAGGTGTTAAAAATAAAGGTTTGAATCAAATATTCTTTCAGATAGTAATAAAGGTTCTAAAAGTACAAGACATATAGATAAACCCCTTGATACTATTTCTTCTACAAATTGTTTAGCTGCTTTGATCAGATGAAATCTAATTGATCTTCTGTCCTAAATTCAAAAGAACCAAGAGCCAGGCATTTCTGGAAAGGTCTGAATACATTAAACTAATTGCTCCTAAAGAAGCATTTTCTCTGGGGCCCTCTTACATTAGTTTTTGAAATATATTCATGTCAAATTTCCAAGTTCAACTTTGCAAATAGAGTCAACATAGTTACCCCTCTTCCCTATAAAAATCCTAAAAGTATATTAAAATGCAAAAACAGAAACAAACAAAAGTGCCTGTGACAACTTTGGGAAATGATGTGGAGCATAATACATAGGCCGAGAACTTTGAAGATCTTCAATTTTTGAAAAATAGAAAACAAATTGGATAAAACTAATAGAAAAGTCAATCAATGCTTAAAAAGTCCAGATATCTGCATCAGCCAAAGAGAAATCAGTTGACCTAGTTCTCCAACTGAGTACTGGGAAAACCAAAAGCTGGAGCAAGAGGGACTAGGACATTGCTTGGAGGCAGTTGCTAGGAGAACGGTCAGCTCTCCAGCCTTCCCCAACACACACACACACACACACACACACACACACACACACACACACACTCACATTGATTGGCTGGCTGTTGGCTTCAATCCCTGGTCTCACTTGATAGGAGACTTGCTAAGTAAAATGGAAGATTTTTCTCACTGTCATTTTAACATTGACAATAGGTCTAAAGAAGGAAGGGTAGGGCTATGGCTTATTTTAGATGTTCTAACAATAATGGCAAAACCAGTCAACCAAACAAACAAAATCTGACAGAGCAGTAAAGTTCCTGAAGACCATTTTACATCACCTGTTATACTTGCTACTGGCAATTATGCGTTTAATAAGACCCAGGCATATTTTAGATGCCACCAGCAGAAGTCAGAGGAATGATCAAGAAGGAGACCACAGTAAAGAATGTTCAAGAAGGGGACCTTGGGAAATTCATCAAAACCTGAACACAAGGCGGCTGGCCACCGTTGGAACTCAGTCTTCCATTGGGTCTGATGATGCCAGGGAAGTTGGGCTTTTATTTTTACAGGTGGATCTGTAGAAGCTGTGGCCGTGCATAAGGAGTGGGATGTGGACTTCTGGTCTCCACCAGGGCCTGGAATCATAAATGGAAAACTGTCTGAATGCTTATCTTTCCCTATCATTCACAATGATAGCAAACCCCTCACAGTTTTCTATGATGATACAAATTAAAAAATGTGGTTATATTCCAGGGTGTGGTATGACTATCTATTGACCAAAAGAGACCATTAATTTTTGGAATGATAGAAATGTTCTTTATCTTAATCTGGATATTAGCTACATGATTATATATACAGATACATTTGTTGAGCTATACACTTTAAATTTATTCATTTATGTAAAACAAAGAATACATATGCTATTCATAGAATAAGTAACATAAATGCTTTTTCAGAAAACTGTAAATTACCAAAATTTACCCAAGAAAACATCAAATAGCCTGGAAGAACACAAACATGAATTTTTTAAAAATAAAAGATTTACCCCTGTATGTACTGGGGCCGGAATTATTGTTATCTAGGTTTTAATAAAAACTTCAAAATCCAGATAATTCCTACATTGCTTAAATTCTTGTCCTACAGGGAAAACTTAGAAATGTCCTCAAGCTCTTCTTTCAGGGATAATCCAAATTCCAAAATATAATAAGAGTGTACTCTTAACATTAAACTATTGATTACTTCACTTTTATTTCCCTTTTGAATATAAATGTAGAAATCATAAGTAAAGAAGGACTGAGTAAAATTCTAGCAATTTGTTAAAATAACAATTGAATATTACCCAATAGATTTATTTAGAAAATACAAGAACAGCTCAATATTAGAGAACTTAATAATATAATCTAGAACATTAATTTATTTTAGAATTAAATAATGGATTTGAGGGAAATATATGATCACAAATAAAGATGCTTAAAGAAGCAATTGTACAAAATCCAATGCTCATTCCTGATTTAAGAAAAAACAGTATGTTAAGAATAGGAAAAACTGTTATTTTCTTTTTATAACTGTCTTTTTTTTGAAGATGTAATATATAAATATGGCCTAAAATTCTAAAGATATAAAAGGGTAAACCGTGGAAAGTAAGTTTCTTCCACCCTATTGGCAGGTTAGTTACTCAGTTTACACAATCTGTAGCTTCCTAATCACATGATTCTGCAGCTTCCTGCTTTCACCTATTAATATATCTGGGTAACCAAAACATATCAGTGTATATAAAATGACCGCATTTTTAAATGGCTGTAATAGTTCAGTGTTTGGAAGAGCAAGAATTTATTTAATCAGTCTTCTAAGAGTAGGGTTATTTTTTTGCATTATTTTTTGCTAGTTCACATAAGACTTAAGTAAATATCTTTGAAATGAGTATTTGTGCACTTGGATGACCTTTCTAAATGTAAGATTGGTAACCCAAAAACTTAGGAACACTTCTACTTTTGAGAGATTTTACCAAATTTTTCTTCTTGATGTTATTGTACTAATTTGTAATTCTTCCATCAATAAATGATACTGGACTTCTGAATTTTCTTGGTAACGTGGCTAACTAGGTTTCCTTACCCGCACTCTCAACAAAAAACTATATAAAATGGTAGATAAAATATCAGAAAACATTTTAAATGCACTGGTAAACTAACAAGGAAGCAAGAGGGAATATCTCTCCTTTTTGTTAATCATAATTTTTTACCTAAATTCAAATTACCCAGGTGGATCAAAATATCTTAAGCTGAGAATTGATTTTAAAGTGACCTTGGATGGGTAATGCCCCTAAGTGCCTGGAAAAGGGTAAACATAAATCTTTTTGGCAAGAAAAAAGTCCCACAACAAAAAAATTAAGGCCAACATACAAGTTGTGACAGGAAATCAGGAAGGTTAGTTATATAAAGTGTACATTTACAAGAATGGCCCTTTAAAACAAAACTATAAATCAATTTCACATATTTCAATATATCATATATGTACAAATCCTAAGTGAAATGGGTAGACAAAATTCTAACAAAATAATATTTAGTTTAGATAATCTTTTAAAATAATATACTATTATTAATTTATTCACCTTCAGAGCAACACATGAAGAAAATAACTAAACACACAGGAAACAATAGACATGAATGAAACTAATAGAGACAGAAAATAAAATATTCATGCATATTACATTTAAAGAGATAAAAGCCAAGCTTGAAAACATAAGCATGAAATAAGAACTCATAAATAATGACCAAGAAATTCAGAAAGGAACCAAATTTAACTTATAAAAATGAAAAATATCAATGAAATTGAAAACATAATGGAAAAATTTAATAATAGATTAAAACTTTGGCTGATAAGGATCTATCAATGTAAGTTTATCAATTGTAACACTCTGGTGGGGAATGTTGATATTGGGGGAAGCTATGCATGTGCGAGAGAAGGGGGCATATGAGATATTGCTGTACCTTACTCTCAATTTTGCTGCGATTCAAAAACTTATCTAAAAACGTAGTCTTTAGAAAGTAGATTAGAGACTTTTGCTTATCCTGTTTTCATGTATTTAAAAGACAATTTACCAATTAAAGTAAAAATAGTAAATGTGGGGTTTATAACATATGTAGAAGTGAAATGTATAACAATAACACAAAGAGCAGAAGGGAGAACTGGAACATACTGTGATAAGGTTCTAACAGTACTGTGCAGAAAGTGGCATAATATTATTTGAAGGTTGGGTGTGATAAATTAATGGTGCAATTTGTAACTCTTGAAACGTCTAAGAAGAAAACAGTAAAGCGAATAAGTCAATAGTGGGGACACAATGGAACACTTAAAAATTTCAGTTAATTCGGCCAGGCACAGTGGCTCATGCCTGTAATGCCAGCACTGTGGGAGGCCAAGGTGGGCGAATCACCTGAGGTCAGGAGTTCAAGACCAGCCTGAACAACATGGAGAAACCCCATCTCTACTAAAAATACAAAATTAGCTGGGCGTGGTGGTGCGTGCCTGTAATCCCAGCCATTTGGGAGGCTGAGGCAGGAGAATTGATTGAACCTGGGAGGCGGAGGTTGCCATGAGCAAAGATCGCACCATTGCACTCCAGCCTGGGCAATAAGAGCAAAACTCTACCTCAAAAAAAAAAAAAAAAAATCAGTTAATTCAAGAGGAGAAATGTAATAAAGAAGAGATAGAATGTTTTTCCATTTGTCTGTGTCCTCTTTTATTTCCTTGAGCAGTGGTTTGTAGTTCACCTTGAAGAGGTCCTGCACATCCCTTGTAAGTTGTATTCCTAGGTATTTTATTCTCTTAGTAGCAATTGTGAATGGGAGTTCACTCATGATTTGGCTCTCTGTCTGTTATTGGTGTATAGGAATGCTTGCAATTTTTGTACATTGATTTTTGTATCTTGAGACTTTGCCGAAGTTGATTATCAGCTTAAGATGTTGGGCTGAGATGATGGGGTTTTCTAAATATACAATTATGTCATCTGCAAACAGAGACAATTTGACTTCCTCTCTTCCTACTTGAATACCCTTTATTTCTTTCTCTTTCCTGATTGCCCTGGCCAGAACTTCCAATACTATGTTGAATAGGAGTGGTGAGAGAGGGCATCCCTGTCTTGTGCCAGTTTTCAAAGGGAATACTTCCAGTTTTTGCCCGTTCTGTATGATATTGGCTGTGGGTTTGTCATAAATAGCTCTTATTATTTTGAGATACGTTCCATCGATACCTAGTTTATTGAGAGTTCTTAGCATGAAGGGGTGTTGAATTTTGTTGAAGGCCTTTTCTGCATCTATTGAGATAATCACGTGATTTTTGTCATTGATTCTGTTTATGTGATGGATTACATTTATTGATTTGTGTATGTTGAACCAGCCTTGCATCCCAGGTATGAAGCCGACTTGATCGTGGTGGATAAACTTTTTGATGTGCTGCTGGATTTGGTTTGACAGTATTTTATTCAGAATTTTTGCAGTGATGTTCATCAGGGATATTGGCCTGAAAGTTTCATTTTTTGTTGTGTCTCTGCCAGGCTTTGGTATGAGGATGACGCTGGCCTCATAAAATGAGTTAGAGAGGATTCCCTCTTTTTCTATTGTTTGGAATTGTTTCAGAAGGAATGATACCAGCTCCTCTTTGTACCTCTGGTAGAATTCGGCTGTGAATCTGTCTGGTCCTGGACTTTTTTTGGTTGGCACGCTATTAATTACCGCCTCAATTTCAGAACTTGTTATTGGTCTATTCAGGTATTCGATTTCTTCTCGATTTAGACTTGGGAGCATGTTTGTGTCCAGGAATATATCAATTTCTTCTAGGTTTTCTAGTTTATTTGCATAGGGGTGTTTATAGTATTCTCTGATGGTAGTTTGTATTTCTGTGGGATCAGTGGTGATATCCCCTATATCATTTTTTATTGTGTCTATTTGATTCTTCTCTCTTTTCTTCTTTATTATTCTGGCTAGCAGTCTATCTATTTTGTTGATCTTTTCAAAAAACCAGCTCCTGGATTCATTGATTTTTTGAAGGTTTTTTTGTATCTCTATCTCCTTCAGTTCTGCTCTGATCTTAGTTATTTCTTGTCTTCTGCTAGGTTTGAATTTGTTTGCTGTTGCTTCTCTAGTTCTTTTAATTGTGATGTTAGGGTGTCAATTTTAGATCTTTCTTGCTTTCTCTTGTGGGCATTTAGTGCTATAAATTTCCCTCTACACACTGCTTTAAATGTGTCCCAGAGATTCTGGTACTTTGTGACTTCGTTCTCATTGGTTTCAAAGAACATCTTTATTTCTGTCTTCATTTCGTTATGTACCCAGTAGTCATTCAGGAGCAGGTTGTTCAGTTTCCATGTATTTGTGTGGTTTTGAGTGAGTTTCACATTTCATGCTCATGGATAGGAAGAATCAATATCATGAAAATGGCCATACTGCCCAAAGTAATTTACAGATTCCATGCTATACCCATCAAGCTACCACTGACTTTCTTCACAGAATTGGAAAAAACGACTTTAAACTTCATATGGAACCAAAAAAGAGCTCACATAGCCAAGACAATCCTAAGCAAACAAACAAACAAACAAAAAAACAAAGCTGGAGGCATCATGCTACGTGACTTCAAACTATATTACAAGGCTACAGTAACCAAACAGCATTGCACTGGTACCAAAGCAGATATATAGACCAATGGAACAGAACAGAGGCATCCAAAATAACACCACACAGCTACAACCATCTGATCTTTGACAAACCTTACACAAACAAACAATATTTAATAAATGGTGTTGGGAAAACTAGCTAGCCATATGCAGAAAACTGAAACTGGACCCATTTCTTACACCTTATACAAAAATCAACTCAAGATGGATTAAAGATTTAAACATAAGACCTCAAATCATAAAAATCCTAGAAGAAAACTTGGGCAATACCATTCAGGACATAGACATGGGCAAAGACTTCATGTCTAAAACACCAAAAGCAATGGCAACAAAAGCCAAAATTGACAAATGGGATCTAATTAAACTAAAGAGCTTCTGCACAGCAAAAGAAACTATCATCAGAGTGAACAGGCAACCTACAGAATGGGAGAAAATTTTTGCAATCTATCCATCAGACAAAGGGCTGATATCCAGAATCTACAAATAACTTAAACAAATTTATAAGAAAAAAACAAACAACCCCATCAAAAAGTGGGTGAAGGATATGAACAGACACTTCTCAAAAGAAGACATTTTTATAGCCAAAAAACATATGAAAAAATGCTCATCATCAGTGGTCATTAGAGAAATGCAAATCAAAACCACAATGAGATAACATCTCACGCCAGTTAGAATGGTGATCATTAAAAAGTCAGGAAACAACAGATGTTAGAGAGGATGTGGAGAAATAGAAATACTTTTACACTGTTGGTGGGAGTGTAAATTAGTTCAACCACTGTGGAAGACAGTGTGGCGATTCCTCAAGGATCTAGAACCAGAGATAACATTTGACTCAGCAATCTCATTACTGGGTATACACCCAAAGGATTATAAATCATTCTATTATAAAGACACATGCACACATATGTTGATTACGGCACTATTTACAATAGCAAAGACTTGGAACCAACCCAAATGTCCATCAATAATAGATTGGATAAAGAAAATGTGGCACACATACACCATGGAATACTATGCCGTCATAAAAAAGGATGAGTTCATGTCGTTTGCAGGGACATGGATGAAGCTGGAAACCATCATTCTCAGCAAACTATCACAGAAAAGAAAACCCAACACCACATGTTCTCACTCATAAGTGGGAGTTGAACAAGGAGAACACATGGACACAGGGAGGGGAATATCACACACTGGGGCCTGTCAGTGGTGGGGGGCTAGTGGAGGGATAGCATTAGGAGAAATATCTAGTGTAGGTGATGGGTTGATGGGTGTAGCAAACCACCATGGCGTGTGTATACTTATGTAACAAAACTGGATGTTTTTCACAAGTACCTCACTACTTAAAGTATAATTAAAAAAAAAAGAAAAAAGGAGAAGAGATAGAAAGGAAAGAAAATAGCAAGATGGTAAATTAAACCAAATGATTTATTGAAAACTTCATTAACTGTAAATAATCTAAAGACTTGAATTAAAACACAAAGATTGTCACATTGGACAAAAAAAACAAGACAAATATATATGCTGCCTATAAGAAATCTACTTTAAATATAATGACCCAGATAACAGTAAAAGGATAAAAACATATACTATGCAAAAACTAATTGTAAGAAAGCTGAAGTGATTCTATTAGTATCAAACAAAATAGATTTCAAACAAATACTATTACCAGAGATAAAGAGGACCATTTCATATTAACAAGGGTCAATTTGCTGAAAAAAAGTAATTATCCTACACATGTGTACACACAATAGGAGAAGTTCAAAATATATAAAGCAAATATATAAAAGAAATAGACAAATCACAAAGCTTGAGACTCCCTCTATCAGCAATTGATAGAACAGATAGATGTAGACAGAAAATAAGTAAGAATATAGAATACCTGAATGACACTTCAACCAATTAACATTTATAAAACACTCAACAGCAGCAGAATACTGATTCCTTATAAGTTAACATTGAACATGCAATAGGAGAGACCATATGCTAGGCTATAGAACCACTCACAATAAAATTTAAAAAGGTTGACATCATACATAATAAATTCTCTTACAGAAATGAAATTGAATTGGAAATCAATAGCATAAAGCTATTTGTTTCTCAGTCTATGATGTCAGTGGAGGACAGGCGGAAATTCTGACTTTACATTGCCACCCAGTAGTAACAAGATATCCCTTTCCCTTTCCTCCAAATTGGTGTAAGAGGAGGCTGAGTGAGAAGCTAAATCTTTTTTTTTTTTTGACAGTTAAAAAAAGTTTTAATTGACACATCATAATTATACAAATATATGAGATACAGTGTGATGTTTCAATATATGTACACATTGTGTAACGATCAAATCAGGGTAATTAGCATATCTATCATCTCAAACATTTATTCATTTACTTGTGGTGAGAACAGGTAAAATCTTCTTTTCTAGCTACCTTGAAATATATAATACATTGTTATGATCTGTAGTCAACCTACTACGTAATAAAACACTAGAACTTATTCCTTCTATCTAATTGTAACTTTATACTCATTGACCAACCTCTCCCTGTTCCCTCATTCCCCCTTTTCCATCCTCTGGTGACCACTATTCTACTCTCTGCTTCTATGAGATTAACTTTTGTAGATTCTGTGGATGAGTGAGATCGTGCAGCATTTGTCTTCTGTGTCTTAGATTCATTTAGCAAATTGTCCTCGAAGTTCATCTGTGTTTCTGTGAATAATAGGATTTCATTCCCTTTTTATAGTTGAATAGTACTCAATTGTGTATATATACCACATTTTCTTTAGCCATTTTTCTATAGATAAACATATAGATTGAGTCCATCTCTTGGCTATTGTGAATACTGCTGTAGTAAACATGAGAATGCAGGTTTCTCTTTGTTTTTTTTTTTTTAATGGTGTCAATTTTAAATAGTTTTATTTAAGACATTGCATTTTCCACTTAAAATACAGTGTTTATAAAGTGCAATTTTATTTCCTTCACCTGTGCGTATGTTCCATATTCAAGTATTGAGAATGCCCAGTAACTTACTATAGCAGCTGAACTTAACTGCCACAGAATTTGCTACAAATTTTGGTCCTTCAATGTTTTAAATGTGTGGAACAATGTTACGTCTATACTTGGGTTGGCTTAATCAGCCTCTTCAATAGTAGGCCCTGAGGAAGCACCACCAAAGCGAGGAGCTCCACCACCAGGGAATCCCCCAGGCATTCCTCCTGGCATGCCTCCTGCACTCTGGTACAGCTTGGTGTTGATGGGGTTGCAGACTTTCTCCAGCTTTCTGCTGATGTTCAAATTCTTCCTTCTCAGCAGCTTGATTCTTATCGAGCCAGTTGATAATTTCATTACACTTGTCCAGAATCTTCTGTTTGTCATCATCGTTAATCTTGCCCTGAAGTTTCTCATCTTCAACAGTTGATTTCATGTTGAATGCATAGGACTCAAGTGAATTCTAGGATGACACTTTGCCCCTCTGCTTCTCATCTTCAGCTTTGTACTTCTCAGCTTCCTGGGCCATACGTTCAATGTCTTCCTTGCTCAAACGGCGCTTGTCATTAGTGATAGTAATCTTGTTCTCTTTTCCTGTACTCTTGTCCACAGCAGAGACATTGAGGATGACATTGGCATCAATGTCAAAAGTGACTTCAACCTGAGGAACACCTCAGGGTGCAGGAGGTATGCCTGTGAGTTCAAACTTGCCAAACAGTTGTTATCCTTGGTCATGGCACACTCACCTTCATAAACCTGAATAAGCACACCAGGCTGGTTGTCAGAATAGGTAGTGAAGTTCTGTGTCTGCTTGGTAGGAATGGTAGTATTGCGCTTGATGAGGACGGTCATGACTCCATCAGCAGCTTCAATACGAAGGGAAAGAAGAGTGACATCCAAGAGCAGCAAATCTTGAACATTTTCAGACTTGTCTCCAGACAGGATGGCTGCCTGGACAGCTGCACCATAAGCGATGGCTTCATCAGGGTTGATGCTCTTATTCAGTTCTTTTCTATTGAAGAGGTCTTGGAGAAGTTTCTGAATCAGGGATATGAGTAGAACCACCAATCAGGACAATGTCATGAATCTGTGACTTCTCTAGTTTGGCATCTCGAAGGGCTTTCTCTATGGGGTCCAGGGTGCCATGGAACAGGTCAGCATTCTTTTCTTCAAATCGGGCATGGGTAATGGAGGTGTAGAAGTTGATTCCTTCATAAAGAGAATCGATCTCAATACTGGCCAGGGTGCTGGAAGAGAGAGTACACTTAGCTCATTCACAAGCAGTATGGAGGCATCTTAAAACTCTCTTGTTCTCATTGATGCCTTTCTTATGCTTGTGCTTGAACTCAGCAGTAAAAATGGTTGACCATTCGGTAGTCAAAATCTTCTCCACACAAGTGGGTGTCTCCGGCTCTAGATTTGACCTCAAAGATTCCATCCTCAGTAGTGAGGATTGACACATTGAAAGTGTCATCTCCCAGGTCAAAGATCAGCACATTTCTTTCTGCTCCAACCTTTTTGTCTAAGCCATAAGCAATAGCAGCTGCAGTTGGCTCATTAATAATTCTAAGTACATTGAGACCAGCAATAGTTCCAGCATCTTTGGTAGCCTGACACTGACAGTCATTAAAGTAAGCTGACACTGTGACCACAGCATTGGTAACAATCTTCCCAAGGTCGGCTTCTGCAATTTCCTTCATCTTTGTCAGAACCATAGAGGGTACCTCCTCTGGATAGAAGCTTTTTGTCTCTCCCTTGTATTCTACTTGGACCTTGAGCCTGACAGCATCATTCACCACCATGAAGGGCCAATGCTTCATATCAGACTGGACAACAGCGTCATCAAATCTGCATCCAATCAGACATTTGGCATCAAAAACGTTTGGCGTGTTGGTGGGGTTCATTGCAACTTGATTCTTTGTGGCATGACGGGTCAATCATTCAGTGTCCGTAAAGGTGACATAGGTTGGAGTGGTTCCGTTTCCCTGATCATTGGCAATTATCTCTACTTTTCCGTGCTGGAAAACACCCACACAAGAGTAGGTGGTGCCAAGATCAATACCAACTGCAGGTCCCTTCGACATGGTTGCTGGCATGTAGGCCTGGCTCCAACAAAGAAGAAAGCCACAGGAACCCCGAGAGCTGCAGGCGAGTTCAATTGCAGGTTTCTCTTTGACATACTGATTTCAATTCCTGTGGATAAATACTCAGTAGTGAAATTGCTGGATCATATGGTAATTCTTTTTAAATTTTTTGAGAAACCTTTACACCATTTTCCATAATAGTTGTACTAATTTACATTTCCACCAATAGTGTGTAAGAATTTTCCTTTCTAGCAGCTGGGTACAGTGGTGTGGGCCTGTAGTCTCAGATACTCAGGAGGCTGAGGCAGGAGGATAGTTTGAGCCCAGGACTTTGAGGCCAACCTGGGCAATACGGTGAGACATTATCTTTAAAAAAAAAAAAAGTGTTTAAAAAGATGAGTTCCCTTTTCTCTGCATCCTTGTCAGCATGTTTTACTTTTCATCTTTTAGATAACAGCCATTCTAATTGAGGTGAGGTGGTATCTCATTGTGATTTTGATTTGCATTTCCCTGATGATTAGTGATGTTGAGCATTTTGTCATTTACCTGGTGATTTGTATGTCTTATTTTGAGAAATGTCTATTCAGGTCTTTTGCTTATTTTAAAATCTGATTTTTTGTGGGGTTTTTTTGGCATTGAGTTGTTTGAATTCCTTGTGTATACTAAATATTAATCCCTTGTCAGATGGAAAGTTTGTGAATATTTTTTCCCATTCTTAAGATTGTCTCTTCACTCTGTTGATTGTTTCCTTTGCTATGCAGAAGGTTTTTGGTTTGTCCCATTTGTCTATTTTGCTTTTGTTGCCTGTGCTTCTGAGGTCCTGTCCAAAAAATTCTTGCCCAGACCAATTTCATGAAGTGTTTCCCCAGTGTTTTCTTCTAGTAGTTTATAGTTTTGGGTCTTACATTTCAGTCTTTAATCCATTTTGAGTTTTTTTTAATATGGTGAAAGATAGAGGTCTTTCATTTTTCCACATGTGAATATTCAGTTTTCCCAGCACCATTTATTGAAGAGACTGTCCTATTCCCCATGGGTGTTCTTGACACCTTTGTTGACAATTAATTGACTGTAAATGTGTGGATTTATTTCTGGATTTCTTTCTGCTCCATTGGTCTATGTGTCTGTTTTTATGCCAGTACCATGCTGATTGCATTATTATGGCTTTTTTGTGTATTTTGAAGTCAGTGTGTTGTCTCCAGCTTTATGCTTTTTGCTCAGGATTGCTTTGTCTATTTGATGTCTTTAGTGGTTCCATACGAATTTTAGGATTGTTCTTATATTTCTATGAAGAATGTCATTAATATTTTGATAGGAAGTGTGTTGAATCTATACAACATCATGGGTAGTATGGACATTTTAACAATATTGATTCTTCCAATCCATGAACACAGATAACTTTCAATTTATTTGTGCTATCTTGAATTTCTTTCATCAATGTTTTATAGTTTTTATAGTAGATATCTTTCACTTCCTTGGTTAAGCTTATTCCTAGTGTTTTTTTTTTGGTAGCTATTATAAATAGAACTTCTTTCTTGATTCTTTTTTAGATAGTGTGCTATTGGCATATAGAACTACTACTGATTTTTGTAGGTTGATTCTGTGTCTTGAAACTTTACTGAATTCATTTATTCGTTTTGGATCTGGGTCACACTGATGAAAGAGGTGGGTTCCCATGGTCTTCGGTAGCTCTGCCCCTGTGGCTTTGTAGGGTACAGCCTCCTTCCTGGCTGCTTTCATGGGCTAGTGTTGAGTGTCTGTGGCTTTTTCAGGCTCACAGTGCAAGCTGTCAGTGGATCTACCATTCTGGTGTCTGGAGGATGGTGGCCCTCTTCTCACAGCTCCACTAGGCAGCACCTCAGTGGGGATTCTGTGTGGAGGCTTGCACCCCACATTTCCTTTTTGCACTGCCCTAGCAGAGGTTCTCCATGAGTGTCCCACCCCTGCAGCAAACTTCTGCCTGAACATCCAGGCATTTCCATACATCCTCTGAAACCTAGGCAGAGGTTCCCAAACCTTAATTTTTGACTTCTATGCACCTGCAGGCTCAACACCATGTGGAAACTGCCAAGACTTGGAGCTTGCACCCTCTGAAGCCATGGCTTGAGCTGTACCTTGGCCCCTTTTAGTTGCAGCTGAAGTGGCTGGGACGCAAGGCACCAAGTTCCTAGGCTGCACACAACAGAGAGACCCTGGGCCTAGCCCACAGAGCCATTTTTTCCTCCTATGTCTCTGGGCCTGTGATGGGAGGGACTGTCATAAAGGTCTCTGACATGCCCTGGAGACATTTTCCCCAGTGTCTTGGTGATTAACATTCAGCTCCTCATTATTTATGGAAATATCTGCAGGCAGCTTGAAATTCTCCTCAGAAAATGGGATTGTTTTTTCCTATTGCATTGTTAAGCTGAAAATTTTCTGAACTTTTATGCTCTGTTTCCCTTTTAAAACTGAATGCCTTTAACAGCACCCAGGTAATCTCTTCAATGCTTTGCTGTTTAGAAATTTCTTCTGCCAGATACCCTAAATCATCTCTCTCAAGTTCAAAGTTCCACAAATCTCTAGGGCTGGGGCAAAATGCCACCAGTCTCTTTGCTAAAACATAACAAGAGTCACCTTTGCTCCAGTTCCAAACAAGTTCCTCATCTCCATCTGAGACCACCTCAACCTGGATTTCATTGTCCATATCATTATCAGCATTTTGGTCAAAGCCATTCATTAAGTCTCTAGGGAGTTCCAAACTTTCCCACATTTTCCTGTCTTCTTCTGAGCCCTCCAAACTGTTCCAACCTCTGCCCGTTACCCAGTTTCAAAGTTACTTCCACATTTCAGATATCTTTTCAGCAGTGTCCCTCTCTACTGGTACCAATTTACTGTATTAGTTTTTTTCATGCTGCTGATAAAGACATACCTGAGACTGGGAAGAAAAAGAGGTTTAATTGCTGTACAGTTCCATGTGGCTGGGGAGGCCTCACAATCATGGCAGAAGACAAGGAGGAGCAAGTCATGTCTTACATGGATGGCAACAGGCAAAGAGAGAGAGCTTGTGCAAGGGAACTCCTCCTTTTAAAACCATCAGATCTCATGAGACTTATTCACTATCACAAGAACAGCACGGGAAAGACCTGCCCCCATGATTCAATTACCTCCCACTGTGTCCCTCCCATAACACATGGGAATTCAAGGTGAGATTTGAGCAGGGACACAGCCAAACCATATCAACCATGTATTTTCTTTATCCCCCTGAATTTCATGTCATTTATATATGAATACTTAAACATGGGTTTGTTATTTTATTTTTAAATTTTTGTGAGTACATAGTAGGTATTTATATTTATGGGATACATGAGATGTTTTGATACAGGCATGCAACATGAAATAAACACATCATGGAGAATGGGATATCCATCTCATCAAGCATTTATCCTTTGAGTTACAAACAATCCAATTACACTCTTTGAGTTAATTTAAAATGTATATTGTTTTTATTGACTATAGACATTCAGTTGTGCTATCAAATCATAGGTCTTATTCATTCTTCCTACTTTTTTGTACCCATTAACCATCCCCATCTCTCCCCAAGCCACCCATTACCTTTCCCAGCCTCTGGTAACAATCCTTGTACTCTCTGTGTCCATGAGTTCAGCTGTTTTGAGTTTTAGATCCCATAAAAAAGTAAAAACATGCAATGTCTGTCTTTTTGTGCCTAGCTTATTTTACTTAAAATAATGATCTCCAGTTCCATCCATGTCATTGCAAATGACTGGATCTATTTTTTTTATGGCTGAATAGTACTCCATTGTGTATGTGTGCCACATTTTCTTTTTCCATTTTTCTGTTGATGGACAGTCAGGTTGCTCCCAATCTTAGATATTGTAAACAATCCTGCAACAAAAATAGTAGTGCAGATATGTCTTGATACACTGATTTCCCTCCTTTTGGATATACACACAGCAGTGGGATTGTTGGATCACATGGTAGCTCAATTTTCAGTTTAATGAGGAACCTCCAAACTGTTCTCTATAGTGATTTTACTAATTTACATTCCCACCAACATACAAGCATTCTCTTTTCTCCACATCCCCACCAGCATCTGTTATTGCCTGTCTTTTGGATATAAGACATTTTAACTGGGGTGAGATGATATCTTATTGTAGTTTTGATTTGCATTTCTCTGATGATCAATCATGTTGAGTACCTTTTCATATGCCTGTTTGCCATTTGTATATCTTCTTTTGAGAAATGTCTATTCAAACCTTTTGTCCATTTTTTAGTCAGATTATTAGATTTTTTCCTATAAAGTTGTTTGAGCTCCTTATATATTCTGGTTATTAATCTCTTGTCAGATAGGTAGCTTGTAAATACTTTCTCCCATTCTGTAGGTTGTCTCTTCACTTTATTGACTGTATTTTTTGCTGTACAGAAGCTTTTTAACTTGGTATGATCCCATTTGTCCAGTTTTGCTTTGGTTGCCAGTGCTTGTGGGGTATTAGTCAAAATTTTTTTGCCCAGACCAATGTCCTGGAGATTTCCCAAATGTTTTATTGTAGTAGTTTCATAGTTTGAGGTCTCAGATGTAAGCCTTTAATCCATTTTGATTTGGTTTTTGTATATGGTGAAAGATAGGGGTTGAGTTTCATTCTTCTGCATATGGATATCCAGTTTTCCCAGCACAATTTATTGAAGAGACCGTCTTTTCTCCAGTGTGTGTTCTTGGCACCTTTGCTGAAAATGAGTTCACTGTAGGTGTGTGGATTTGTTTCTGGGTTCTCTATTCTGTTCCATTGGCCTACGTGTCTGTTTTTGTGTCAGTACCATGTTGTTTTGGTTACTACAGCTCTGTAGTACAATTTGAAGTCAGGTAATATGATTCCTCCAGTTTTGTTCTTTTTGCTTAGGATAGCTTTGGGTATTCTGGGTCTTTTGTGGTTTCATATATATTCTAGGAATTTTTTTCTATTTCTGTGAAGAATGTCATTGGTATTTTGATAGGGATTGCATTGAATCTGTAGATTGCTTTGGGTAGCATGAACATTTTAACAATATTGATTCTTCCAATGCATGAACATGGAATATCTTTCCACTTGTTGGTGTCCTCTTCAATTTCTTTCATCAGTATTTTATAGTTTTTATTATAGAGACCTTTCACTTCTTTGATTAAGTCAATTCCTAGGTATGCAGTTTTATCTGTGGCTATTGTAAATGGGATTACTTTTTAAATTTCTTTTTAACATTGTTCACTGTAGGCATATAGAAATGCTACTGATTTTTTATGTTGACTTTTTATCCCTCAACTTTACTGAATTTATCAGTTCTAATAGTTTTCTTGCAAAGTGTTTATATTTTTCCAAATATAAGATTATATCATCTGCAGACAAGGGTAATTTGACTTCTTTCTTTCCAGTTTGGGTGCCCTTTATATCTTTCCCTTATCTGATTACTCTAGTTAGGGCTTCCAGTACTATGTTGAATAATGGTGATGATAATGGGCATCCTTGTCATGTTCCAGATCTTAGAAGAAACGTTTTCAGTTTTTCCCCATTTGGTGTGATTCTAGTGTGAGTCTGTTGTATATGGCTTTTATTATGTTGAGGTATGTTCCTTCTATCCCCAATTTTTTCTTGGGATTTTTATATGAAAAGATGTTGAATTTTATCAAATGCATTTCAACATCAATTGAAATGATCATATGGTTTTGATACTTCATTCTGTTGATATAATGTAGCACACTGATTTCCATATGTTGAACCATCCCTGCATCCCAGGGATAAATCCCACTTTGTTATGATGAATGATCTTTCTAATATATTGTTGAACTCAATTTGCTAGTATTTTGTTGAGGATTTTTGCATCAATATTCAGAGATATTGGCCTGAAGTTTACCTTTTTTTGATGTGTCTTTGTCTGGTTTTGGTATCAGGGCAATATGGGCCTCATGTAATGAGTTTTGAAGTATTTCCTCCTCTATTTTATGGAACAGTTTGAGCAGGATTGGTATTAGTTCTTTAAATGTTTGGTAGAATTCAACAGTGAAGCCATCAGGTCCTGGGCTTTTCTTTACTGGGAGACTTTTTATTATGGCTTTGATCTCATTACTTTCATTGGTCTGTTTGGGTTTTGGATTTCTTCCAAATTCCACCTTGGTAGGCTGTATGAGTCTAGGAATTTGTGTATTTCTTCTTGATTTTCCAATTTATTGGCATTTAATTGCTCATAGTAGCCACTAATAATCCTTTGATTTTTTGCAGTATTAGTTGTAATGTCTTCTTTCTCATTTCTGATTTTATGAATTTAGATCCTCTCTCTTTTTTTCTTAGTCTGGCAAAAAGTTTGTCAATTTTTCTTAAGTTATATAAAAATTTTTAATTGATATTTTAGATTTCTTTATATAAATTGTATTTATTTCTGCTCAGATATTTATTATTTCTTTTCTTCTACTATTTTTGGGTTGGATTTGCCCTTACTTTTCTAGTTCTTTTAAGATGCATTGTTGGATTTTTCATTTGAAGTTTTCCCTCTTTTTTGATGTAGGCACTTATCACTATTGATATAAAATTCCATCTTAGTACTGTATTTGCTATATCCCACAGGTTTTGGTAAGTTGTGTTTCTATTATCATTTGTTTCAAGAAATTTTAAAATTTCATTCTTAATTTATTTATTGACACACTGGTCATTCAGGAGCACAATGTTTAATTTCTATGTATTTGTATAATTTCCAAAATTCCTCTTGTCATTAATTTCTAGTTTTTTTGTTTAATTTTTATTTTTTAATTTTATTTATTGATCATTCTTGGGTGTTTCTCGCAGAGGGGGATTTGGCCGGGTCATAGGACAATAGTGGAAGGAAGGTCAGCAGATAAACAAATGAACAAAGGTCTCTGGTTTTCCTAAGCAGAGGACCTTGGGGCCTTCTGCAGTGTTTGTGTCCCTGGGTACTTGAGATTAGGGAGTGGTGATGACTCTTAATGAGCATGTTGCCTTCAAGCATCTGTTTAACAAAGCACATCTTGCACCACCCTTAATCCATTTAACCCTGAGTGGACACAGCACATGTTTCAGAGAGCACCGGGTTGGGGGTAAGGTCATAAATCAACAGGATCCCAAGGCAGAATTTTTCTTAGTACAGAACAAAATGGAGTCTCCTATGTCTACTTCTTTCTACACAGACACAGCAACAATCTGATTTCTCTATCTTTTCCCCACATTTCCCCCTTTTCTATTTGACAAAACCGCCATCGTCATCATGGCCCATTCTCAATGAGCTGTTGGGTACACCTCCCAGACGGGGTGGCAGCCAGGCAGAGGGGCTCCTCACTTCCCAGAAGGGGCAGCCGGGCAGAGGCACCCCCCACCTCCCGGACGGGGTGGCTGGCCGGCCGGGGGCTGCCCCCCACCTCCCTCCCGGACGGGTCAGCTGGCCGGGCGGGGGCTGCCCCCCCACCTCCCGGACGGGGCGGCTGCCAGGCAGAGACGCTCCTCACTTCCCAGATGGGGCGGCTGCCAGGCAGAGGGGCTCCTCACTTCTCAGACGGGGTGGCTGCCGGGCAGAGGGGCTCCTCACTTCTCAGACGGGGCGGCCGGGCAGAGACGCTCCTCACTTCCTAGATGGGATGGCGGCCAGGAAGAGGCACTCCTCACTTCCCAGACTGGGCAGCCGGGCAGAGGGGCTCCTCACAACCCAGACGATGGGCGGCCAGGCAGAGACGCTCCTCACTTCCCAGACAGGGTGGCGGCTGGGCAGAGGCTGCAATCTCGGCACTTTGGGAGGCCAAGGCAGGTGGCTCGGAGGTGGAGGTTGTAGTGAGCCGAGATCACGCCACTGCACTCCAGCCTGGGCAACATTGAGCACTGAGTGAATGAGACTCCATCTGCAATCCCAGCACCTCGGGAGGCCGAGGCTGGCAGATCACTCCTGGTTAGGAGCTGGAGACCAGCCCGGCCAATACAGCGAAACCCCATCTCCACCAAAAAAATACGAAAACCAGTCAGGCGTGGCGGCGCATGCCTGCAATCGCAGGCACTCGGCAGGTTGAGGCAGGAGAATCAGGCAGGGAGGTTGCAGTGAGCAGAGCTGGCGGCAGTACAGTCTAGCTTCGGCACAGCATCAGAGGGAGACCGTGGAAAGGGGAGAGGGAGAGGGAGAGGGAGAGGGAGAGCATTAATTTCTAGTTTTATTCCACTGTGGTCAGAGAAGATGCTTGATATGATTTCAATTTTTTTTTAATGTTTCAAGATTTATTTTGTGATCTAACATATGGTCTATCTTTGAGAATGATTGATGTGCTGAGGAAAATTATGTGTATTCTATAGCTCTTGGATAAAATGTTCTGTAAATATCTATGAAATCCATTTGGTTTATAGTGCAGATTAAGGTGGATGTTTCTTTGTTGGTTTTATGTCTGGAAGATGTGTCTAATACTGAAAGTGGGGTGTTGAAGTCTCCAACTATTATTCTATTGGGACCTATCTCTCTCTTTAACTCTAATAATATTTGCTTCATATTTCTGGGTCCTTCTGGGTCCTTAGATGCATATATATTTTAAACTGTTATATCCTCTTGCTGAATTGACTCCTTTATTATTGTATAGTGACCTTCTTTGTCTCTTCTTATAGTTTTTGTCTTGAAATATATTTTGTCTGATATATGAGAACATCAAGGGGGAAATATGCCACCATGATCCAATCACCTCCCACAAGATCCCTCCCCTGACATGTGGGGATTACAATTTGACATAAGATTTGTTTGGGAATGCAGAGCCAAGCCATATCAACAGTTTTAAAGAAACTTTTCATGATATAGGTACTCTTGCTCTTTCTTGTTTCATTTGCATATCTTTTTTAATCCCTTTATTTTCATTCTATGTGTATCTTTATAGGTGAAGTGTGTTTCTTGTAGGCAACAGATCAATGGGTTTTGCTTTTTCATCCATTCAACCACTCTATGTCTTTTGATTGGAGACATTTATATTCAATGTTATTGTTGGTAAGTAAGGACTTACTCCTGTCATTTTGCTATTTATGTTCTGGTTGTTTTCTGGTCTTCTCTTCCTTTCTTCTTCTGACTTCCTTTAGTGAAGATAATTTTTCTCTGGTGGTATGATTTTGTTTCTTGCTTTTTTTGTATGTCTCCATTGCCTGTTTTTTGGATTGAGGTTGCCATGATGCTTACAAATACTATCTTATAACCCATTATTTCAAACTGATAACAATTTAACACTTTTACATAAACAAACAAATGAGCAAAAAGAAAACTAATAAAAACTCTAAGCCTTTATCCCCCACTTTTTAACTTTTTGGTTTTTTCTATTTATATATTTTTGTACTGAGTATATCTGGAAAAGTTGCAATAATTATTTTTGATTGGTTCATCATTTAGTCTTTCTACTTAAGATAAGAGTAGTTTACACACCATAGTTAAAGTGTTATAATTTTTTCTCTGTGTACTTACTATTACCAGTGAGTTTTGTACCTTTAGGTGACTACTTATTGCTCATTAATGTCCTTTTCTTTCTGATTGAAGTACTCTGTTTAGCTTTCTTGTAGGACAGGTCTGGTGTTCATAAAATTCCTCAGCTTTCATTTGCCTGGAAAAGTCTTTATCCTTCATGTTTGAAGGATATATTTGCTAGATATACTATTCCAGGGTAAAAGCCTTTTTCCTTCAGCACTTTAAATATGTCATGCCACTCACTCCTGGCCTGTAAGTTTTCCACTGAAAAGTTTACTGCCAGATGTATTGGAGCTCCATTGTATGTTATTTCTTTCTTCTCTCTTGCTGCTTTTTAAGATCCTTTACCTTTGGGTAAAGTTTGATTATTAAATGTCTTGAGGTAGTCTTCTTTGGGTTAAATCTGCTTGGCATTCTATAACCATCTTGTATTTGGATATTGACATCTTTCTTTAGGTTTGGGAAGTTCTCTGTTAATAATCTTTCTACTCCTATTTCTCTCTTTACCTCCTCTTTAAGGCCAATAACTGTTAGATTTTCCCTTTTGAGGCTATATTCTAGATCCTGTAGGTGTACTTCATTTTTTTTAAATTCCTTTTTCATTTGTCTCCTCTGACTGTGTATTTTCAAAAAGCCTGTCTTCAAGCTCACTAATTCTTCTTTTCTACTCGATCCATTCTGCTATTAAGGGACTCTGATGCATTCTTCAGTACAGCAGTTGGGTTTTTCAGCTCCAGAATTTCTGATTGATTCTTTTTAATTATTTCAATCTCTTTGATAAATTTATCTGGTAGAATTCTGAATTTCTTCTCTGTTATCTTGAATTTCTTTGAGCTCTCTCAACACAGCTACTTTGAATTCTCTGTCTGAAAGGTCACATATCTCTGTTTCTCCAGGAGTGATCCCTGGTGCCTCATTTAGCTCATTTGATGAGGTCGTGTTTTCCTGGATGGTGTTGATTCTAGTAGGTGTTCTTTGGTGTCTTGGCATTGAAGAGTTAGGTATTTATGGTAGTCTTCACTGTCTGAGCATATTTGTATTTGTCCTCCTTGGGAGGATTTTCAGGTATTTGAAGACTTGGGTGTTGTGATTTAAGCTGTATCTGCCTTAGGGGAAACTCCAAACCCAGTAATACTGTGTTTCTTGCAGACTTGTAGCGGTATCCCCTTGATAGTCTTGGACAAGATTCAGAAGAATTCTCTGGATTACTAGGCAAAGAGTCTTGTTCTCTTCTTTTACTTTCTCCCAAACAAACAGAGTCTCTGTCTCTGTTCTGAGCCACCTAAAGCTGGGGGGTGGAGTGACACAGCACCCCTGTGGCCACCACCACTATGACTGTGCTAGGTCAGACCTGAAGCCAGCACAGTACTAGGTCTTGCCTAAGGTGTGCTATAACCACTCCCTGGGTACTGCATATGTTTTCTCAAGGCCCTGAGGCTCTACAGTCAGCAGGTAGCAAAACCAACCAGGCCTGTGTCCTTCCCTTCAGGGTAGCGAGGTCCTGGCTGGGTCTAGATGTGCTGTCTGGGAGTCAGGGACTAGAATCAAATACCTTAAGACGTCTACCTGGCGTTCTATTGTAACTGCAGCTGAGCTGGCACTCAAACCACAAGATGCAGTTCTTCCCACCCTTCCTTCCCTTTCCCAAAGGCAAAGGTGCCTCACCCCATGGCCACTGCCACCTCAGGCCATAAGGAGTACTGCCAGGCTACTGCCGATGTTCCCTTCTGGCCCAAGGGCTCTTACGTCAGCCTGTGGTAAATGTTACCTGGACTCACCCTTCAGGGCAGTGGGCTCCCTTCTAGGCCCCAGCAGGTCCAGAAATGCCATCTGTGTCAAGTCCTGGAATCAGACATCCTAAAAGCTCACTTAGTGCCCTACCCTCCTGTGCCATGCTGTTACCTGAAGCCAGCAAGTCTCAGAGCCTCACCCAAGGCCCTTGACATATTACCTGGGTATTCCTGCTGATTATTCAGGGCCCAAGGGCTCTTTGGTGAGCAGAAGATAAAGGTTTCAAGGACCAAGTCCTTTCCTTCAAGACAGTGGCCTTTCTTCTGGCCCAGGGTGTGTCTAGAAACATTGTATGGGAACTAGAGCCTGGAAGGGGAGCCTCAAAACTCTGATGAGTACTCTATCCTGCTGTGACTGAGCTGGTATCCAAGACACAAGACAAAGCCTTCTCCACTCTTCCCTCTCCTCTTCTCAAGTGGATGGAAGGGGTCTCTTTTGGAGCTGCAAGTGGTGCAGCCTGGGAATGGGGAGTGGGTAAATGTCACCCTTCCCTCCTTCAGGCACTGTCTCTGGGCCTAGTTCAGCATTAGGACTCACCTACGAGTTGCAATCCTTATGGCCTGGATGACCTTTCAAGTTTACTTGGAGACACAGAGTGCTGCAGCCCTCAGTGGTGAGGGTTGCAGGAACTCAAGTTCTGTTAGCTGGGATGTGTGATTCCTCTCTGGCTAGGGCTCCTTTAAAGGCTCCCTCCATGAGCAGGCATCAGCTGAGTTTGGTCTGGTTTTCCTTTCTGCTCTAACAGGACAGCACTGAGTTCAATGCCTCACAATGGCTGTGTTCTCCCTCCCCCAGCACCTAGAGATGCTCCCTGCACCATGCTGCTGCTGCTGGGGGTCAGGGAGGGGTGGCATCAGGGATTCAGGACTGTTTCATCTTTCTCTTCTGTGCCTATTTCAGTGATATGAACTTAAAACCAGGTACTATGAGGGCTCACCTAATTTTTGGTTATTATGAAGGTGTTTTTTTCACTATAGATAGTTGGTAAATTGGTGTCCTTGTAGCGGGGACTTTGGTGGAGCCTTCTATTCCACCATCTTGCTCCACCTCTCTCAAGCATGGGTCTGTTGCCTTAAAAAAAAAAAATCATTAGGATCCTTTTTGAAAAACTGATCGGGTAAAGCCACCACTCAGTTCATGGTATTTTGTCATAGCAACCTGAATGGACAAAGACAGAAAATTGGTACTGAGAAGTGGGAGTGCTGTTGTAACAGATTCCTAAAATGTGGAAACAGCTTTGGAACTGGGTCATGGGTACAGGCTGCAGGAATTTTAAAGTGTGTGCTAGAATAAGTCTGCATTGACGTGCATAGATTGTAAGGGTGATTATGGTGAGTGCCCAGAAGGAGAAGAGGCAAACTATAGAGAAAGCCTCAGTCTTATTAGAGAATACCTAAGCAGTCATAAACAGAATGTTAATTAAAATATGGATGATAAAGGTCATTCTGGTGAGGTGAAAGACAGAAATGAGGAATATGATATTGGACAGTGGAAGAAAAACTATCTTTTTAATAAAGTGGCAAAGAACATGGCTAAATTGTTTTGTGTTCTATTATTTTGAGGAAGATTTAATTTGTGAGCAATGAAATTGGATATTTGGCTGAGGAAATTGCTAAGCAAAGTGTTGAAGGTATGGTGTGGTTTCTCTTGACTTCCTATAATAAAATGCAAGAAGAGAGAAATGATTTGAAGCTACAATTGTTAATGAAAAGGAAGCAGAACTTAACAATTGTGAAAAATCTCAGCCTATCTCTATCGGAAAAAATGAGAAAACCTGTTTGGAAGACAACAAGGGTGTGGCCAAGTGATTGATACATCAGGCATTTCAGTGGAAGCCAGGTGCTATTTATCAAGACAATGGGGAGATTAGTGAGCTGTCTAAACAGAAGTCAGAACATATTCCTAAGACAATGCAAGAATGTCCCCAAAGGCATTTCAGAGATCACTGGGATTGCCCCTCCTATCATAGGCCTAGAGTGCCAGGGCCTGGGGCTGGAGCAATATCAAGGGTGGGGAATCCCTGGTGCCTGTGTTACCTCACATCTCAGGCTTCTCTCACTGCGCTGGGTTGCCATGCTGCTTGGCGGCCTGAAGTGCAGCAAGTGCTGCACCCAGCAAAGCTTCGGAGGTATGGCTGCCTCCATCTAGATTCCAAAGTATGTTCCAGAGAGCTGGGGATGAAGCAGAGAGCTTCCATGGGGGCAGGGTCACCTCTGAGACCCCAGATGGTAGAGCCACCTGTGTGATTCCAGCTCAGAAGAGCTGAAAGCACACAACTCCAACCTGTGAGTGCCTTGGACTGGCTATTCCCAGCAAAGCCATCAGGGAGAGACTGCCCAAATCTGTGGAGGCAGGACCACTGGCCCAGTGGGTAGGGAAGATGTTATCAAACCAAACTAAGGTCCACTCACTGTGTTTAGTAAGGCCAGATATCCACACCAAAATTTGCAGTGGGAGAAAGCAAGGCCTTTCTTTGCAGGGCACCAAGCAAGAAGGATCAGGCAGCTAATGCTCAAGTCTTGACTTCCCAGATTGCTTGAAGGTAGGATTTTTTCAAGGTAGGGATAAATTTCAGGAAGGCAGAAGTTACAAGCAAAATCCTAAATCAATACATGGAGGCTACAAATTAGTTTTGAGAGGTTACACGAAGGCAGGATATCTTGAAGTGGGGGCTTCTAGGTCATAGTCTATGTAGAGTCAAAGATTTTCTGATTTGCAATTGGTTAAGGAAGAGAAGCTTTGTTAAAAATGTTGAGGTCAGGAGAAAAGACTGTTAGCTCTGGCTCATGAGCGTGACCTCCTCCAGGCCCTTCAGGAAGAACTTTAGAATAAAGAATGGTGGTCAGAGTTCAGTCCGCAGTTCCCCCTTATCTGAGATCTACATGCCAGTGGATCCATTTGGTGGAGTTATGGGTTTCTGAAAAACAACACAGAGACATGTGTTAAGATGTTATCTTTAGTTTCTATGAGGAACCAAACATCCTATGATTCCAGCTTCCTGGGCTATTGTTTTAAGCTACTATTACATTCTTGCTTATCAAGTTACTTATTTACTTTTCAGGGATAGCTAGGTACTTGGGATTTCTCTTGAAGGCACTCAAGATTTTCCTTTATTTCCATGCTTGGGGGGACCTGCAATCCCCTAAGTGAGGGTTCTTCCTCCATCTTAATGGCAGGACCTTTGTCGCAGTGAGCCTGGAGGGCAAAATATCAGGTCAAAAAAGATTATTCTCCAGGTTTAAAGCTTTAGACTTGATCGAGACCTGCCTCTTTTTTCTTCCTTCCTATGTCTTTCTTTTGGAATGGGAATGTCTGTCCTGTGCCTGTCCTGTCCCATCATTGCATTTTGGGAGCACATAACTTGTTTGGTTTCACAAGTTCACAGCTAGAGAGCAATTTGCCTCAGAATGAATCAAATTTTGAATATCACCCATATCTGATTAGCATGATATTTAAATGAAACTTTAGATTTTCACATTGGTGTTGAAATGAGTTAAGACTTTTCGGACTACTGGGATGAAACAAATGTATTTTGTATGAGAGAGGGAATTGAAATTTGGGAGACTAGGGGTGCAGTGCTGTGGTTTGAATATTTGTGTCCTCCCCTCCAAATTCATTTGTTGAAATCTTACCCTGTAAAGTAATGGTAATAGGGGGTGGGTCTTTGGAAGGTGATTAGGTTGTGAGGGTGGAGCCCTTGTGAATGGGATTAGTGCCCTTACAAAAGAGGCCTGAGAGATCTCCTTTGGCCCCTCTGCCACATGAAGTTACAACAATCACCTCCAACTCAGAAAAGAGAGGCACATGGGAAGCCACTGAATGGAGTCTCTTGCTTGGCAATTCCACCAGAACCTGTGAAAAGGGGCAGGAGCAGTTCCCCAAAGGTGGGGATACCCAGAAGAGGCACATAATACCTCAAGGGAGAGGAGAGATGCTGGGTAGCCAGAAATAATAAAAGGCCACTATAGCTTTCCAAACTATATTTGAAGAGAGGCCTAAAAATCATCATTTCCCCCCCTCATATCACTTAATGGTTATCTTTTTACCACCAAAGCTCTATAATATTTCATGATAAATTGTTTTTGCCTGAAATTTGATGAAAACTTCTTTTTTCATTAGGGAAAATATTACAAAGTGTATAAAAGGAAGGAAAACAGGGTGTTTTGTTTTAAAAAGCAAACTACTCTACATCTTGTTGGTGCAACCAGATGTGCCTTGGCTTTTGTTTTTGCATATTCATTAGATTTCATTGTTCAAAGTGATCCTGTAAGAATCCAGCCAAGCCTTACAAGAGGATGTCATACTGGCCTCATTCCAAGGAAATCAATAATTTTATTTCAAGCTGCTCTCCCTTCTCTTAGCTGTGGGTTTCTAAGCAAGGCCACTGGTGTTCCCCTCTCTATGAATTACAAGGTGGTTCAGACCTCCAGTATTTCTATTATAGAGCATTCTGTCTTTCATTTAAAAATTGCCTCTTATGAGTATTATTCTCTGTTCTAAAAAGACTTCATTGTTTCTCTTCTATTCTACATTCCTTCTGTGTTCAAGGTCGCTAGTTACTCTATTATTCAGGCAGACAATCTTTTCATAATTTTTTTTTCCAATCAGTCTCCGTTCAAGGACTTACATTCTCAATATCCCCCATAAGTTTTGCCATTTCTTCTCATGAAAACATTCTCCATAGCTTCCCTTTCTTTAGCAGCTTCATGTATTCAGTTCTTTGTAATGCATTACTGTGCGGAATGTAGGCAAACCTTGTTTATGGTACATTTTGTTTGGGTAAAAAGATTTCTTCTTATTTCCTTAGAATCAGCAACGATTAACTAAAGTTTATGAATTGATTTGGGAAAACCCGCTGTTATTATCTAGCTTACATGGAGAGAATTCTCAGCCTCCAAGGGGCAAGAGACACAAGTTTTGAGGGTAGCAGAAACAGAGCATAGATCAAAAGGCAAGGATAACTGAAGCTGGGGTTTTATGGGAAAAGTACAGAAATCAAAATAATCTTTTGAATAAAAGTTCCAAAATAAAATTTAAGGTGGTCAGAAATCTTGCTTAAACTAAATATATATGTATTATATTGTTTTATCAAGAGACTATCCCATTAATACTCACAGCAACTACTAATTAATGACAGCTTATCATGTATTGCTTCTAACCACGAAGAATTGCAATTAAAGTCCTCATTTTACAAAATGCAAGATCAGAGAACTAGTAAAAACTGGGCCTGTTTAATTCCAAAGTCAGTGATCTTTTCTATCCTCTGCTGCCTCATAATATAGTATGCAATGCTGACATGTGCAAAGCTGGTCTTTAGACTTGAATAATCCCTGTAAGAGGAACGATTTTTAATGAAATAGACTGAATATTCTATAAAAGAAATATTGGAACTATTGAACCTCCTTGTGAGATGGGGCAGTTCCCTGACCCTCTTGTGGGATTTGTGAAGGGAGAGCGGGGGGATGGCTCATTTTGCTTGGCCACTGAGCTCAAACCCCTTGTGGGAGGGGGAGCACTTAGGTGAGCAGGTGCAGGAGCTGGGGTGAGTGCCTTTAGGCACCAGCAGGAATGAACCCTTTACCAGCCTGTGGCAGCATCTAGTGGTTGCCCAAGACCTCTGGAGCCCCAGAGAGTGTGTGCTACAAACAATGCTCTTTTAGTGTTTGCCATCTGTGGATGGCTAAGTGTTAACCAGTTCAGTGGAGAGTCAGGGTGACAGCCTTTTACATCCTGCCCTCTTGATACCTGGGTCCTTGTCTGGTGTCCAGGAAGGATCAGGTCACATGGACTTGAAGGATGGTGAATGAGGAGGTTTTATTGAGTGATGGAGGTGGCTCTCACAAAGAGGAGCTGGGAGGGGGATGATGCGAGAAGAAGATGATCATTCCCTGAAGCCTTGCTGTCTCCCGCAGGGCTCCTCTCCAAAGTTGTGCCATCTGAGATTAAGCATGCATATCCATAGTCTCCATCACTCTGTTGCTTCTTCTCCTCACTCGTTCTCTGCCACGCCACTCTGCTCTTCTGCTGGTGAAGTTTGGGGTTTTTATGGATACAGGTTGGGGGGTGTGGTGGGCCAGGGTGGTTTTGGAAAAACCAACGTTTGGGTGGGAAAACAGGAATAATTGTTCTTATTTAGGACAAGCTGTGGCTTCCAGGCTTGAGGGTCAGGCCTTTGCCTGGGAACTGCCCTCTTCTATCCAGTATTTCCCTGCCTCCCATCTGTATCACTTGCTATACCTATGAGATCCATGTCTAATTTTCTTGGACCAAAAATCCAGATAGACCTGATAATTTGAAGTTAGGGATGACTCTAGGTAAATGTATAAATAAAGACTTATTCCCCTTCTGCGGTACCCTCATTATTATGCCAATCCCAGGGGATATTCATTATCATCATGATACACGTTAGCTCTGCCATACTTCCTAGCTTGTGTGAACTGGAAAGTTACTTAGCTTCTCTGAACCTCATTTCCTGCATGTAGAAATTGGAGAGAAGAGATTGGATCAAGATAGCATACTAAACACATATTTTGGCCTTTTTTCTCATCATAAAACCATATAAATGGCAGAAAAATACTTTAAAAACTCATAACCGTTCTGGAAAACAAGAAAAGGCTATGTTAATTTACCAGAATGTAGAAGGAATAGTTGCAATCAGAAAGCAGATGGAATTTGATGGAGAAACCACAGCCCAAAACATACTTAGGAACATTTCATTGTGGGAGGTGAGAGGGTTCTAGAGACTCAGCAGAAGCAGATAATATCTTCAAGTGTATAAATATAAATGATCAGGGTGAAAAAATTGGAAGCAGGTGGGAGCGAGGAGCTACTTTAAGTAGGGACAGGAAAAAGAGACTCTGAGGAGCCCTGAGACCTGAGGGATAGAAAGAGCCAGCAATGAGAAGACACAGGGACAAATTATTCAGGAAGGGGGAACAGCAAGTGCAAAGAAAGTAGAAAGGAAAGAACATGATCTTGGATAAAAAAGAGCCCGGTGTAGGTACAGCAAGTGAGTGGACTGAAGTTGGAGATGGTAGCTGGGATTAAGAGCCCCTTGGAAGCACTTATGTCTCTGAAGGGCATGATTGTGTTGCAAGGATTTGAGGGGTTATGAGAACCAACTGTTTGTTGCTGATGACTTACCTTGTTTCTTTGCTGCTGTCTGTTCTGCTGTGAGTCCTCATATAAGTGGGGCTAAGATCTGAGCTCTCACCTTCCATCCTAGAAAACTAAGGAGAGTTTGGGGTTTGATGGTTATAATGAGTAATTTGTCAAACTCCTTACTAATTTAACTTCAGGTTTTCTGAGCACGGATGGCCTGGGTGGGCAGTCTTAGGCTCTGAAAGAGAAGGGTTTGGCCTAGGCCCTGAACTGTTTGGTGAGAGGTGATCAGCATGCCAACCTGAGTGGAATGGCCATTCCACTCCTGCTGTGCCTTCAGCTGACCCCAATATCCTTTCTAATCACATACAAGCTGGTTTGGAAGGTTGATGGGTGGTTGTGAGTAGAAGGTTGTGCCAGGAAAACTGTAGAAAGCGAACCTTTTGCATTCTTTCTGACAGTGAGGCCTGATACTCTACTTATATCTGCAGTTTCTAGAGCTGAAGTGGGCTATTGAGAATACATTTAAGAAGTAAGCATGGAGTAGCATTCTGAATGTGGACTGATAACAGCGCCTCACTTATCAGCAGAAAATTGCACGCTGCAAGGCAGCATTGGATGGGAGGTCTAGTGGACAGTGATTTCTGTATTCTTTATCAGTAAGGGCTTAGCTGCAGAGAGGTTGGTGCATTTGAAAGACTCAAGAGCCTGGGGATTGGCAAGGGAAGGGGCCTGGCCAACACCCTTCATCACTTCCAGAGGTTCTTTCCAGCAGCCATAAAACAAATAACTGTCAGTCTTAGGTTCCAACTCCGGGGTAGGATTGAAGCTTGTGAGAAAGGTCAGTGGGACGATTTCAAGAGGCTGAGATCCATAGAAAGGGAAATCATAAGATCTGCAAAATTGCCCAAATGATCACTCATTTGTGGAGCAGTATATCTGCTCTATAGAACTATAGGCTATAGGTTATGATGGAGTTACAGAAAAACTCTGCCATAACTCTATAAGCAGGATCTAAACTTTTCAATCTTGTAAGTATGGGGATCACAACATAGGAAGCCTAATGAAAAACAGTCTTTTTCAGTGAATCAGTATCTTAGCCTATTTAGGCTGCTATAACAAAATACCATAAACTGGATAGTTGAAACAACAAAAATTTATTTTTCATAGTTCTAGAGGCCGGGAAGGCCAAGATCAAGGCACCAGCAGATATGATGTGTAGTGAATGTCCACTTCTTTCATACAGGGACATCTTCTCATTGTAACTTCACATGACAAAACACAAGGACTTTGATCTCTTCAGCCTCAAATCCCATGGCACTAATGCCATTCATGAGGGCTTCACCCCCACGACCTAATCACTTCCCAATGGCCCCACTCCAAATGCCATCACATTGGGGATTAGGTTTCAACATGAATTTGAGGAGGATGCAAACATTCAGACCATAGCAGTCAGTAGTGTCCTAAAAAACACAAAAGTAAAGATGGTAGATTGTGTACTATACATGAGTGGACATATATGGAAAAAAGAAAGTCTTAAATGACCCTGGGGTCAATGCTTGCTTTGTACCTGTCCCTTCTCAACCCCACCCAAGATAAGAACTTCAGCTGCACCTGTTAGAAAAAAAGGAGATAATTGACAAGTACATTATATGCAAATGTGCATCACTGGGGCTGTGGGTGAGGTTATGAGTGTAGGTACTATTGTTCTGGGAAAGATCACCTTACGGTGCTAAGTGGGGCATGAAGATCTCAGATATAAGAGAAGCAGAAGTAGCTATAAATAAATGCAGCTCCATTCCTGTGGCCCAAAGTATATTTAGAGGAATTATGACACCCCTGCCCAATATATATGCAGTGGAAACCTACTGTCAAAGATAGGACAGGGGGAGATTGAAAACTCAGACCACTCAGACCAGTGAAGGACAACAATTAGTATACATCAACTTTTTGTCTCTACAACCTGACAGTTGAAACTACAGATTTTGTGGTGACAAATCCTGTAGTCATGAATTCTAAGCATGTCCTATCAGGGATGAGCAAGTGTCTATTATTGCATAGATATTAGGGGAAAAATTCTTCTCTGATCAGATTCAGTCTAATCAAAGGAGGACTTGGAGACTTGGTTATTATGAAAAATTTCCTCGCTGAAGGTCAAACAGCTTATAATTACTCTCTATTATCCCAAAGAAACGTATAATCCCATGGAGGCAATACATGGGTCCTCAAATGGGAATTACACCACTTTCTTCACTCCCAATTCTTGCTTTTGAGACCAAAGCCAGGCTACCTGTGGGCCTCTGTTTTCTGTTTTGCTGCAGACAAAGGAGCAGAAAGTGTAGCCTTATCTCATAGACTGCTAAACTGAGGAATATTCTCCAGGAGCTATTACAAATGGGCTACTGGGGCATCCCAGCATAACATGGTATGATTAAGAACTCCCAGGCTGGGTGCGGTGGCTCATGCCTGTAATCCCAGCACTTTGGGAGGCTGAGGTGGGCAGATCACCTGAGGTCAGGAGTTCCAGACAAGCCTGGCCAACATGGGGAAACCCCATCTCTACTAAAAATACAAAAATTAGCTGGGCGTGGTGGCGAGCTCTTGTAATCCCAGATACTCTGGAGGCTGAGGTAGGAGAATCACTTGAACCCAGGAGATGGAGTTTGCAGTGAGCCAAGATCACGCCACTGCACACCAGCCTGTGTGACAAGAATGAAACTCCGTCTCAAAAAAAAAAAAAAAAAAAAAAAAAAAAAGGAACTCCCTGAGACCTCATGTGTGGTCCTAGGACATGTAGGCCAGACACAGGCCTCATTTCAAATGAGATAGCGTAGCTTTCAGGAACCCTGCATTTAAAATGCACCACTCAGTACTCCTGCCAGTTTGAGAAATGCTCTGAGGCTGAGGTATGTCTGTCTCAGTGCTATAGGGTAACACTGAACCTATGAGAACTTGGTCAAGGGCTTCCACTCTGTCCTAGCACACTGGTATTCACACAAAGGACATAGGACAACAGGCAGTATTCCAAATGGACCTCAAAGGGATCCCACCATCTCCTAGCATGAAGGTGGTAAGGATGAGTAGAAAGAGGTGGAGGCTACCCCTTGGGTGGAGCAAAAGAAAATTTGCCCAGCCTAGAGATGGAGCACCTTTCACCTCATCATGTAGAAGCAGCAATCCCCTTCTGTGAGCTCAGATCCAGATGCAGCAGCATTTGAGTCCAAAAGATCCAGTGAAGCTGGAAAAAAAAAATAAAAACATCAAAAAACCAACCAATCAACCAACCAACCAACCAAACAAACAAACAACAAAAACCCAGCATCACTGGGGAAGGGGTGGTGATACCCGTGGGATGTGAGCAGAGCTGCGTTTCCACCACTGGGGAGCAGGTGTCAGCTCATCACAGAAGGATCTGAGAAGTCCATCAAGCAGCTCAATTACCTCATGATGGTCTGGATGAAGACATCTCTTAATGTGGCTAATTTAACATGGTGTTAACGTTGGTGTTAACTGAGATGTTCCAGTCCTCTTTACTCCCTGTGTGGGAGAGAATAGGAATTATATATATATATTTTCTCCCAGGGAGGTCGAGGCATTCCCCCTTTCCTAGAGTGTAAGGTAATAGGATGAATCCCTTTGTAATATGACTCAAGGTGAAGATCAAGTCCAACTATTTATTAGATAGTAATATATGCCAGAGATGTGCTTACAGATTAGATATTGCAATCCATCCCTCTTCTGCTCCCGGTCCAGGCTTACCCTTGTCCTTGGTATGACATCCTTGTATGGTCTTACACAGTTAGACCATTTCTTCAGAATGGAAGGGAGTGGGGAAAACAAAACAAAACAACAAAACAAACAAACAAAAAACCTATTTGGCCCTGCAGAGAGTGAGAACCATTGCCTAAGCAACTAACTTTCCACATTCAGCACATTATTGAACACTATGTATCCAACTTGATTAGGCTGAATCCTGATCCCATCACTAAACACTAAATACTTTATGATACTTATACTATCCTGGATGATTCTGGGACCTATCAACAGTTAGGTGCAGGTTTTAAAATAAGATCTAACTTTGGTAGACTCTTTTTTTATCTTTTTTCATATATCCCAACAGTTCCCAAGAATAAAATATCCTTGCTGAAAGGATTTTATAGTATCCCAGACACCTATCTGCTTAGCATAAGATGCTGAGAATAGTGTGGTGGCTTGGATCAGGCCCAAAGTCACCTATACATCTGAGAAGCCTTTTCCAGCCAAAATTATAGTACAGAAATGTATGCATATTGGGGTGTTGGCGGTCATGCCAGTGGCTATGCTGTGACTCTTTGCCTTTGCATCTTAGGTTCTCCAATCCTGCCTCTCAATCCTCTTCTCATTTCATAAAAGAGCTCAAACAATTCAACTCAAACATCTCCTTCTTTTCTTATTTTACTTGTTGATATCTGGGGAAACCCTAAAATTTCTGCTACTGTTTTGCACCCCAGAGGAAGAGGAAGAGCACTGGGAGAGAGGGCCAAGGGTACTGCTAGGGGCTGGAAATTAGGAAGAGGCTAAAACCCCAAGTCATTGTATGGTTTGCCTCTTTATGAGGCTCTGCAATAAATGGACCTCCATGAGATCCCACCTTTTCTCCTTGCATTTCATCTACTTTGTTTCATCTTGCCATGAAGGGGTCCCCTGTGGAGGCCAAGTCCTGGGAGTGCACTGGGGAACAAGAAGCTAGGGAGGCCACCTGGCTTCTTTGGCCCACACAAAGGCAGTGTGGTAAGTCACCCACAGTCTGGCCCAGCTCACAGGTTTGCCCTTCCACAAAACAAAAATAAAAATTGTGTCTCCATGCACACGTATGTTTATAGCAGCACTGTTCACAATAGCAAAGATTTGGAACCAACCCAAATGCCCATCAATGATATACTGGATAAAGAAAATGTGGCACATATACACCATGGAATACTATGCAGCCATAAAAAAAGGATGAGTTCATGTCCTTTGCAGGGACATGGATGAAGCTGGAAACCATCATTCTCAGCAAACTAACACAGGAAAAGAAAACCAAACACTGCATGTTCTCACTCATAAGTGGAAGTTGAACAATGAGAACACATTGATACAGGGAGGGGAACATCACACACTGGGTCCTGTCGGGGGGCAGGGGGCTACGGGAGGGAGAGCATTAAGAGAAATACCTAATGTAGATGATGGGTTGCTGAGTGCAGCAAACCACCATGGCACATGTATACTTATGTAATAAATCTGTACTTTCTGCTCATGTATCCCAGAACTTAAAAGTAAAATAAAAAAAAAATTATGTCTCCTGCATTGCTCCCTTAAGATCTTCAGGGGTGATGGGCAGCTGGCTGGGAATTTAACACCCTGGGTTTGGGCCATCCCTATCTTTCCCTTTAAGTTCACTCAATTTCCAGACCAACTTTCAGAACTGATGTCTTCTTTATTTGTGTCTCCCTTTGGGTCTTGTGCAGACTTTCCTTGTATTGCTTATCATTCAAAGCTGCAATTACTTTTTACTTGAGTTTCTTCCCCCTTAGGTTCTGAGCTCCAGAAGAGCGGTGTACTGGGTGGAATAGCGTCTCTGAAGATTCATTCCCTTCTGGAACCTGAGAATGCAATCTTATTTGGAAATAGGATTTTTGCAGGTGTAATTAGTTAAGGTAAGACCACCTTAGAGTGGACTAGAGTGGACCCTTAATCCAATGTGACTGGTGTCTTTAAAAGAAGAAAAGAAGAGACAGAAAGTGACATACACAGAGGGAAGATGATATGAAGAGACACAAGGAGAATGCCCTGTGATGACAGAGGCAGAGACTGGAGTGATGCATCTACAAGTCAAGGAACATCAAAGATTGCTGGCAAACACCAGAAGCCAGAAAGAGGCAAGGAAAGATCCTCACCTTTTTCACCCAGAGCCTTTGGCAAGAGCATGGCCCTGCTGACACCTTGATTTCGGACTTCTGGCCTCCAGAACTATGAGAGAATAAATTTCTGTTGTTTTAAGCCACCAAGTTTGTGGTACTTTGTAACAGTAGCTCTTAGAATTTAATGCAGGGGCTGTGATCTGGTCACTCTTGTATTGCAGGAACATAAACAGGGTCTGGAATGGAGAAGTGAGCTCTTAATATTTGCCAGATAAGAATTGCATGTAGAGAGGGAGGACAAGAGAAGTGTGATGGAGGAGGGAACAGACACAAAAAAGTGAAAAGCTTGCCTCTCTAGTGCATGTGCCTGAAGTGGAGACACCTGCAAATCACTGTATGCGGTATATGCCCAGTAAGCCCTCATTCATTATTCAGAATGAATAAATGAATGAATGAATTTGATATTGGATTTCTCTCATCTTCACATTGCCTCTAAAAGAGCCATCAGTTGACACACCTAGTGGGAGGAAAACAATGAAACTCTCTATGTCCAATCAGCAACGCGGCAGAACTATGTCAAGAAACATACGTGTACAAATGTCTCATAGAAAGTGTGACAGTTTGCTCTGCCCCAAATACCAGGGGCAAGGCCCGAGGATCGGACCTGCCTCAGATATGGAGCGAGGCAGTGATGCTCGGCATCACGCTGCACCTGCCACTCTCTCTGCAGCGACCTGGTCCCCTGCTGCATTTAGATCCAAGTCGAAAATCTTTCTTCTCCATCCTAGCTCTGCCACCTGGTTCCTCCAGACTCCAGCCTGTGCTGCAGTCTTCCTGGGAAAGCAGGCTGGTTTTCCTGCAGTTCCTCTGCTGCCCCCACTCTGCTTTACCCTCCCTCCCTCATTGTTTGTCATTGGCCAGCCTTGTTTGCAGCACAAGGACATGAAGAAGACATTCCTCCCATTCTCCAGTGATTGTCACTAATTGAAATGGGAAGCAAGACAAGGCTCCAGAAGAAAAGCTTATTATTGGCTGCCTTGTTGGAAGAAAATGAATCACCCTAAGCAGATAGGTTTCTGTGATCTCAGGCAAACCTCACTCTTTATTCTACACAACCCCGTCTAATTGTTCAAGAAAATGTTCATCTGCTTCATAATGGAACAGCCATAATGGAAGTGTTGTGAAATCACTGAAAAGTTTATTCAAGACTCCCTTCTGAAAGCCCAGTCATAAAGCACGGGCTTCGGAGGAGTTAATAGAATTGGTTCTCACTGAAATGGCATGGATAACAAATTTCCTGAACATGTATCCTTTTAAATGTGCCTGTTGGTGGGAGTCTGAATTGGCATTTGACAGATGCAAAGCACTAACAAAAGGGGTGAATTTCCCAGCTCTGGCGTTAGGCCCTCCCCTGTGGCTGTGTCATCAGAGTCCCTGCCCAGCCTCTCACAACTGAATGGGGACTAGAAACCTCCAAGATTCTCATGAAACCAAGTCTTGCAAACAGGGAATATTCAACTACTTCCTCAAAGTGTTAAACCTAAAGAAGAGAAAGTTATCCCATGAAGTGGAAGAAAAACATCCAGAAAGAATGGGTGGACAAAACGAGGCTTTAGAAGACAAGCTACCCTGCAGTGAAATTTCTTCCAATAAATTATGTCAGGACGAAGGAGTCAGAACCAATGAAGAAAAAGAAACACAGAAACCATACGGCAGACCTGTGCATTCCTCATGCACTACATAGCTCCTGATAAATAGAAAGATATTTAAGATACATTTCTGCCCTCAAGAAGCCAAGTTAGATTCATTTGTTTATCCATTCACTGAAGAAATAAATACTTTTGTGCTGGCAGCCATTCAAAAATGATGATCATTTGGAGGAAACACTGGAGAAATTTGCCACGATTTTTATGGCAAGTTCAGAAAAGGGAGAAAACCACTTGAATTGGAGATTTGGGAATTGAATTGCAGAATTTGGGAAATTGATTTGGAGACCTCTACTCCTTCCCCACATGTATCTCATGTCTCCTCAGCTTCATCCAAGTCTAACCTTCCAGAAACTTGTGACTTTGGTTGTCAGGCAGTAAATGTACGAGTGATTCTCTTTGCTTCTTCTAATGTTCCCAAATGCCACATTCCACACTGGACCATCTGTAACCTAATTTTCTCTTTCTGCTCCCCATAATGAAGAAATGTGTGATGGATTAAAGATAATTGCATATTATTTTTTAAATATTATAATTTGCTTCATATATTTTAAATGAATTTTTTGAGATAATTGTAGATTTATATGACTGCATATTCTTAACTCTTCCACCATTAGGTGGTGAGGTCTGTGTCCCCTGGAAGGCTCTATGACTGCTTCAACCCACAGAAAATGTTGGAAGTAATGCTATGCCAGTTTCCAGACCCAGAGAGAGAAAGTGGCCAGTGCCACTTCCTGTTTATGAGAACATTCTCTCTGGGAACCCGGAGATGCCATGCTGGAGAGGCTAGCAAGTGGTCTAGTCGACAGTCCCAGCTGAGCTCAGCCTTCCAGCCATCTCTTCCTAGGCACAAGATAAATAAGTAAAGACATCTTGGACCATCCAAACCAGCCCAAATGCCAGCTGAGTATCATCAGGTGACCTCAGCTGATACAACATGGATCCAATAGAGCTGAGCCTAAAATTCTGACCCCAAACACCATGAAAGATAATACAACGGATATTGTTTTAAGCTATTAAGTTTTGGGTTGGTTTATGACATATAAAAGAAGAGGAGATCAAAAGCGCAAATGATAGCAGTGATTCTTTTCCTACTTCTGAGGTGAAATCTTCTTTGCCTGCTTCTTCCATTGGTGCCTAGCATTCATCTCAAGTCACGCATACCATGGAGTCTTTTTGGTGACACGTACCACAGCTAGAAGGCCATGTAGTGAGAGCTCTTCTATTGGAAGCAAAAATAAATTTTTCTCAGAGATACATATCCCTGGTCCAGAAGGAATTTGCCCACACAATGGCCCGTATGTATGAGTGTGTGTGTCTGCTTCTTGCTTGTGTGAGAAATATATGTTTCATTATGGGACTTCATTTTCTGTCCTCAATGGAGCCTTTTTCATTTTCTTTTCTCTTTTGGTGGGGACAATAGAGACCATTTCAAGGCAAAGCCCTGTCTATTGCTTTTGTTTTTCCCTCCCTGTTTTGTTGCAGGCTTTGCCTCAGCATTCAGCGCTGGCGTTTCTTGAGGTGGTCGGCATTGTTCCTTCCTCCTGGGACTGGCAGAACGCTTGGAGGGTCAGTTGGAAATGAAGCTTCTATTATCTGCGATCTGTCTCACCCTCTAAGCTGGTCCGTCCTTACACTAAGGCTCAGCCAAGCATGAAGAAAACTAATTGTCCCCACTCTCTGCTCTGCTGCACACCAAACCCCCACTTGTGCTTCTCCTGGTTCCCCACTGGTCGGAGAAAGCCTCGCCTAAGCGGAGGCACAGAGGGACACGTTCCCAGGTACCGCTCCGCACAGCATGTGCAGCTTGAGCTGCCTGTGACTCAAATTGAGGTGTCCCAGGGCTTCTCCCGGAGCTGCCAGTGCCAGGGAAGGGGCGGAGGGAGGGAGAGAAAGATGACGACTGTGCGTGCTCCCAGTAATTGCAATGGGCATAGGAAAGGGGACTTGATTAATTTGCCTGATGAATTATGCATCACCTCTGTGTGCCGCCCTCCCAGCTTCAAAGCTTTATTATTCACATTGCTTGGATCTGACCACCTCTTCCTTCCTTGCTTTGAAAGCTGTTGTCCAACAAGTACCAGGGAAGTCTTTGGCTTTTGACTGCTGCGACCACCTCACAGAGTGCTTCCAGGAGTTGACAGAATTACTGAGACGTAAGCTGTAGTAAATTTAAACACACATACATACACACACACGCACACACACACATACACACACAGAGCTGGAGTAATTCATCAATAACAAGCCTAAGATTTATGACGTGAGGGAGAACTCAGCTGTCTTTTGTAGTCTAGGACAAAAAAAATTAAATACAGAAGTGGCAATTACTTTGTTAGTCGTGTTTAAAGTTAACACCACATGAAAGAAAGTCTCCTTTAATAAAGAAAGGAGCAACAAGGAATGCCATGGCGGTGAGATTAACTTGGTGTTTTCAAGGCCTGTGGATCGAAAATTTGATCTCCCAATTTTTCATCTTTCTGGTCTGTTCAAGCTGAGGTTGAAACAGGGGCTTTTTCAATCCCCCTTGAGTAGTTAGTGGCAATCCGGCCTTTCATTAGGGCTCCTAGCATGCCCTAAATGATTCGGTCCACCTTGCTACCCATCCTTCCAGGTGAAGACAGAAAACTCTCTGTATTACTAATAAGCGTAAAATAAAGGCAGTACTTCCTGCGTGAAATTGGGCTTGAAGAACTGAGAAGGAGGGCCCAGTGTTTTGTCAAGTTTTTTCTGTCAAAGCTCAGTCTGAGAGGCAAAGCTAACAAGGGAAACAAATTCAGTTAATGAAATAAGACTATGATTTAAAAGGGTTTTTGGTAACAGCTTTATTGACATATAATTAACATACCATATAATTCACCCACTTAAAGTGTACAAAGTGTACTATTCAATGGTTTTTAGTATATTTATAGAATTTTTCAGCCATCACTACAATACATTTTGGAACTTTTTTTTATCACCCCAAAAAGAAACCCTCTGCTCTTTAGCTATGACCCATCTCTCCCTGTTTCCCAACCCAAGACAAACACTAGCCACCCAAGGCTGGCATTTGCAATTCTGGACACTTCATAGAAATGGAATCATAGAATATGTGACCTTTGTGTATGGCTTCTTTTCCTTAGCATAATGTTTTCAAGGTTTATCCATACTGTAACATGAATCAGTATTTTATTCCTTTTTATGATGGGATAGTATTCCATTGTCTGGAATGGAATCTCCAACTCCATTTTGTTTAACTATTCATCAGTTGATGGAGCAATTTGATGATTTTGCAATCTTTTTATTTTGAGTTTTTATGTTTTCTATCTTTTGGGAAGAATATCCTTTCAAGTTGACAAGAAAGCTTTTGAGTAATGCTTTCCTATGAACACTGTAAGAAATGTGTTAGTACCTCGCTATTTGCCATAATCCCAGGTTGGAAGAACGTAAAACCTACTTCCTACTTAGAGTTTTACATTGGTCTTCTTCTAGAAAGCCTCGCCTAAGTGGAGGCACAGAGGGACACATTCCCAGGTACCACTCTGCTCAGCATGTGCAGCTTGAGCTGCCTGTGACTCAAATTGACGTGTCCCAGGGCTTCTCCTGGAGGCACAGAGGAGTCAGCTGCAGTTCCAGCACTGGGCTCTCCCTCTGTTCCTCTGGTGGACTGAGGACCCTCTTGAATCAGCCAATATGAGGCAACCGCATTTTCCTGGCTGTATGTAAAATGAGGGGTTGCACTTGTATTCTTCAACTTCTTTCAAGAGGCAGAGAGCAGAAAGAATGGAAAGACTTCCATATCTGACTTTGAATCCTGATTTCATGCCTTATTAGCTGTGTGGTCTTGGGCAGGTCATCTTATCCCTTCCAAAGGACAGTTCTCTCATCTGTAAAATGGGAAGAACACAATTTACCCATAGATATAGTATAAGGGTAGACATAGTATAAATGGAATGAAGTAATGTCCACAAGGTATCTTGCAGTTGTAAGCAATAAATAAATGGTAGTTCCTTAAGGTTCTACCGATGCTAGCAATCTTCACTGGGATGAGAGTGTGATGGGTCAGCTACTCAGGTACTAGGTTATTTACTGAGCAATTACTAAGTACCCAAAGACATGTAAGAATAAAGAAGACAAAGGCCTTTCCTGTTGTACAATGTAATAAGGAGCCCGACCTAGTCAATATGAAACAAATGGTGGCCAGGACAATATATTATCCCCCACTAGCTAGAAGTGGCTGGTGGCCACTCCCAGTAGCCTGTGGCTTGTCTCTCTTCCAGGGTTTCTTAGCACTTTCTCCTTTGGGTTTGAATTATTAGGTTAAGAGTTTTATCTTCTCCACCAGATTGTGATGTCCTTGAAGGTGGGAACCATGTTCTTTCATATTTAAAATCTAGGCTTATCAGGTAGTTCCCTCTGAAACCATGCTGCTTCTCTAGTTATCTGTTCTTTTTCTTTCACTTTGGAGTCATTTGTGATTTTATAGTTAGAATTTTATTTTTAAAGCCTCTTGAGCCATATTTCCTTTCAAGGCATGGCTCTATAGTCTTGACTATCTTTCCTCAGAACATTCAGATGTTTAATTTCTTAAAGTCTAGGGCATCACTTTAGTTCATGTGGTTGACGTGATGGGCTACTTTCTCACCACTGGTGATTTATCTCTCTCGTGCTGATTAGCAAACTCAACATAGCAATTGTATTCATTGTTTCCTCTACTTTTAGAACCAAATAATTGTCAGAAAGGCAAATCAAATGTTCTTTCTCTGGTAGAACAAGCCTTCCCCTTAAGCTCTGGATAGCTGAAGCCCCTACTACTTCCTGGTCTTTCCCAGGTACCAGGAAGTCTTGCATGAGAGGTAGCCACTGACCAGTCCAGCAGCAACCCAAGTCTGTAGGTCAGGCTGAGACTCAACACTGGTCGGCTTAACACTGGTCTTGCTCCTGTCTCCTCTCCTGCAATTATTATTATTATTTTTTTTTGCTTGGTTATACCAAAGAGTGACTGCTATTTTTCCAGTTAACTTCCCACTCATTTCGCTGAAGGCAGTGATACTTTGTCTCACCTTTCTTCACAAGGTGAGAGAATATTTGAGCAATGAAATCCTAACTTTATCCTGGAATAGGTACATGAGTTTGTGGGTATATTAGTGTATCCCAAAAGATAATGTATTGAAAAGATCCTGGGATGGCTTACAGGAGTGAGGAAAGAGTGAACTCAGACTTCAGGAAGGGCAAGAGCCAGGGCAAATATTTCAGGAGACCTTACCAGTGGGATCTGTGAGCCGTGTCTGTAGGGATCACTGTTATGTTAACTCTACTCCAATACTCCAGGCTCTGGGAATATAAAACTGTTTTAAATTTCAAATTTCAGAAGAAAGACCAATTGGCTTTGCTTGAGTCAGAAGTCTATTCTTCACCAATCCCTATCATATAGCACAGGTGTAGTTTCTGATGATCACTCCTTTGTCTGGGGACATTCCTGGAGAAGGGAGATCTGTTGTGAACAGAGCAGCCATCTAGTTCGTGTCTACCACAGCAGACGCTTGACTCCTTGTCCTGAATGGATCAGCAAGAAAGAAGTCAAAGAAAAACTCTATCTAACACTCTCTCTGAATCAACCACTCTTTCATGTGGTGAAAAGTTACAAGATCAAAGGAAAAAAAATCACCAACCTATAATTTTCTGGTATTTACGATGCTATCTTCTTTTACATGCTTACCTAGCATTTTAAGTTTTGTTATTTAACAGGCTAGAAATTCATGAGGCCAAATATTTATTGCAATATGCAAATTTTATGTACCTAACCTATGCAGCTGGGAATAGTCATTTTCTTAAAACATAGTACAACCCTCAAGGAAAAGACTCTAAATCAGAGCACCCCAGGGATTCCTATTCAACAAAAGAATTGAGGAAAAACTTGGCCCTGAAGGCACTGTAGGATCAGGGGCATAGGGCAGGAGAAGGTATTCTTTCATTTGTTTCCTCATTGACTCTTTAGTGAGTACTTACTGCATTTAAGGCATTGTGCTGGGCACTTGGGATAATAAAGTGATCCAGACAAATATGGTTCCTGCCCTCAGAGATTGTAGGGTGCACAATTAAATTAGCAATAACGCTCGTTGGGTTACAATGGAGATGTATGGGGTGTATGGGATCATCATATCTTAAGATGATCTCATATTGCCAGGCATGAGGATGAGGTGGGGAGGGAGGGAGTGTTCTAGGGAGGCTGAGACCAGAGAAGAGATGCAGGAAGTCATGGGAAGAAGGGGGGAAAAGTGTACCAGGTAGAAGGAACTACATGTGCAAAGGGTCTGAATCAAGAGAGAACATAATGCATCCATGTAGTTTTGTGAATCTGGAGTGGATGAACTGTAGACAACCAGGAGGAAAGATAAGGCAGAAACCATCTCAACAACAGCTTGAGTTAGAACTTTATCCCAGGGATAATGGGGAGTCACTGAAGGTATTAAACAGGGGGATACATTCTGGGTTCTGTGAGCAAAGGTTTGGGTCTGGACAGCCCTGGAGACCTTGGTACATGAGATCCTGGTAGAAAAAGGCTCCTAAAGAGCAAACAGACCCTTCTCAGGAAGCTCTCCTGAATGCCAGTGCTTGCCTCACTGAGATTTAGGAGAAGTTCTCTGGGGAAGTCAGGGCAGGGCTAAGGCCAAGATAGTGCCAAGAGAAGGGCTTCAGAAACTCCTCACAGACACCGCAAGACTCCTATATTGACACAGAACAGACCAGCAGAAACTCAGGCCAGGCACTATCTTTCAAATTGTCTTTGTAAATCTCATTGCTGCCTTGAGCTCCTGGCCCCACTCAGGGAGAAGGACCCAGCACTGACAGATGCTGAGGCCCAGGTTTAGAATCTGGTGCTGATCTGGAGCCCAGGGCAGGCACAGCCTGCTGGCAGCATCCTTTCCATCACCACAGGGTGGTAGCTCAGCATTGATCTTGTTCCTGTCTCCTCTTCTGCAAGTATTATTATTATTTTTTGCTTGGTTATACCAAAGACTGACTGCTATTTTTCCAGTTCATTTCCCGTTCATTTCTCTGAAGGCAGTGGTTCTTTGTCTGAAATGGCCAGACTGACTTGTTTTGTGATTCATTTACTATTAATTTAGCACATGTAGATAAAGCCCCTTGCAAGATCTTTGAGAGGGTGGCAGATGAATCAGATACAAATGTTGACCTCAAGGAAATTGAAATCACATATGAAAAATAAGACACATGGATCCAGAATATATTTATTGAGGATCTACCATGTATCAAGCTCTGCCAGGTTCCTGAGACACAGTAATGAATGGGCACCCTGAAGGAGCTCACATGAAAATCCAGAAGTGTGTATCAACTGCCGAATGTATTGTTTTAAAAGTCAGCACCTGGGTTCCTTGGAGAGTGAGTGAGAGAGAGAGAGAGCGAGAGAGCTGTTCTTTCTAGGCAAATACATTGATTGATAGTGTGCAGGGTGAAAGCTGGGCCTGCAGGGCCTTGGCCATTGGATGCCAGGGCTTGTGAGGAAGGAGAAGCTGCTTGACATGACAGTGGGAACGAATCTGGATGCCAGTCTCCCCAGAACTATGAGCTGAAGGGGTGGTGACAAAGGAGGGCAGAAATACTCAGTCCAGGGTGGGAGTCAGAAAAGACTTATAGTGGAGGCAACACCTGGATGTTCATTAGCTGGGCCAGCTAGCAGGAAAATCTTCCAGGTAGAGGAAATAGAATTTTGACAAGTAAAGGTCTGGCTAAATAAAATGTGAAGTGTTGTCATATAATGGAATTCCACAGAATAATGAAAAGCAAACCTCTAAATCTACATGTATCAACATAGATTAAAAAAAATGCTGTGTTAAAGGCAAGTTGCAGAATTGTATATGTTTATATGTAATTATATGTGTATATAGACATAGATCTAAACCCAGAAAAAAACACAGCAAACTCATCAGAGTGGTTATCTCTGTCTGGAGAGCAGAGAAGAGCTTGAGGGTGGAGATGAAGGGGTCTTAAGTTTTATATGTAGTGTTCCAGTTTCTCAAAAGGTGAAAAGGTAAATTATTGACACATTATTTAAGGAATGAAAAAATGCATAAAACAAGGAGAAAATTGGTCAGTGCCACAGACAGAGAGAGATGGAATCTATGGAACACGAGGTGGAAGAGAGCACTTCCAGCTGGAGGAGTGGAGGAAAATTCCTGAAGGAGGCAGCCTCTGATTGAAAGATGGGCCAGACCTGGCCTGCCAGGGATGGAGAGGACAGAGGGACAGGCATGGGGGTAGACAAGTGTAAGACGGATAAGAGAAAAAGCAATACTTTGTCTGAAATCCGTGTGTGAAAGAGAAGATTAGGGGTCAGGGAAAAGCTGGATTAGGACCTGGTCATTGGGGCAGGGTAGAGGGATTTGAGGGTCTCAAAGCAAATGAAGGGTCAGTTGGTCTGGTAGCAAAGGGCAGGACAAGAAGTGAAAGTCAAGTCAAGAGGCTACTGCACTGGCCCAGGGGATCATGATCAGCCCAAACTGGGGCAGATGCTGCAGGCTGTAGGGGACGAAAGTGTAAGGCTCTGTGGGTGCAGAATGCCATGGCACAGATGTCACTTTCAGCGGATCATACAATTCAAACCTAAAACACCTACCCAGCTTCTTAGAAAGGTTCTTATCTCTAGCCTTAAACACTATGGAGACAGGCAAACTCTGAAGAATGACATGCTCTTTAAACTGACACTCTCAAGGAAAGCCTTAGTTTTCTTGAAAAATTCCTTATTAATTTAAATACTATGGCTTTCTACTAACACTAAGAAGAGATTATAATATTCCAGTGGGAATTCCTTTGCTTAACATGAAAATAAACCTGACAGAAGGATTACAAAACTAAACACAGAACATTACAAGAAACACTAATTACCTCCCATTCTTTCTTCTCACTCACTAAAACAACTATTTAGACAAACAAAGCAGCGGAGAGGAGGAGGGAGCAGAACTGAAGGGTGTATGGCTCTGCTAATCCCTGCTGCTTTGATAAATCTGAAATAGGATCACCTGACATCTGAGAAGTGGGAGGTATCTTTCCAGGAGCGCTTTGCATTAGGTTACCTCAGGTAACTGATTTACCTTTTGAATCAAACGGCTTTGGACTGAACGTATAATTTCTCCTCTCTGAAGCTGCCTTGGAATCCTCCCCTCTCCTTCATAGGCAGGGTAATTATGTCTCTTTTGGGCCCAGAGCCCACTGCTCCCTGCTCTGGGAGAGCATCTGCACAGAGTTGGCTGTCTGCAGATGGGAACCTTGGGAGCCCAGGATCTATGGGGAATTCACATTTGGTGCCCACCCCAACTAGCCCAGCACCTGTGTTTATAAGAATTTCATGAATGAGAAGCACATCTGGGGAAGAAGGGAAGGAAACAGGGAAGAGGGAGGGAGAGGGAGAGGATGGATGGTCAGGGAGACTTTTGGCTGTTGGACTGTTATACTCTGGGTTCTGAATAAAACTGTTCATGCAAACAAACACCAGCTTGATTCGGTCTGTTGCTGTGAGAAGATTCCATACCCAATGTTTGTATTCTGATTTGTATTTAGATTTTAATTCCATAGTTAATCACATCCCTTCACCCTACCTTCCATCAGTTGCTTCTCTTCAGCAACCTTAGGAAGGGCCCTTATGGTGCAGAAATGCTTACTAAAAAGTCAAGAAGGCTTGGAAGCACAGCCTGAAAATAAATAAGCAGCAGTTTCCTAAAGCATCAATCTGAACATATATACATTCACATCAGTTGTATATATCAATGACGGATTACTGAGTACTCCAGTGTTACCCATCCACCCTCCCTATCACAGCTCTCTCTGTCTGTCTGTCTCTGCATGCCTCTTCTGTCTCTGCAAGACTCCTGTCTTGCTCCTGCATCCTGTGCTGTCAGTCTCATCATGATTAATGCTGGCAAGAAAAATGGACTCTTGGATTCTAAGGGCTAATGCGGTCATTGCAGGAAATTCTCACTCATTCTGTAAATTTTCTTGTTCTATTTATTATTAGGAATAAAATCCTGCAAATCCTGGGAGCATCACTCTCCTCCAATTTAGCCCTTACACCTGTGTTCCTGAAATGCCTTCATCTCAGAGCCATGTGTTAGACAACCTGGGCTTCTTGGTGGAAAGAGAACAGCTGCCAGTCTGAGTGTTACTTGAAACAGTTTCCCTCATTTTTATAATGGTCTTTATTTCATTTTTCTTCTTCACTGCATTATCATTTGTCCATCTGGTGTATAGCAACTTGCTGTTTTGTTTGAGTATTTTATGTTTACCTACTTAGTTGTTACAAATGCTTCTCAAATATTTATCAGTACAGTTGGGCAAACAAGTCAGACAACCTAAAAACATAAAACAAAATGTGTGAGTATGTTTAAGCTTTCATCACCCAAAACAAAAGAAAACAAACAAACAAAAAACAGACAACAACAGCAGCAGAAAACAAAAACAAATAAAACAGAAAACTAGTCATTTCTGGAAGGATTATATCCAAGTTCACCAAAACTAATTATTGATTCACAAAATACTCATTTTTAGGAACCCAATTCTGAAAAAAAAAGTTTGAAGAAAATAAGCAGGAAAAAAAATGGTGATATTTGGATCACCAAAATCAGATTACTAAGAGTACACCTAGGAATTAAGGAGCCATCTGCTAATAAAAGTCCACAGTAGTTTCTTATTCTGTTTGTTTCACACGGAAGATGAGCCTCCCTGGGATCTTCAGAGTACATTATAAGCCTATTTCGAGATAAGTATAATAAAACTTAAAGGCAACAAATAAGAATTAGAATGCATCCATCTCTTGTGGCTCATTTTCTCTGCAAAGGAGAGGGCATCTCCAAAGTGTTTCAGAGCCTCTGGGCCTGAAGCAAGTGGGAGGATGGTGGGTTACTGTCAGTGAGTACAGATCTCCTGCCCTAGATGTAGTACAGCTCAGTGTGGAGAGTTTTGGAAGAAAGTGTGTGTCTCAGTCTGCTTGGGTTCTAACAGAGTGCCATAGACTAGGTGGCTTAAAAGCAACAGAAATTTATTTCTCACAGTCCTGGAGGCTGGGAAGTCCAAGATCAAGGTACCAGCAGATTTAGTGTCTGGTAAGGGCACTCTTCCTGGTTCATAGACAGTGTCTTCTCGCCTACATCCTTACATGGTGGAAGGGACAAAGGAGCTCTCCAGGGTTTTTTTTATTAGGTTGGTGCAAAAGTGATTGTGTTTTTTTTCCCATCAGATATAAGGGCACCAATCCCGTTTATGGAGGCTTTATCCTCATAACCTAATCACCTACCAAAAGTCCCATCTACTAATATCATCACATTGGGGGTTAGGATTTCAACATATGATTCTGGGGGCAGGGAGACAAATATTCAGACCATAGCAGCACCAAGCCACTTACTCTGTCTTAGAGACAACAAGGAGAATGGCAGAGGTGATGGGAAATTCTATGAATACCAGTGCTTCTCCCATTTCCTATAAGGAAAAAAATTAGATCTTCTATTTTTCTATTATCTAGCACTGTCCAAAGATTTAGTGGCTTGCCTATGGAAATAGTAAACTTTCTGTCCCTAGAGTAGGTGTCAGCTTGGTAGAGATTTTGTGGCTGGGTTGTAAGCATCAGCCAAGGGATTCTCAGCCAGAACAGTACTACTTTCTCCTTTAGGGGTTGTTTGAAAATGTGGGTGGGTGGCTTTGGTCATTATAGTGACCAAGTAGATAACTAGACTCTTTTTTTTTTTTTTTTCTTGAGACGGAGTCTTGCTCTGTCGCCCAGGCTGGAGTGCAGTGGCGCGATCTCGGCTCACTGCAAGCTCCGCTTCCCGGGTTCACGCCATTCTCTTGCCTCAGCCTCCCGAGTAGGTGGGACTACAGGCGGCCCGCCACTGCGCCCGGCTAATTTTTTGTATTTTTTAGTAGAGACGGGGTTTCACCGTGGTCTCGATCTCCTGACCTCGTGATCTGCCCGCCTCGGCCTCCGAAAGTGCTGGGATTACAGGAGTGAGCCACGGTGCCCGGCCAATAGCTAGACTCTTTTAAGGTCTACTCTAACATGGCAAGTTCAAACCTTTATGATTTTTCCTTTTGGAAGGTTTCTTTGTTTTAAAAAAGATACAAAAAAATCAGTCACTTATGAATGAGAGCACAGTACTGCACACAGAGTCACTCAGAGGCTGTGGCAAAGGATGGCTTCATATTTGGTCCTTTAAAGCAAATTTTCTAGGCGAAAAAAATAACACCTCAGATCTTGTTAAAAAATAAGTTCTCAGGCCCCATCCCAGACTTCCTGAATCAGACTTTCCAAGGGGGTGTTTGAAAAGCTCTGTGTCTAGTTCTGAACCCTGGCTGCCCTCTAGAGTCACCCAGGTAGCTTAATAAAGTGCTGATGGCTGCATCCTGTCTTGAAGACTCTGATGTAACTGATCTGGGCTAGGGTCTGGATTTTTAAATGCTGTACCGTGATGCTGCTGTGCAGTGAGGGTTGAGAGTCACAGCTCTGGGTCAGAACCCCAAGTAATTCTTATCGTGAATCATAATGGGCAATGCACATTGAGGAATTTAGTGCTCATTGATAGACTGATTGGTTGCAAACATTGGCAGGTATGAGCCGGGCATGGGATTAAAGAGTGCAGACCTATTAAAGTATCAGAAATGTGGATGCCTAAGTTTGATTGCAATAGGAACCTGAAGTCGTTTCCACTGCTTTACTAACATTGGTTAGAGTGATCAATGGCATACCAAGGTTGGAGGTGGTTGAAGATGAAGCAGTGAGGGTGAGGTGGGGCAGGTGTGTGTGCGTGTACGTGCATGCATGTGTGAGGAATCATGGTTCCCAGTGGAGAGGAGAATTTTATCACTAAAATTGTTTAGAATCGTAGGTGATAGTGATACTTAAAAAGTAGACTGTTTTTTCAGCTTTACTATTGCTATTTAAAAACAACATATTTATTTTGGAACAGTATAAGATTTACAGAAAAGTTGCAAAGATGATACAGAGGGGTCTTGTATATCCCTATACCTATTTCTCCTATTTCCAGTATGTCTTACATGAATATGATACATTAGTCACAGCTGATGAGCTAATGTTGATACATTAAAGTCCATATTTTATTCAGATTTTCTTTGTTTTACTTAATGTCCTTTTGGTGTCCTGTAACCCCATCCAGGATCCCATATTATACTCAGCCTCCTTAGGCTCCTCTAGACTGTGACAGCTTCTCAGACTTTTCTTGTTTTTGGTGGTCTTGGCTGTCTTTAGGAGTATTTACTGGTCAGCCATTTTGTATAATGTCTCTCTTTGGGCAATGATCCCTGAGAGAAGGGAAACAAATGAGGTAAGTCCTATAATTGCCCCCACTTTTTGCTTGGAGTTTCCAGCACAGGAAGGGAAAACCCAGAGTTCAGTGGTCTTCCCGAGTCGAGGAAACAATTCAACATTCAGGGATACCAAGGTTGTAAAACTTTTTAGGGCAGAGTACCAGAGAACAAAGAGCTACACAAAGAAAGACCTCTAGAGATCTACAGAGGAAACTGTCTAAGGCCAGGGAAAGAACCACTGGAAAGAAGCAGGCAGAACAATTTCTGTAGCTCACACAGGACCACAAATAGTTTGTGCTCCCATCAGTCATAGAGGAAAACCCTCCTAAAACACTGAGCATTGAATAGAGTCCTCTGAAGAATATGGCCTCAAGAGTGGGGTCAAAATGCCCCTAGATTATGGTGTACTGGGCCCACTGAAGGAAGCTTAAAAGCAAACCTTGAGAAAATCAAATTGTTTCCAAGGAATTTAACTATGTCCCAGAATAAAGACCAAAAATACCTAAGGGATAAAAAAGAAATCCTGCACCTTGAAACATAAAAATAACAATATTTGACATTAAATAAAACATTATCAGGCATGCAAAGAAGCAAGAAACTGTAATGCATAATAAGGAGGAAATCCAGTCAATAAAAACAGATTCAGAAACAACACAGGTGATAGAATTAGTAGACAAAGACATTAAGACAACTATTATAAAGTTGGCCCTCTGTGAGTTGTACTTCCATAGATTCAACCAACCATGGACCAAAAGTATTCACCCAAAAACCTCAAACAATAGAAAATAACAATAGAACAGTAATACAAAATTTTAAAAATATAGTATAACAACTATTTATATAGCATTTACATTGTTTTAGATATAATAAGTAATCTAGAGATGATGTATATGGGAGGGTGTGCATAGGTTATATCAAATACTAGGCCATTTGATGTGAGGCAGAAGTCCCCAGACTTCGGGCCACGAACTGGTACCAGTCCGTGGTCCACTAGGAACTGGGCCACATGGCCAGAGGTGAGCGGTGGGCGAGTGAGCATTACTGCCTGAGCTCCACCTCCTGTCAGATCAGCTGTGGCATTTGATTCTCATAGGAGCATGAACCCTATTGTGAACTGCACACTCAAGGGATCTAGGTTGTATGCTCCTTATAAGAATCTAACTAATATCTGATGATCTGAGTTGGAACAGTTTCATTCTGAAGCCATCCACTCCACCCCCACCCCGGGTGCATGGAAAAATTGTCTTCCGTGAAATCTGTCCCTGGTGCCAAAAAGGTTGGGAACCACTTATGTAAGGAACTGGAACATCTGGAAAGTTTGGTATCTTAGGAGAGGTCCTGGAATTAATACCCATGGATGTGAAAGGATGACCGTACTCTGTAGGTTCAAGAAGGTAGAAGAAAATGAGATCATGATAAGGACAATCATGATAGATTTTTTAAGAGATCTAAATTAAATTCTAGGGATAAAAATATAATGTTTGGGATGAAAACTACACTGTATAAGATTAACAGCAGAAGAGACAATGCAGAAAAAAATTAGTGAACTTGAAGACAAAGCAATAGAAAGTATCCAAAATAAAACATACAAAGATATATATATATTTTAAAAAAAGAACAGAATATTGAGTTGTGAGACAAAATTAAATGGCCTGCTATTGTGTTACTGGAGTCCCAGAAAGAAAAAAGATGGGAGAAGGCATAAAATAATTAAAGAAATAGTGGCTGAAAAATTTTCTAAATAAGATGAAAACTATCAAGCTGCAGTCCAAGCTGCTTACCTATGGAGCTAGTATAATACAAAGATGAAGCTTCTAGACTTGGGAATAGCCAGATCTAGGTTCCAAACTAGTTTTGCAGCATATCACTGTGTGACTTAGAGGATTTACTTAAGCTCTCTGAGTTTCAATTTTCTCTTTTGTAAAGTAGAGATAAGATTTGCACAATAATATTTATTGTTTCATGATTTTTAATAGAAAAATATTGGCAACAACTTCAATGTCCATCTATAAGGCATGGTTAAGTTAATTATGATATAGTGGTAGTAGGAATACTATGTCATTGATAAAAAAGAGTAACATCTATAAGTATTGGTATGAAAAGGTCTCCAAGAATACTGAAAAGGCAGGTCATAATGGTATGCTTTCATTTAGATATTTAAAAATCTTGCATGTATAGACACATATTTATCTATGCGTACAGAGGTACCCACCTGCCCAGTAACTTAAGATGGTTCAACTTATGATTTTTTGACTTTACAATGAGTTTGTCAGGATATTAAATGCATCTTTAATTACAATATATTTGACTTACAATTCATTTATCAGGATGTAGCCCTGTGGTAAGTCGAGGAGCATCTGTGCATACAAAGGTCACTAGAAGGATGCTCACCAAATTGCCTCTAGAAGGGAATGGGTTATAAAAGCAGGCAAAAAAAAAAAACAAAAAAAAAACTTTACGTTTAATTCTATAAACTACTGTATTGTTTAAATTTTTTACAATGACTGCGAAATAATATTTAAAAGGGAAATAGAAGCAATACTGTGGTGGGAATATACCCCAGTCTACCTATGCTGATGGAGGATGAATGAGATGCTTAAAGATCATGTGAACTGGTGACAGGCCAGGTGCAGTGGCTCACGCCTGTAATCCCAGCACTTTGGGAGGCCGAGGCAGGTGGATTACGAGGTCAGAGTTCAAGACTGGCCTGGCCAAAATGGTGAAACCCCATCTCTACTGAAAATACGACAATTAGCCGGGCACGGTGGTGGGCGCCTGTAATCCCAATTACTTGGGAGGCTGAGGTAGAGAATTGCTTGAACCAGAGGTTGCAGTGAGCTGAGATCATGCCAGCTGGGCAACAGAGTGAAACTCTGTCTCAAAAAAAAAAAAAAGATTATGTGAACTGGTGACAGTATAAATTTAAACACATCACTCCCCTGTCCCCTGCTTAAAATCCTTCTGTGGGTGCCTCTTACCTGGGAAATAAAACTCAAATCCCTGAGCAAGGTCCATAAGAATGTGTATCACCTAGCCCTATGTATTAGTCCCTTCTCATGCTGCTAATAAAGACATACTCCCAAGACTGGTTAATTTATAAAGGAAAGAGGTTTAATGGACTCACAGTTCCACATGGTTGGGGAGGCCTTACAATCATGGCGGAAGATGAAGGAAGAGCAAAGGGACATCTTACATGGCGGCAGGCAAGAGAGCTTGTGCAGAGGAACTCCACTTATAAAACCATTAGATCTTGTGAGACTTATTCACTACCATGAGAACAGTATGAGGGAAACCACCCTCACGATTCAATTATCTCCACCTGGCCATGCCCTTGACACATGAGGATTATTGCAATTCAAGGTGAGGTTTGGATGGGGACGCAGCCAAAACATATCACCCTACCTGATTTTTCTGGGTTTATTTCCCATCACACACACCCGAGAAGCTCTTCCTACTGTTGCACAGTGGCAAACTCCTAGTCATTGTTCTATGCCATCACTTCTCTGTTCTCTTTCTCCCTACTCCCGAGGAGTTAACTGGTCACCCATCTGCTACCTCGTTCTTCCAGAGTGACATTTGTTAAAATGTAATGCCACTGTATACTCACGTGTAAATTTTAATATTCATCTTTGAAGTCTCAGTGCCTAGTGCAGGGCCTGATCTATAACAGGTGCTGAATAAGTATTTGCTGATGAATCAGTGAATGGAAACTTCAACTCTAGGTACATCTATTAGAAATAGCATTCATGATGGAAGTCTTATCATACTGGATGTATGGACTGATTAATTTTTAATTGTTTTAATAACAGTTTCTTCTCTGAGGATAAAGCAAAGAAGAACTTTTGGTCTGGATTCAATTCTGACCTGGAAATTATATGAGTTTGCTAGGGCTGCTATAACAAAATACCACAGACTGGGTGACTTAACCAACAGAAATTTATTTTCTCACAATTTTGGAGGCTAGAAGTCCAAGATCGAGGTATCAGCAGGTTTGGTTTATTCTGAGGCTGTGTTAGTCCATTCTTGTGTTGCTATAAAGGAATACCTAAGACTGAGTAATTTATAAGGAAAAGAGGTTTAATTGGCTCATGGTTCTGTAGGGTGGACAGGAAGCATGGTGTTGGCATCTGCTTGGCTTCTAGTGAGGCCTCAGGAAGCTTACAATCATTCATTCATTAATGGTGGAAGGCAAAGGGGGAGCTGATGTATTGTCTGGCAAGAGCAGGAGGAAGACAAAGAGGGGGAAGTGCCACACTCTTTTAAACAACCAGATCTCACATGAACTCAGAGTGAGGACGCCCTCATTACCATGAGGAGAGCGCCAAGCCATTCATCCATTCCTATGACCAAAATAACTCCTACCAGGCCCTACCTCCAACATTGGGGATCATATTTCAACATGAGTTTTGAGGGGAACAAACATCCAAACCATACCAGAGGCCTTTCTCCTGGGCTTGCAGGTGGCTGTTTTCCTGCCATGTCCTCATGTAATCTTTGCTCTGCATGCACCTACCTCTGGTGTCTCCTTTTGTGTCCAAATTTCCTCTTTTAAGAACACCAGTCAGATTCAACTGGAGCCTATCATAATGGTCCTGTTTTCACTTAGTCTCTCTTTAAAGGCCTTATCTCCAGATATATCACATTGTGAGGCACTGGGGGTTAGGATTTCAACACATGAATGTTGAGGGGACACGATTCAATCCAAAAAAGAAGTGCTAAAAACTTTAGAAGAAGACGGTGGTGTCATTTTGGAGCTGGCAATATTAATAGTGTCACAAGAGTTAAAGGGGTAAAACTATAAGAAGACATATCTAGGACAAAGAAAATTCAAACAAAGCATACAAGTAAAAACTCTACGAAGGAAAATACTGTTCCATAATTTCACAGGCTGATACATACAGTACTGAGATCATCATCATTACATGTATTCAAGGAGAAGAATTGTTGCATTGGATGGGATTTATGCCCAATGACTTCCCAAGCCTCTTCCAATTATAAGGTTTCTTGATTCTCGCATTATCCAGTCTGCAGACTGCAAGGCAGGAAGTAAAAATAGAATTCAAATCCAATCTCTCCTAAATAAAATAGGAAGTGAAACAAAACCCTCTAAAAACCAGAAGCAAAAGTGGGAGACACCAAGGGGGACCACCCACACAGGTAGTGAAAATACAGACACTGAGTGGTGAAGTTGGCTTGCTTTGATTCCTGCCACATCCCTGGAAATACTGCTAGCTCCCAAGAAAGGAGGCTGGTTGCAGTTTTTGATGCTTTTGTTTCTGTGCTAGTTAGGCTAGAGCTCTTCCTCAAGTCTTTTCTTACTGCTTCTGCATTGCCTGGTGAAAGCAGTCTTGGGAAGCATGTGCCTTCTGCCTATCTGAAAAGGTACACTCTTGCTTGTTTCTATTCAGAGCCATAACGCGATTTGAGGTGAAATACCGGCTGCCCATCACACGTAATCTATCGGTGTTAAGAATCTGTTCTTTGAAAGGAATATTGGAACTGTTGGGATACGGTCTGCAGTAACCAGGGCTGCTTTATTATACGATCCGCACTGGTTTCCCACCACCCCCCTTTTTTTTATTGCACTGGTTACTCAGTCATACTAAACATAAAATAAAGTGAAATAAATAAATATATAAAACTCAGAGTGCACTGAGTCTTTTCACTGTCAAGCTGGCTCAAATGTTCTCAAAGTTTATCAGAGAGCTTGGTTGCCCTGGTGAAAATAGCATTGTGCAGTGAAACAGAAAATAAGATGTCATGGCAAACTAAACATCTTCACTTTCTGGACAAATATCTAAGTTGACTGGAGCATAGAGGGGCCTAGGTCTGACCAGAGGGAGGAAGCCCGGCTTCCCTGTCCCATGTGTTAGGCTTCCTTGGGGTTCAGGTGAACAAGTGGGTAAAATTCACCAATACCTGGCTTCTGCTGAAGACTTTGGCACCTTCTGGCCAGCTCAAGTCTACACTTAGGCAGCTCCTTCATATGTTGAAAGTGAAGATGTTTAGTTTGCCGTGACATCTTATTTTCTGTTCTGCTGCACAGTGTTATTTTAACCAGGGCAGCTTACTCTCTCCCTGATAACCAACTGAGACTTGATATCTGCAAGCAACTCCCATTAAAATGAATGGATATTAAAATCACTGTGTGTATGTGTGTGTGTGCCTGTGTCTGTGTGTGTAGAAATGAAAAGAGGCTGAGAAGTAGAGGGTCTGGGAGGAGAGAAGAGGGAAAAGTCAAATCACATTTACTTATTAGCTTGTTAATCTGTTTACAACTCTCAGTTAAAAATGGGAATAACAATACTACTAATCTGAGAAGGAGGCTGTTATGAGGATTAAATAAAATATCTGGAGCAAATGAAGCGCCCTGTGAACAAAATCAAATGAGTACTTGGCAATATTAAGCACCCCATTAATGTTAGCTATTATTTTATTATTTACAAAAAATAAGGAGGGAAAGAAGAAAAACAGAAAGTAAAGACATTTAAAACCTGTAGAACACTTTGGAGACAAATGAGAAGAGATGATCTTATTTCTTTACAGTGATTATATCCAGGCAGCCAAACTCATTCATCCGTTAAATACACCAGAGCAAACACCTGCAAAACACTGAATAACGAAAGTGCCGGACAGTACCAGACATTGTTGGTGCTCTGTGAATATCCCCTCAAATCCATTATCATTATTCTGCTTTACTTGGATGCTTTCCGCCCAGCAGCTAGAACTCCTGCCTCTTTTCAGAGGACTCCCTCAGTCTACTTAGAACCCACTTTGCCTGAGGCCAAAGTGCCTGAGGATTTTTACCCTTTTGAGAACAGCACATAGCCAATGACTGATAGGAGACACATTTGCTTCCCCTCCTTCCCTTCCTGGTGCCCATCTCCACTCTCTTCCTGTTTTTACCCGACAACACATCCTAATAAATCAGTTTAGCCTGAATTTTTGTCTCAGACTCTGCTTCTTGGGAATCTAGCCTAACATGAGGATGTCCCTGACTTATAACTAGACTTTTCAAAAAAAATTTTGGAAATGAGTTTGGAAGTCAAAAAATATGTTTTTGTAGAAAATATCTTAGAGATGTTGTTACAATCCACAAAGCTTATGTAACCCATCAGGTAATTAAAATACTAAGTGTTTCTAGAAAAACCCTCTACAGAATTTTACTATTACTCTATAGGGACAAAATATAACAGGGAAAAAAAATACAAACAAAAAAGCAGGGTTTACCTTGAGTCTCAATAGAACTTAGGTTGTCAGGGAATTTCTAGGAATTTTCAGGAATGTGAGAAGTTGCTGAAACAGGCTTTTTTCCCCCCAGTCTTTCTTTTCTTCCCTTTATGAAAATGTACCACAGATAATCACCACTCTTTTCTCTCAAAGGAATGAAGGGGCCTTTTTGATGACAAATAGTGTAGAGAGAAAGAAGCATGTGGGAGGGTCCTGAGGGGAGGAAAAGGTGGGAGGAGGGAAGAGATGCGCCTAAGGGCTAAAGAAGCAGTTAAAAAAAGAGAGAATTACTGTAAATGAGGGGAAAGGAGATGCCATCAGGCAGTGCATAAAAAGGACAAAAAAGAACAGGTGTATATCCCCAAAGAGGTCACTGCAGGAGGTTAATCCTTGCGTGGAGAACTCAGGAACAAGAAATTGATGATGAAGAGGAAAGTATTACAGAAAGGCTTGAGGAGGGTCAGGGCAAAAGAAGAATGTTCCTGGACATCTTTTCTCTTATTGTACCCTTTCTGGTCTAGATACCAGTCATCTTTAATCCTTTTTGCCCAGTCTGGAGACCTACAGCTAACGTAAAGGAGTTCTGAATTTCTTTCCCTTATGAGTTCTTGAATTCTTTTTATACTATTTGACATTTACACCAGCAAGAAATATGTCCTTGATCATTGAGCAGGATGGGTGGTAACTCAGATTTTATCTTCTGAGTTTAACTCAAGGGGTTGGATTAAGCAACTTTTATGTCACTGAGACAACTATGGGGTGGAAAGGGGTGAACTATTTATTAAAACCATCACTAATTGCTGGGAAATAGAATAATTCACTTCAGAGCAGTTGAGTTTTGTTTGTTTAAGAATCACTGCTTGTTTTTTGGGGGTGGTAAGGTAAACAGTCCTTACTCTTCCTGCATTATCAAGAATTAAAGAGTTAAATCTAGAAAGAACTAAGTTGACTAAATTTGTATATTAAAGTTACTAAAGCTTAGAGGCAGGAGATGGAGTGGGGAAGCAGTCAATGGATGCAGTAGAGGACAGAGAAAAGAAATGCCAGAAAATGGGACAGAAGAGACACCCAGCCAATTACATAAGCTCAGAAACTCCCTTCTCTAAGGAACGGCTGATAGAGTTCTAGAAACTATAACTTCTGACATTGTACTTTGGCATAGTTAATTTGTCATATGCAATATAGCCTAGCATACTCAGAGACTCTAGGGATAACACTAAGGTGCTTCCCCCAGGATGTCACAAATACTCTCAAATAGTTCTATTTGGGGATTAAAGGAAAGATTACTACAGAAAACTCTAAGACAAGGGTCAAAAATTTGCCTGCCTACAGGAATCAGGTAGACCACATCAACCTGTAAATTGATTATTAGGAGTCAAAGCAGAGAGGTGGAATGGTAGACCTATCCACTTGGGCTATGATTCACCCAACATAATTCACACTAAGGATTTTAAAAGAAATCTGAGTTGGCAAAACAGCACAATTTAGGGCTGAATTCAGTCAGACAGTTGACATGTTTGGCATCTGCTCTGATCTGGGAACACCCAGGAGCACCCATGTTATACAAATTCTGTTTCTGGTGTACAGATTTGTTCTTTCCTCTCTTGTGGTTGTGGACATGACACTACACAAAGACATGTTCCTATAATTAACAGGACAATGAAATAAAACAACCTCATCTTTAATTAAATACTGCTTCTTTTAATTAAATATCACACTAGCTTTTGGAATTTTGGATCTGATGAATTTTACCCAAATTCCTTTTGAAGGGACGTTGATGAATTCTTCAAACATATTAAGAACAAACCTGACAATCTGTAGAACCAGAGCTCTAAGTTCTCCCTGTCTAGAGTTGCAAATCAGAGCACCTGGTTTCTCAGGAGGATGCACCTCTGCTTGTTGTTGCTTAATTTGATCTGACCACTGGTGGTGTCCTTGGATTTCTAAGAGCAAAAGAGTATTATTCCAAGAAACAATTTTAGCATAAGCCTTTTTACACAGTGATAATTTCTAGGTTGCTGGATATTCGAGTATAGAAGAAAATGCTACTTAAAACAAATTATTTCAAAATATGTAAGCTTATAAGTAGGTGACTATTTGTAATAAATTATGTAAACTATGGAAAATTTACAACAAAGTTAATCTGAAGAGTATTTAATTAAATAAATATCTGTGGCAGATTGTGAAACTGGTCACAGTTCTCCACCCCTACCTGTATATGTACTTTTGCACTGTGACTTTGCAGTTCCTCCCATTAAGAGGTAGAGTCTATTTCTCCATCCTTTGAATCTGGGCGCACTCTGTGACTGCTTTGGCTGGGAGAATGCAGCAGACGTGACGTTGTATTCTGAGTCTAGGTCTTTCATGACCTTACAGCTTCCTCTTTCCTTCTTGGAACCATGCCATGCTGTCATATGAACAAGGTAGGGCTAGTCTACTGGATGATGAGAAGTGTGTGACCCAGTTTTCCCTTTTCTCCCAGCTGACAGCCAGTCAGTTGTTCGAAGAGCTGCGTAACTGACTAGAGACCAACTGCAAACATAAGAATGAGCCCAGCCAAAACTGGAAGAACCATATAACTGAGCCTAGCACAAATTGGCAATTCACAGAATCATGGACTGAATAAATGGTTGTTTAAGCCCCAAGTTTTGGGGCCATTTATTATATAGCAAAAGTACCTGATATAATAATATTAATAATAATGCTAAATAATTGGATTATCATTATTTTATTATCATAAAAAGCATCATAATGATAATACAAATTATTTAGTATATCCTGAAAGTAACATGATTGTAGCTTGTAATAGTTTTCAGCTTTTCATTTCACACTCCTTAGTTCTCTAGTATCTAGAATCAGTTCAGAGGCTTCCATTTAATCACCAATACACACACATACCCATTTAAAACAGAGTTTAGGTCTGACTTCTCCAATTGCTGTGGCTCCCAATCTCTAATTATCAGCACTCTATGGCCCTGGGTCAATATTTATTCCTCAGCTCTCCACCTAGATATTCATCATGTCTGGTTTCTTGTATCAATGAGGGCCCAGTCAGAAAAACAGAACCATATCAGTTGTTTTTATGGAGCGAATTTAATATGGGGAATTGGGTAAACAACTGTTGCAGGACTTGAAGGCAAACAAGGGAACACTGCAGGAAGAAGCCACATACTCCAAGGACTAGAGAACAAGGCAGGAGGGGTTGAATCTATTGGAACCTAGAGGCTTGGAGGAGCCTCTGTGGAGCTGAGTCTGTCCCTTCTGAGGAGACGGCACTGCCTGGACAGTGCTGATACATCCACAGGGATGCAGTGACAGTATTTCTGGGCGTGCTGAAAGAAGACAGAAACTGGAAACTACTGCTCCTGAAACCAATTGCTACTTCAAGGGGAAGAGCTCATACTAATAGGAACAGCAAGCAAACGGGAAGGAACAAATCCCATCAACCGCCCCCTGCCTTTCAGCCTCCCTCTGGAGTTCCTCTTGATAGAATCTAACAGGAATCATTCAGCTTGCAAAGAAAAGTTGTGGTTTCTAGAGTTCCAGCAGCAGCATCAAAGAGCAGAGTACAAAAGGGTCAGTTTAGAGCTGAGATACTACAGCTTAATAACTGTCGCTTCCCATCTTTATCTTGAAGACTCCTTGAACATGGTTTTCTTCTTTTCTAAGTGCCCACCTTAAAGATCCCGGACTTGAAGCTGCAAACACTCGAAACACAAAGTAACATAGTTTGGATGCTTGTTTCCTTTAAATCTCATGTTGAAATGTGACCCTCAATGTTGGAGGTGGGGCCTAGTGGGAGCTGTTGGATCTTGGGGGTGGGTCCCTCATGAAGAGCTTGGTGCCATGCCCTTGGTAATGAGTGAGTTTTCACTCTATGAGTTCACATGAGAGCTAGTTTGTTTCAAGGAGCCTGGTACCTCCTCCTCTCTCTTGCTCCCTCTTTTGCCATGTGACATGTGTGCTCCCCCTGTCACCTTCTGCCATGGGTAAAATCTTCCTGATGCCTCACCAGAAGCTGAACAGATGCTGGTGCTATACTTGTACAGCCTTCAGAACTGTGAGCCAAATAAACTTCTTTTATTTATAAATTACCATGTCTCAGGTGTTCCTTTACAGCAATTTAAAATGGACTAATACACAAAGTTAATGCTCTAACAACTTTTGGTTAAATAAATGAATATGAGACTGTAAAGTTATTTTTTAATACCTCCTTTGTTTTAGATGTTGTATTGTTGAGCACTTTTTGTTTTTCTTCTTTAATATTCTCCTCTAATATTCACATGAGGAAGAAGATAATAGTTCTCCATTTTTGTGTCAGTGGCCAGTTAGAAAAACAGAAATCTACCTGAGTATTTTAACTAGAGAGAATTTAATACACAAAAAGGACTACAAAAATGGAAAGGTCTGGAGAAATGAAAGGAAAAGGTGATGGTACCCAGAGCTCATCAGTTTGCACTCACTGCTGAGACTGACCAAGCTCCACTGCTGCACCTGTGTACCTGTGTGATGGGCAGAACCAGCACTACTGCTGCTGAGCGGGAAGCTTGGATGCCCCTCCCTCACCTCTTGCTACAGCAACTGCCTCAGCTATGGAAACCGCTGTCACTATTGCAGGAACTTGTAGTCGCCTACTTTGCAGCTGTAGCAGTCACCACTCTTTTAGAAAACTGTGATCACCTGAAGTAGCCTACGGTTCCAATGTGGTTATTGCTGGATCCAGAAGCAGAAAAGCAGCTTTGGCCTTCCATCTGTCTTGTAAATCTCTAGAGAGTGCCTCTCTTTGGTGGACATTAAAAGAAGTCATCTGCATAAATGTCTTCTTTTGAGAAGTGTCTGTTCATATCCTTCACCCACTTTTTGATGGGGTTGTTTGTTTTTTTCTTGTAAATTTGTTTGAGTTCGTTGTACATTCTGGATACTAGCCCTTTGTCAGAGGAGTAGATTGCAAAAATTTTCTCCCATTCTGTAGGGTGCCTGTTCACTCTGATGGTAGTTTCTTTTGCTGTGCAGAAGCTCTTTAGTTTAGTTGGATCCCATTTGTCAATTTTGGCTTTTGTTGCCATTGCTTTTGGTGTTTTAGACATGAAGTCCTTGCCCATGCCTATGTCCTGAATGGTATTGCCTAGGTTTTCTTCTAGGATTTTTATGGTTTTAGGTCTAACGTTTAAGTCTTTAATCCACCTTGAATTAATTTTTGTATAAGGTGTAAGGAAGGGATCCAGTTTCAGCTTTCTACGTATGGCTAGCCAGTTTTCCCAGCACCATTTATTAAATAGGGAATCATTTCCCCATTTATTATTTTCATCAGGTTTGTCAAAGATCAGATGGTTGTAGATATGTGGCATTATTTCTGAGGGCTCTGTTCTGTTCCATTGGTCTATATCTCTGTTTTGGTACCAGTACCATGCTGTTTTGGTTACTGTAGCCTTGTAGTATAGTTTGAAGTCAGGTAGTGTGATGCCTCCAGCTTTGTTCTGTCAGTCAGGATACCATCTCACACCAGCTAGAATGGCGATCATTAAAAAGTCAGGAAACAACAGGTGCTGGAGAGGATGTGGAGAAATAGGAACACTTTAACACTGTTGGTGGGACTGTAAACTAGTTCAACCATTGTGGAAGTCAGTGTGGCGATTCCTTAGGGATCTAGAACTAGAAATACCATTTGACCCAGCCATCCCATTACTGGGTATATACCCAAAGGATTATAAATCATGCTGCTATAAAGACACATGCACACGTATGTTTATTGCGGCACTATTCACAATAGCAAAGACTTGGAACCAACCCAAATGTTCAACAATGATAGACTGGATTAAGAAAATGTGGTGGCACATATACACCATGGAATACTATGCAGCCATAAAAAAGGTTGAGTTCATGTCCTTTGTAGGGACATGGATGAAGCTGGAAACCATCATTCTCAGCAAACTATTGCAAGGACAAAAAACCAAACACCACATGTTCTCACTCATAGGTGGGAATTGAGCAATGAGAACACATGGACACAGGAAGGGGAACATCACACACCGGGGCCAGTTGTGGGGTGGGGGGAGGGGGGAGGGGTAGCATTAGGAGATATACCTAAAGTTAAATGACGAGTTAATGTGTGCAGCACACCAACATGGCACATGTATACATATGTAACTAACCTGCACGTTGTGCACATGTACCCTAAAACTGAAAAGTATAGTAAAAAAAGAAAAAAAGAAAACAAACAAACAAACAAAAAAAAGAAGTCATCTGGTAAGGGAGTTTGGGAAATGTAGTTTTTAAACTTCTGGTCTTGGCAATGTAAAGAATAGTACAGAAGAACAAGTGTGGGGCTGAGACCAAAGATAATATCTGGAAGAGTTTCCCCTTTTGTTTAGTCACTTCTGTGTATGTTCTACTCTCATAAACTTTTACCACCAACATCAGTGAATTTGTGCTTCCATTTAATACAATGCAATTATCCCTTGCACAAAGATACTTTTACCCTCTTCCTAAAGGAAAAATATAAAGACCAATTGGTTAGCCATCTCTAGTATGTATCTCGATTGGTCCAAACCATTATTTTTTCATCTTCCTTGCTCTAACTGCTGCATAATCCATTTCCATATATATATTACTTAGAGTTTTGCCAATATAATGAACAAAATATTGCAATTATTTAGGTATATAAAGCCATATTCTTTGAGGCCAGATTTTAAACTTTTGCCCTGAGGGTTGCTGGAATTTGATTCTGGTGTGGATATGGAGGTCATGAGAGGTGGAAGGAGTGAATCTTGAGAAGAATCAGTATCCCCTTGTAGGGCAACTGCCATGGATGAAGTTATTAACAGGATCTTCTTGCAAGAGATGACTATCATGTCTTCCCAGTGTGGGAAGGAGAGACTGCTCTTACTAGAAAGGGGGTATAGGTGACCAGGAGTTCCTTAGATTTGAATAAAGTCATCTTGATGGCTCCATTCCAATTCTCAGGATTCCACTCCTTCCAAATCAATCCTCAGACTCCCACATAAAAGACCTGATGAGTTCATGAATTCACATTCATTGTAATTGTCCAATCTGTGGGATAAAATTTTGGATCTATATCAGTCATATGTCTAAAAAGATAAGAGAATTCTTCAGTGCCATCACAGAAGCTTTCAGGTTCTGTGACTAGACATTGAGTTGAGAGAGTGAAGTTCTAAACCTGTCATTTTCTTTCTGTAAGCTCTCCAGGAAAATCAGAAACAGCCATTCCACCCCTTCATCTTGTAGTCATTGCTCCCACTGTCTCCCCCACCCCATGGTTACAGTAATCATTGCCATTATTACAACACCTCTTAATTATCCTCTGGGGCCTCTATGACATTACTGCTATCCTGCTGCTCCCACATCCAGAGTCAGAAGCAGAAAAAAATGATGCTCTTTTCCAGTTGCTTTTTAATTTCCCTTCAGTCTCTCTCAATGGCAGAGACTAAGCCATTCTAGCTGGCATCAGAGGCTGAAAAATGTAGTTTTTAGGCTTACTGCTTTGGCAGTACCGAGCAGAACTATAAGGACAAGCATTGGAGTATAAGTCAGTGGGTTATTATTATCCCCATTTTAAAGATAAGGAAACTGACGCTAAATAGCTTAAATAACCTGCCCAGTTTTGAGATGTTATAAAACTTGCTTGAGGCTAGACAACTAATATACTGCTGAAAAATCTGTGGTCTTTCCACTGCATGTTATGTTCCCAGGAACCAATTGTCAGACAATCTTAAGAACAACAAGGTGCTGGAATTTGAGCATTTCCAGCTTTCTCATTTCATTTTAGATTCAGCAACCATTGCTCCCAACTGATTTGGAGATGTGGATTGGCCTCCTTGCCATCATTAAAGGTTCAATTATGCAGGCATAAAGAAAATGCAGCCGTCCATTAAGAGGCAACCATAGTATAGTGGTAAAAGCCACAAATTGCTTGGTTTTGTAACTCGGCTCCATCACTTATTAGTTGTCTATCCTCAAGCAAGTTTTGTAACATCTCAGTCCCTCAGTTTTCTCAACTGTATAACAGTGATAATACTACTCCCTGTCTCACATAGTTGGTGTGAGGAATAAATGAGTTAATCCATGTAGAGTTTATAGAACAGTGCCTGGTTCGAAGAAAATGCTCAGTAGGTCTAGTTATTATTATTTTATTTAGTTGCATTTGACTACTAAGAGGCTCCTAAAAATAGAGCATTATCTTCCATGTTTTTTTCCAAACAAATTGTGTCTACTGAGAACTTTCAAGAGGTATGGATGCAAAAACTCTCCTAAAAATAAAAGGCAAGGGAGGACCTACATGTTTCAAAGAAAAAGGGAGCATGGAAGAAAAGGAGGTCTGGAATGAGGGTGAATGTCCCTCTTGGGGTGAGGGAATCAGGAGGCCAGCTACAGTTGTGGTCTGAGGTCATATTTTGTGACCAGCCAGGGATAGAAGAACCAAGAACACTGCCTATTTCCTGGGCAACAAAGAGAGCTTAGGCATTGGGCACTGTAAGAAAGCATAAGAATATAGTACTTTAATAGGAAGTGAAGCCATATCCCTCAGGCATCCTGGGCAAGATGCGGTCTGAAATAAAAGGCTGGGTAAACTGGTTGACCTCTAAAACATATCCCCATGTTGTGCAAGACTGAACTCTGTTCTGAGTGAGAGCTGATGTTATTTATTCCTTATTCCTTCTTTCTTTTATTCAACAACTATTTGTTAAGCAATAATATATATGTGAAACTGCGTTGGGCCCTGAGGGCTAAAGAGACCCTTATAGGTTGTTTGCGTTCTGTTGTTTGCCTCCTAGTTGTACTTGTAACTTCAAAAACCTCACATCTCTGAACCTTTAGGCTAATACCCAAGATGAATATCGGTAAGTATTTGAAAAGAATAATAACTTTCATTCATCAAGCTGCTTCTCTGTGTTCAGCCAACTTTATGAACATCTCACTTAATTCACATGATTATCCCATGAAATAAGTTCTAATATTATACCTTTTTACAGATAAGAAAACTGACATGCAGAAAGGTTAGATAATTTACTCCAGCACACAGGAAGGTTCTGAATGGGGATTCTGATTTCCCCTAAGAGATACAAGGGAAAACCTGGTTTTCTGAAGACATACTTTCTAAGGAATCCTTGTCTTCAAGGGGATAGTGGAGAAAGTATTCTTCAAGGAATCTCTGTCTTCAAGAGGGGTAGCAGAGAAAGGAGTGAAGTCTAGTTGCTGAGAAGTTTGTCATAATTACTTGGGTAGTTTAATAATGGGGAAAGAACTAGGCAATACTTCATTATCCAGTGGAGCTCTTAATGCCTTGGAGGGATTTGGTCTGAATATTGTGTGTGTGTGTGTGTGTGTGTGTGTGTGTGTGTGTGTGTGTGTGTGTGAAGAATGAGAAAATATCTGAATATGATGCTGTAAGTGCTTCCCTGGAAAGTCTGGTGGCCTCTGCTTCCAACTCAGTAGAAAACCTAAAATGCACCAAACTTGCTGGAAAGGGACAGAACACAGCAGAATTGGGCCCAAACCCTAGTCCTAGGTGAAGGGATGCTATTCTGTGCTGGTCCTAAGTCTCTTTTATTATTCATGATACCTGTCCGATTGCATAGATAGGGTTAGGAAGGTCAGTGCAGCATTAATATGTTGAATTGGGTGATGGCATGGGCTGGAGATGGAACCTGTCACACCAGAGTGATTCTTATTGAGGGGGCTTGATTTGATATAAATATTAATTTGATGTTTCCTCCCATCTTCAAGACATTTGTCCTACCTAGATAGGAGAATGCCTGAATGCTAGCCCCAGGCAAAGCAGTAATATATGTTGAGTTTTGTAGTGGGGGTAGGGGAGCTGGTAGCAAGGACAGGAAGGATTAGGATTATCTACAATGTTCAGTGTGAGGCTCTACCATGGATGTTTTGGAAGGTGTGTATAAAGCCTCTAGGGGGAGTTTAATAAGTTCCACATTTTGGCCCAAATGTATGGTTCCCAAGTATATTTATCTATTCAAAAGCATAAAAGCCAGTACTTAGGAAAGGGACATGGCCGCAGAGTTATCATCCCCAGTTCCCAACCTTTACTCTAGTTTAAACCAGTGATCCTTAACCTGACTGCACAAGATAATCATCTGGGAAGCTTTTAAAATAATTGTGCATGCCTGGGCCCCAGACTGGAGTCTTAGTCTGGTTTCTGTTGCTTATAACAGACTACCTGAAACTGGGTAATTTATAAAGGAAAGGAATTCGTTTCTTGCAGTTACAGAGGCTAAGAAGTCCAAGGTTGAGGGGTTGCATCTGGTGAGGGCTTTCTTGCTGCTGGGGACTCTCTATAAAGTATCAAGGCAGCATAGAACTGTAAGGGGGCTGAGTGTGCTACCTCAGGTCTCTCTACCTCTTCTTATAAAGCCACCCATCCCACTCTGAAGACAACCCATTAATTCATTAACCCACTTATCCATTAATCCATGAATAGGTTAATCCATTCATGGGGCATAGTCCTCATGACCCAACCATCTTGTAAATGCCCCACCTCTCAATACTGCCACATTGGGGATTAAGTTTCAACATGAGTTTTGCAGGGGACAAATATGCAAACCATAGCACCCAGGTTTATTGAGTCAGAATCTCTGAGACTAGGCCTGAGCACAGGTGTGCTTAAAAAAACTCTCCACATGATTTGAATCTCCATTTAGAATTTTTAAAAAACAGGATACACTGTGTTTGAAACCTCTTCAAATGAAGCAAAAGGGATGAAACCTCAAGGACCATGTACCCTCTAACATCCTCCCCACCCCATCCCCATCCTCCCAAGGCTACAGAGGTGGGCTCTTCTTGGCAGGCATGAAAAGCAGCCTTCAAGTCTAGTTCCGGGTAGCTTCTGTATTTCACGTGCTACTTGAATACACATCAGAATCACCAGAAAACTTGTGAAAACACAGATCTCTGGGCCCTACCTCATAGTTTCTAAATTAAGTGGGTCTGGAATGGCACCTGAGAATGTGCATTTCTAATCAGTTCCATGTGATGCTGATGCTGTTAATCTTAAGACCACACTCAGAACCACTGGCAAATACAGATGAAAGTTCCAACCAGTTCAGAGATCTGTGTGAATGCTAAATAACTTCTCTAAGTAGTGTTTTATTATTATTATTATTATTTTGAAATGGAGTATCACTCTGTTGCCCAGGCTGGAGTGCAGTGGCTTGATCTTGGTTCACTGCAACCTCCACCTCCTGGGATCAAGCAAGTTTCCTGCCTCAGCCTCCCAAGTAGCTGGGATTACAGGTGCATGTCACCATGCCAGGCTATTTTTTTGTATTTTTAGTAGAGATGGGGTTTCACCATGTCGGCCAGGCTGGTCTGAAACTCCTAACCTCAGGTGATCCGCCCACCTCGGCCTCCCAAAGTGCTGGGATTACAAGCATGAGCCACCACAGCTGGCCTCTAACTGGCTTTTCTTATTGATGACATTTTGTTCTCACCTGGCTGTTGATACACCACCTGAGCCTAGTGCAGCATTTCTTGTGCTCAGGCAATGAATGGGCTTATGATTTTGAGCCTGGCTGTCAGAAGTCACATCAGTGTTTGTGATGGTAGACACAGCCCAGTGTCCTGGATCCAGATAAACTTCATCTCAGGTTACTCTAGAAAACGGCAGTGGCAGGAATCTGGGGGCCTGTTTAGAAACATGCTTTGCTGCTGAAATAATAAATCAAAACCTTGTGCTTGAACTCAAAAGTTGCTTCTAGAGTGTGAGCAAAGGTAGGACTGTGTTTCTTCACATCCCTAGGATGGATCCTGGGGTGGAGTGGGCACTCAGTAATGGTTTGCTGAAGGAGGGTGCCCCATGTGCACCCCTCAGGCCAAAGCCTAGCCTTGTCCACACTCCTGGGCTCAGCTGAGATTAAACAGAGCCAGCCTCTATTGGAATTGGAAAGTCAACAAGTCCTTCATGAGTGCTACCATTGTCTGATTCCCCTTTCCTTTCAGCAGTTCTAGGCATTTCTGCAACCCTCCCCCCTGCCATTTCCCAACAGTTGTATGAGACCATGTGTGTTGTTCTAGCCAATGTTATGTTAGGGGTGACCTCAGTTATATTTCTAGGCTGAGACAGTGAAAAGCCTGGAAGAGCCATGGGTGTTTTCTCAGGCTCTTTTCTCCTGTCATAGTGAGTGTGAAGGAGGTCTTGTGTTGAGATGGCCAAGCCTCAGAATGGAAGCAGTCTGGATGCTGGGTCACTACACGTAGGACAGCTGCCCCAGAGAGTTGCCTAGACCCACATGAATGAAAATAGAATCTGTGTGTTCTTGATCCTGAGATGTAGCTTTGTTCTAGGACTTGAGATTTTTAGCTCCCATTGCCTTGCCTCCTGGATTTTTGACTCAATGTGAAGTTCAGTCGGGCACATTTTTTGAATGCTCCATGGAAAACAGAAAACAATGGAAAATCATCATTTGTCTTCTTGCGTAAGGACTGCTTGCATTTGAGGATGAATGAGGCTCAATGTGTTGCTTCTCCCTCTAGACATTTGTATATTATATTCTATCCCTATAATTAGAGGGGGTGAGAATGGGAGGGAGAGGAAAAGGAATAAGGAGGAAGAGAAAGATGGAAGAGATATGGAAAGAGACTTTCTTTGGATTAAAAACTAGTTATTAGTGATCGTGTGGACCTGTAGAGAGAGATTTAGAGGGATGAGGAAGTTTCATAGCACCTGATATTTGTTATACTTACTTGTAAGGGTTGCCTTGAAGGCAAATTTTTCTTGGCAGGATTGTTATAAAAATAAAAGAGGATGCCATATTTGAAGGAAAACCAGTACATATTTGTTTCCTTCACCCCAGTCTTGCAAGATAGACAGCTACTAAACAGATTTTATAGATGAAGTTACTTTGCCTAGAGAGGGGAAGTATCTTGTTCAAGTTCACAGCGCACAAGTGGCAGAGCCAGGACTCCCACCAGGGTCTGTCCACCTCCATGTGTACCACGTTTCCAGTGCTCCATGTTGGCAGAGGTTGCTCATTTTCAGACACAACCTAAAAGCCTCCATACATATCAACCTGCCTTCAATTCCTAGAAGGGGATGAAGCTGGCATGTCTTCCCTGAAGTTCAGAGCCTGCTTTACCCTAGCACAATCTCTCAGATTCCACCCTTTAACTTCTCCTTTGACTGCCACCTTGTCTTCTCTACTGACCCTGAATGCACCAGGACAAGCTCACCTCCCTCCCAGACCAAGCCCATCTCTGCAACCCAAGGCTCCAGCCTCCAGGATTCCTGAGGGAAGATTCCTACACCTAGCACACTGGAATGTGGTTTAGGTAATGCAAGAGACGCTGAGGGGACACTGGAGCTCCCTTACCTGCAGGTTACTTCTGGCATGAGCAACCTCATCTAATTCCCTCGATAGACTGTGTAAACACTATTGTCTTCCCTCTGTGCTGTGCGGTCAAATATGCTTGAGAGCACTGCCCTGGAACACATTCTACCTGCTGAGGGGAAAAGTTGCTAGAAAAAGAGGCTGTAATCTTAGGAGAAAGGAGATATAATGGATCGATAATGGGTATAAAGTTTTTGTAAATTACAAGGTACTGCAAATGCTTATGTTACAAGGAGTGTATATAATGACCCCATTTGTGATTTGCATTGTGTGTCTGTTAAATTAATAGCATTTTGAATTGCTTTCCATTAGTGTACTTAAAAGATTTACAATGTTCCCTTTTTTGTGCCTTTAAAAATTTTTTAAATTTTTCTATAAGTTATTGGGGTACAGGTGGTATTTGGTTACATGAGTAAGTTCTTTAGTGGTGATTTGTGAGATTTTTGTGCACCCATCAGCCGAGCAGTATACACTGCACCCTATTTGTAGCCTTTTATCTCTCGCCCCCCTCCCACCCTTTGCCCCATGTTCCTTTTTAAATGGCTCCATGTAGTTCATCCTACGCTTGTACTATAATTTACTTAACTAGTCCCTTATTGATGGATGTTTAGGTTGTTGCAGTTCTTTTTGCTATTGTAAATAATCTTGTAGTGAACATCCTTACATATAGGATTCTCTTTCTTTTCTTTTTTTGGTGCAAATTTATGAGTATAGCTAGAGGATAAATTTGAGAAATGTAATTGCTAGGTCAAAATGAATGGTCTTTTAAAATTTAAATAGTTATCGCTAAATTTAGAGGCTTTAAAATGTACATAGGCAACTTTGTTAGTCTCTTTTTCCATTATGGTTTATGGGTTTTGTGCCACGCTTAGAAAGGCCTTCCCTCTACATAAAAAAAAAAAAAATCCTTTTAGTGCTTTTATGGTTTTATCTTTTTAATGTTTAAATCTTTGCTCCATCTGGAATTCAAGTTAATGTAAGGAGTGAAATAGAGATCAGGCTTTATTTTTTCCCAAATGGCTAGCCAGTTGTCCCAACACTGTTTACTGAAAAATCCATCTTTCTCTTACTGATTTGAAATGCTGCTTTATCATGTACAAAACTCCCACGTCTGTTGGGTCTATTTTTTTTTTCAATTCTCTGCTCTGTTCCATTCACTCTTCTGTCAAATCCTATGTGAGTTTTAATTGCTGTAGTTTGAGTATATATTTCAATATGTGGTTGGCTTAATCTCTGTCATTTTCCTTTTCAGATACTTTCTGGCTATTGTTATTTATTAATTTTATCATTAAACATATATGATTCTGTTGAATAAAAAATGCTGCAGGTATTTTGATTGGGATGACACTCAATGTAGTCCACTTAGGAAGAATGAGCTTCATTCATTAATCTTCCCATCCATAGGAATATACTCCTTTTTTTTTTTTTAAAAGTCAGTCATGTCGTTTTTTATTTTTATTATTAGTTTATTTATTTATTTATTTTTACAGATTTATTTTCTTTTTTCTTTTTCTTTCAACTTTTATTTTAAGCTCTGGGATACATGTGGAGGATGTGCAGGCTTGTTACACAGGTAAACCTGTGCCATCGTGGTTTGCTGCACAAATCAACCCATCACCTTGATATTAAGCCCAGCATCTGTTAGCTATTCTTCCTGATGCTTTCCCTACCCCTGACCATGCCTCAGTGTGTGTTGTTCCCCCTGCTGTGTGTCCATGTGTTCTCATCATTCAGCTCCCACTTATAAGTGAGAACATGCAGTGTTTGGTTTTCTGTCCCTGTGTTAGTTTGCTTAGGATAATGGCTGCCAGCTCCATCCATGTCTCTGGAAAAGACATAATCTCATTCCTTTTTATGGCTGCTTGGTATTCCATGGTGTATATGTACCACATTTTCTTTGTTTAGTCTATCATTGATGGGCATTTGGGTTGATTCCCTGTCTTTGCTATTGTGAATAGTAGTCCTTTGTATTCATTAAATTTTTTGTTGCCTTTCTTCAGAAATAAGTAAAAGTATTTTCCTCATCTTGATCTTTCACACTTATTTCGAAGTTTATTCCTTTTTGAAGAGATGGGAGTAAAAGGATGATTTTGGTTGTAATATTAAATGCAATAATTTTCAATATATTTTGTAACTGATTGAATACAGAAAAATTACTTTTTATAACTTTGCAGCCATTAATCTTACTATATTATATTGTTTCTAATATTTCTCAGTTGATTCTCTTGGTTTTTTTCACGTAGAAAATCATAGAACTTAAAATAGTGATACTGTGTCTGTTCCAATAGTATGTCTTCTAGTACTTTGACATTAAACATAATGCTAGCTTTTGAAGTATGTGTTTATGTGTGCACACATATATTGGTATACACATATATGTGCACATTTGTATATATACAAGCAAGCATGTCTGCACATTGATCAAGTTAAAGAAATTTTTATCTATTTATATTTTGCTACAAATTTTTACTGTAATTCGTATTAAATTTTGTCAAGTGTTTTCTTTACATCTATCAGGGTGATCACATTATTCTTTTTCATTTGATCTTTTAATATAATGAATTATATGAAAATATTATTTTCTAATCTTTAACCTTCCTTGCATTCCTGAATGAATTCAACTTTTCCATGGGTTGTTCATGTAAAGAATTATTATATTCGATTTGCTTATATTTTATTTAAGATGTGCTTATCACATCTATAGAATAATTAGTCTGTATTTTCTTTTTGTGCTATCTTAGGCAGGCTTTGACAAAATTTTTTCTAGTTCCTTTATTAAAATGAGTTTGACAGCATAGCTGGGCTGGACATAAAAGTACACACCTGGGTGAAGCAAGGAGGTTGATGTTTAGGTTTAGGGAGCGACATGTTTAGACAACAGGAGCCTGATGTGTGTGTGTGTTGTATTTCTTTTTTTTTTTAAACAGAGTTTTACTCTTTTTGCCCAGGCTGGAGTGCAATGGTGCAATCTCGGCTCACTGCAACCTCCACTTCCCAGGTTCAAGAGATTCTGCTGCCTCAGCCACCTGAGTAGCTGGGGTTACAGGCGCACGGCTGGGGTCACCACACCCAGCTAATTTGGTATTTTTAGTAGAGATGGGGTTTCGCCATGTTGGCCAGACTGGTCTTGAACTCCTGACCTCAGGTGATCCACCCACCTTGGCCTCCCGAAGTGCTGGGATTACAGGTGCAAGCCACAGCTCCTGGCCTGTGTGCTGTATTTCCTGTGACGGAGGTAGGACATAAGTTAGCTGAACTGAGGTCTCCAAACCTCTCTTTAATTCACCTTTCTATCAGTGAAAACCAATTTGAGCCTGTATCCTCAAATTCATGAGTAAATTGTTCATTTACTTCTGAATGATAATAGGTAAGTCTGTAGTTATATATTAAGAAAGCTCAAGAGAAGCCTTTAAATACTTACCAAAGTAATTGAAATTTTATAAAGTATTATATTATGTTTCCTATGACTTAAACACTACTCAAGAAATTATAGATTTTTTTCTAATATGATAGTGTTAGGTACCAGCTAAAATTATAATATGCTCCTGAGGCGAGGTCTATTTTAAACAATAATGAGTATAAAATTAATATTATAAATAGTCTTTTTCACAATTTCGACTTTACTTTTTTTTTTTTTTTGAGACGGAGTCTCACTCTGTCGCCCAAGCTGGAGTGCAATGGCACGATCCTGGCTCACTGCAACCTCTGCCACTTGGGTTCAAGCAATTCTCCTGCCTCAGCCTTCCGAGTAGTTGGGACTACAGGCGACTGCCACCATGCCTAGCTCATTTTTGTATTTTTAGTAGAGACGGGGTTTCACCATTTTGGCCAGGCTGGTCTCGAACTCCTGACCTCAGGTGATCCGCCTGCCTCAGCCTCCCAAAGTACTAGGATTACAGGCGTGAGCCACAGCGTCCAGCCATTTCAACTTTATTTTTAATGCCAGCTTCATGTCAGATCTGGTCAGCCTGCCACCCTTATGACCTGGTATTATGGCTGCAGATGAGCTTGTCCTAGGTATACAGGGTCCACCCTTTCATTTTCTCATTGCTCACGTGTGCTTGCATCAGTAGTAACTAGAATCTAGTCCATAATTCTATTTACCTGGGCACATGTGAACACATAACAGCTGAAGTTTCCAGTGAGGATGCCACTGTCGACCCCGTGGGGCACTCATTGGGGAACCGTGAGATCCCTACATGACAAGTGGACCAGCAAGGGTGACAGTGTCAACCTATATATTAAAAGGCTATTTTTTTCTTATATTTTCAGATTCAAGTTAAATATAGATTATCAATAATTCATATTGAATTTATCTATTGAGATAATCTATAAAGATTCTAACATTTTCTGCCATTACCTAAACAGATTATCCTGCCTTCCCCATTTTGGAGAAGCTCAGGAGACCTAGTGAGTCAGCCAGGAGACCTGATAGAGGGCAGCAGGGGTGCCAGAGGCAGGAGGCCAGTGGGTGGCTGTGCATCTAGGAGAACAGACACGTACGATGGGCAGCAGGCGGCGGATGGAGCTGAAAAGACTCGAGAGTGAGTGGGCTGTGATGAGTTCCAGATTTTTCATCAGATTTGAGTGGGGTGGGAGTGGGAGTGCCTGTCACAGAGGTTAGGGACACAACAGGAAGAGTTTGTGAGGCAGATGATGACTTTGGAGGGCACCTAGGTTGCTGTATTCATTGGGCTGGTAGACGTGGGGATCTGTAACTGGGGGGACAGGTCAGGAGCGATCTGGGCTGGAGTGGGAAATTTAGGGTCCTCTGCATACAGTTGGTAGTTGAATCCCTGTGGATGGATGAGCCCACCCAGGGAGGTATGAGCAGTCAGTGCCCTGGGTACAACTGTGGTTAAGGGCAGGGAAAAAGGCGCCCGAGAAGCAGGTATAAGGAGTGGCTGGCACTCTCTCCTGACCTTGTGAAAAGTTTGAGCAACTTGGCCGACCTAGCCCTTTCCACATGCCCTGAAGTAGCGAGCCTGTCACCGGCCCCTCAGTTCCCATCACAGGAGTGTGAGGCGACCGAGCCAGATAGGCGGCCTGTGCAGGCCTGGACAGACAGCCATAGCCTGCAGAAGCTCCATCCTCTTAGGGCCAGGGAAGGCCATCCCATGAACATGCCAGAGTACTTCAGAGAGAGCTGCACCTGGGCTCCCTCCTCCTCCTGACAACTCTATTTTGTTGGCACCACACATAAATGTGACATTATGAGGAAAATTGGGGTCCCATGACAATTGCTCCTCCAGAGGCTTTATGATTTTAAAAAACATATGTAAGCTGTACAGTGACCATGGGGTCTGAAATTGTAGGTTCTAATTTGCAAAAGGGAAGATATTACCTAATAGTTACAAGGCTAGGCTTTGGAGGCAGGTTGCCTGGGTTTACCTTCAGGCCCTGCCATTTACTACCTATAAAGGTTTGGGCAGATTAGTTAACTTCCCCAGGCCTCAGCTTTCTCATCTGTAAAAGAGGAACAATAATTTGTTGTGAGGTTTCAAAAAGATGGTCCATTTAAAGCTCTTAATATGTACTAACTGCTCAATCAATGTTAGCTGGTTTTAAGCCAGTGTGAGGATGACCTAAAGACAGCACAGGTCAGGCTGGTCAGAGGGGCACCAGGAAGGGGGACTGGCCTCTGGTCAGAGCTGGAGGGTTCTCATCCCAGGATCCCTGGGGTTGATGAGGTCAGGGAAATCTGGCCACCTTTGTTCAGTGAATTATCACTTCCCAGATGTGTGGGCCTGTTTCTTCCAAACACCCAAGGCTGCTCAATAGCTAAGTTGCTATTTGCATTTTCTGATTTAGTTAATGAAATAGTTCGTAGTTTTACAATAACTCTTCATAAAAAGCTGCTATTTTATTTGTTCATTTGATTAACAGCTGAGTATTATACTTTCTAAGCAAATGAAAGAGAGAAAATTTAGGGGTGGCTTGGGCTCTTTGTGGAATGACAAGAGATACTGATATTTTACACTTGAAATAATTCTATATATCTATTCTTACAGTAAATAAGAGAACATCTTTTATTTGGTTTTAGGATAGCTAAGAGACATCAGGTGTCAGAAATTAAATAATTGTGGAGGAAAAGTCAAAATTGGGAATAGGACTTGTGTGGTGGCTCATGCCTGTAATCGCAACAGTTTGGGAGGCTAAGATAGGAGGATCGACTGAGCCCAGAAGTTCAAGACCAGCCTGGGAAACATGGGGAGACACCATCTCTACTAAATAAATAAATAAATAAGCTGGACAGGGTGGTGTATGACTGTGGTCCCAGCTTCTTCGGAGGCTGAGGCAGGAGGATTGCTTGAGTCCAGGAGGTCAAGGATGCAGTGAGCTGTGATTGAGCCATTGCACTCCAGCCTGGGTGACAGAGTAAGACCACTGTTTCAACAACAACAACTGGGAGTATCCAAATATGAGTTGATTTTTAAAAATCTAAATGGGGAAGGCTGGTATTTTTAAATTTCCATGGTAAAGGATATTACCACCAATTACAGAACAACAGGACTCTAATGGCAGCATAACCTGAATATACTGTTTGTGAAAATCTTTTGTAAGCTCTCCATGGTCACTGTATATTTTTTACTATGTATTTTTTTTATTGTGGTAAAATACATGTAATATAAAACTTCCATTTTAACAATTTAAAAATGTATAATTTAGTGGCGTTAAGTACATTCACACTGTCACCTCTATTTAATCCAGAATGTTTCTGTCACCCTGAAAGGAAGCCCCATAGCCATTGAGCAGTCACTACTCATTCCATCCTCCCCGCTGCCCCTGCTAACCACTAATCTATTGTCTGTCTCTATGATTTGCCTATTCTGGATATTTCCTATAAAAGGAATCATATAATGACTGTATTTTAAAAATATGACTTAACTCAGTCTGTCTTTTTATTAAAGGTAAAGCGTTAGACGTGGAGGATTATGTACTCTCCTTCCTAAGACTCTGTTAAAGAAATATAATATATAAACCAACAAGGTCACAGGGATTGATAGAGAAGACATCAGTGACAGGAAACTTAATTTTAGATGCTGGAAGGTAAATAGAAAAGCAGAGAGGGAAGCCATTGCCTGAAGTGTGGATTGAACAGAGAGCCAATTTGCCCTTAGGATCCTGGGGAGTAACTGGGAGGTGCCATTTAAGAAGTGAGGAGGCATAGGGCTGAAGACAGGGGATTAACACTAAAGATGAACTCACATCAGTCAACCCTGGTCTTCCATCACCCACCACCTCATCTAGAGAATGTCAGTGATCAGGTGTCCACTCCATCATGTGGCTCAGAGGTTTTTCTCTGGATGGTCCTGTGTGTTGACACCTAGGGGTGCCCCAGCAGCCCTGCTTGCTCAGTCTAAAGCAGGGCTCACCAGTCAGCAAGCCTTACCTAGTGACCTTCAGCTAGTTTCAGCACTAAGTTTCCAAAATAATTAATTTTAAGAGGGCTCACATTAATAATTTTATCATGAATTTTCAGAAACTCAGGGATAAAAGACAATCCTAAAAGCTTCCAGAGCAGAAAGAAAAAGAACATGTAGAAAAAACAAGAATCAAAATGGCAACAAACTCCTCAGCATCAGTACTATTAGATATTAGAATATAATGGTGCAATTTGGGAGGCCGAGGTAGGTAGATAACTTGAGCTGAGGAGTTCAAGACCAGCCTGGCCAACATGGCAAAACCCTATCTCTACTAAAAATACAAAAATTAGCCAGGAGCGGTAGCCTGCACCTGTAATCCCAGGTACTCAGGAGGCTAAGGGTTAAGTCATGAGAATCGCTTGAACCCCAGGAGGCAGAGATTGTGCCACTGCACTCAAGCCTGGGTGACAGAACGAGACCCTGACTCAGAAAAAAAAAAAGAATACAGTGGTACAGTGTCTCAAAAAATGTGAAGGCAAATTATTTTCAACCTAGAATTCTACATTCATCAGACTACCAATCAAACGTGAGGAGAAAAATAACAACATTTTATTACATGCAAAGTTACAGATACCTTCTCCTCTTAGATGTGCTTGAGTAAAACTAGAGGTGAAACAAGACGAGAGTAGTAACTGCATGCAGGAGGATGGCAGTCAACCCAGCACAGCAGTGGACGGACTTTCCAGGACAGCGACTGTGCAGCAGGTCCAGAGTGTACTTGGTGCAGATTGGAGAGGGGGATCTGGGAAAGGGGTCTTCCGGAAAGAGGGGACTCAATGCAATTCCTGATATTATGATGTAAACACATGCTATGGGTATGCTAATGACAGAAAGACAGCAGGAAATGAGTAAGGCAATGAGACACCAGACAAGACAAAACACTATACAAGAGAGGAAATGTAGTTATGCACCTTCCTTTGCTTTGGAGAGGACACGTTTACTGTGTCATAATGATGTAAGCTACCTATTATTGATTTAACAAAAATGGTGAAATAACTATATTAGGAGGACATGGATGGGTGAGGAGGGGACAGCCTAAGAAAGTTAAACATCCATTAATCTTAACACCATAATCAATAGATAATGTCAACAGTGGATAAATCATTGAAATAGTGGTAGAAGCACATTATCTGGAAATATAGAAGTAACTAGTAGAAAAAAATAGCTTAAACAAGTAAAAAACAAATGCTGGTGTTGGGGAAACAGAAATGAGGATGGAGGTGGCTAGGATAAAGGGCCATTGTTTCCTTTTTGATAAAGTGCAATTTTTAAAAAACATACATGTATTACATTGATAAAAAATGAAGCAAATAATAAAAAGTCAACTCAAGCTGAGGTATGAGAAAGTATGTGAATGGCATTTAAAAGCCAATTTATTTGTGATTAAGACAGCTATGCTATACAACTCTAGACAATTTTTTAAAATTTCAAATCCTATGACAAATGAAAAATGGCTTCCTTAGAAAAGATGAAACTGCACCCAACAGAAATGAGCTTCTATCCATTTCCAGAAGAAAATTCATTGCTCATTATGAGAATACTTATAGGGTGTCTCTATGAACCTACAACCTGAGTTGTTAAAATTTAACAGTTTTAAAACTTTACAAAGGCCATGAAAAGCCTTTATAATGCTGTAAATTCCACCCTGGGTGGAGGCATGAGGTCCATACAAATTCTGGCTTCCTTCAACTTGAAGTAACTCAGCATGTAAATCCTCAGGAATCAAGATGAATTCTAAAAGTGAAATACTTCTACTTGTGTAGAAAAAGCAGTTGAGCAGCATGTAGGTCGGTAAGAAAGAGATTCTAAATTCCACTCAGCATATGCATACACCAGAAAAGGGGTATGGTCCCAGTGTGGACCCAGTATGGTCCAGAAAAGGGGTTGGGGCTGATATAAGGGCACATATATATGGTTGGCCAGGGAGTAGGAAAGAGACCTAAACTCCCATCTATCATAGTGAGAGCTGAATAAATTATCATCTTTGATGAGAGTAGTCAACAAATAATGCCTAAAAATGAGAAAATCATGGATTAGCAATATAATATGTTATTTAGAAACATAGAGGTAAATCCTAAAATAATCAAATAATCAGCCCCCAAGAAATTGTAGGGGCTGAGTAAATTGGGCAGGAGTAAATGTTCCTCTCTGCCACAGTGAGCCCTTCTTGGCTCTAAAATGCCATGGACATCACAAGGTGTATTAGTCAGCTGTAGCTGCCATAACAAAATTCCACAGACTGGGTGACTTAAACTACAGAAATTTATTTCTCATGGTTCTGAAGAATGGAGTCCAAGATCAAGGTAATGGCAGGCTCAGCTTCTCCTGAGGTCTCTGTCCTTGTCTTGCAGATGGCTGTCTTCTATCTATGTCTTCACATAGCCTTATCTATGTGCAGAGGCCCCCTGGTGTATCTTCCTCTTCTTACAAGAATGCCAGTCTTATTGGATTAGGGCCCCATCCTTATGCTCTCACTTAACCTTAATTACCTCTTAAAAGTTCCTTTCTCCAAATACAGTCACACTGGGGTTTAGGGCTTCAATACATGAGTTTTGGGGAGACACAATTCAGCTCATAACACAAGTGATTGGGAAAGAGTTGTACTATTCTAGAATAAGTTCTGTTTAACTCCAATGGGAACCAAATGACCAAATGGCCCTTCTTCAGAGCCTCCTACTGAAGAACTTGCATTAGCCAAGCCTAGGACCACAAAGCTGTGCACTAGAAGCTACATCTCTTGATGACAATGTTTGTCAACAACCTCAGGCTTCCATGGAGAAGAGCCCCCTAGAGAGGGATCCTGCATGATGGTGTCACAGTGTGAATACATGAGACACATAATCAGATGTGCTTCTGAACCAATTTCCCAAGTTTCAGTGATTTGGATGAGCGAACGTGTCAAGGCATGGGAGACTGACTTAAGCAGAGTTTTGCGTTTTTGCTTTCCACAGACGGAATGTCCAAGCTGCATCACAATTCTGAAGTCCAAGGAGGAATCTCCAATTCTCCAGTTCCTGTGAAGACAAATGGATCTTGGATAGGAATACCTGGGCACCTGCTTGGTGACCAGAGGTTGTGCAGGACAGGAAAATATTCTTATTTTATTCTATGCTTTGGCTGTAATAATGTAAACATGGAATATTAATTTCACCAAAACTAAGATTATTCTAGTGGAAGGCTCATGGCTGAGAAGGGCACATATATATGGTTGGCCAGGGAGTAGGAAAGAGACCTAAACCCCCATCTCTCATAGTGAGAGCTCAATAAATTAGCATCTTTGATAGAGAGTAGTCAACAAATAATGCCTAAAAATGAAAAATCATGAATCAGCAATATAGATATGTTATTTAGAAACATAGAGGAAAATCCTAAAATAATCAGAAAATAATCAGCAAAAACAGGAAAACATGGTTGCCTGTGGGAAGGAGGAAGAAAGAGATGAGGAAAAGTCTGTTGTTTTGTTTTATTTTATTTTATTAATTTTTTTAGAGACAGTATCTTACTATTTTTCCCAGGCTGGTCTCAAACTCCTGGCCTCAAACTGTCCTCCTGCCTCAGCTTCCTGAGTAGCTGGGATTACAGGCATCAGTCACCACACCTGGCTTGTTTTAGTTTATGTTTTAAACAACATATATTATAGAAGTAGCTGAAACTTTATATTTTGGGCATGTGTTAGTTTGATTAAAAATAAACCAATCAAATTGTAAGGGGGAAAATGAAGGAAAAATAAATCATGCTGACCCAATTTCATTTATTTTAAGATGACTATATAGAAAAAGGTCATAGTCACAGACAAAACAGCACTGTCAGTAATAGCAATAACAATAAGACAACATGCATCAGTTAATACTTTGGTAAGAAAGTTCACTTATTTGATAAGTATTTATTGAGCATTCAGTATGTGCCAGGCCATGGTAATTATAATAGTTGAGATTCCTGCTCTCTTAGATTTTCTATTCTAGTGGGGCAGACAGAAAAGTGCATAAATAATCAAATAAGTAAGATTTTTTAAAATAATGTTTAGTGTTTTGAGGAAAATAAAGGATAGTAGAGTGGAGAGTAACTGGGAGAAAGAAATGATTATTCAGACTGGATGGTCAGGGAAGGCTTCTTTAAAGAAGTAAGGTTTCAGCTCAGACCTGAGCAATGAAGAGGCAGCCATGGGAGAGGCAGAGATAACGTGTTCTGAGCTTAGAACATACAAAGGCCCTGAGGTAGGAACACACTTGGTGTGTCTGAGGAATAGCCAGGAAGCCAATGTGACTGGGTGGTAGTGAGCGGTGGGGGAAGGGAGCCTGCGATGGGTATATGAAGCAGGCAGAAACCAAATCCTGCTGGGCCTCGTAGGTGCTTGTAAAGAGATTTATTTCCAAGTTTGATGGGAAGTAACTGGAGGATTTTCAGCAGAGTAGTATCAGTATCTGATTTTTTTCTTTTAAAAAATGAGTCTGATTTTCTGGGGCTGGATTGGGGCAGAGGATGGAAACCGGGGGCCAGCGTGGGACAGGAAGTTTAAACACTTTAACAGAATTCCAGACGGGGTGAAGGCTGTGGAGGTAGAAACCAGTACGCAGATTTGGGCTGAGAATCTTGGTTTAAGTGGAGATCTAACGGGCAACTAAAAGGCCAGTGGGGAACCTTGGAGGGAGAGAGGTAGAAGGAAGGAATTCTACTCCTGCAGCCAGTCTCCCCGAATTCCCAGGCTCCCTTTGACATATGTGAACAGACGCTCTGGTCAGGGGCCGCTGAGGGACCTGAGTGATTATGCAGGAAATAAAGACTTGCCAAATTGCTTTAAACTCAGCCTGTCTCCATCCCGGCGTTCACCACACTTGACGTAAACGTGTAACTGAGCTTGTAAATAACTGTGCTTGGAGGCAGAGCTGGGAATTACGCCCCTCTAGACAGCTATTCAGAGGCTGAGAGAATAGGGCCCACTCGCTGTAGTGCTATGCATTAAAAAGCACTTATGCTGCTAAAACCAGCATTAGAATTGCACATAAACATTGCTGTCATACTCTCAATGGGACTCTGGAGTCCAAGTGGGACTCTACGAATCTGCAGAGGGGAGAAAAGCCATCTCAGGCAGTGTGATGATCTCTCCCCAGCAGCCCAGCAAGCAACATCACCTCTTTTCTGTGGAGAATCCCTTCCATAAATGGGGAGAAAAATGAGCTTATTTCCAAGCCAAGATTAAACTGGGTCCATACTGCATGGAGATGATAGGCTTCTGAGAAAAGAGAAATGAAACCAAGCCAAGAAAGCATATCCATCCAGAAGTGGCAGGAAGGGATGGCCCAGGTGTTCTTAGGAGTTACCTGAACCTCCAAGCACAGTGCCTGGCACATAGCAAGTTGTGAATGAATGAATGAATGTGAGATTCATACATTCCCAAAGTGTAGTCTTAATATTTTATTTATTCTATTTCTGTTTAAGAATTAAATAAACCTGCTGGGACGAGTATCCACAAACAGCCTTAGGGGTTACATTTGGGCAGGCTGCACCCACTCAGAAATTTGTGCTGCATACACAGTGCATCCATCCCATTCCAGTAATTCATCCCCTAATGTGATCTGAAGTCTAGAATTATCCATGGCTGAACAGAAGGAAATTAGTCAAGATTAAATAGTCATCTGGAGTATATCTCCAGTGGACCACAGTCCATCCTAAAGGAAATAATTGCTGGGATTAGCTGGCTGTTCAGATAATTGTCAACTCTCAGTTTTACTTGGTTCCTAAAGAAGTGAAAAGAGATATTTCTAAAATCTCAAGTGCCCAGCTGGGAGGGGAAAGACATTGGATAAGAATGCTGCTCTGGGCCGGGCGCGGTGGCTCACGCCTGTAATCCCAGCACTTTGGGAGGCCGAGGCGGGCGGATCATGAGGTCAGGAGATCGAGACCATCCCGGCTAAAACGGTGAAACCCCGTCTCTACTAAAAATACAAAAAATTAGCCGGGCGTAGTGGCGCGCGCCTGTAGTCCCAGCTACTTGGGAGGCTGAGGCAGGAGAATGGCGTGAACCCGGGAGGCGGAGCTTGCAGTGAGCCGAGATCCCGCCACTGCACTCCAGCCTGGGCGACAGAGCGAGACTCCGTCTCAAAAAAAAAAAAGAATGCTGCTCTGGTGTGAGGCCAGCCTTTATGCAGTGTGTCTCATTCCCCATCTATCAGAAGGAATCAAATTATTACTAGTCTTGCATGGATGCTACAAGGATAAATAAGTCAGTATGTAAGGACACTCTATCTCAAGCCCAACATATGCAAAGCTTCTCATGGAAGAGAAAAAAGATAATTAAAAACAAACAAGCAAACAAAATCCCTATGAAGCCCTAAAGCAGATGTCCCAGAATTTAGTACTACAGAGTCCTTCACTGGGCTTTGTTGACCATTAGCACCATGTTGATTCTTATTTAATATGCAGTTATCAGTAGTAATGTATTTATCATTGTGCAACAAATTAAAAGCAACACACAATAAGAAAGTTTGGACCTTAAAAGAAAGGTATAATGTTCTCTAGGAAAGAGATGGTCAGCCCTACCAAAAATCAGAGATAAATGTATCCAACCTTTTACAAAGAGAAGGTGTTTATGTTCTGTTTGTATATCTAAAAGAGATACAGAATAAAAAAGAAGAAAATGAGAGAGCAAATTACACTGAAGTAGCTGAAACTTTATATTTTGAGCATGTATTAGTTTGATTAAAAATAAACCAATCAGATTGTAAGGGGGAAAATGAAGGAAAAATAGCCTTTGGCAATAGCCATCAAGACATGGTTATGTTTCTGGTCCTTCTTTCCTAAATACAAGATGTTTCAGAAATTTGTAGAACTTTTCAGTAATTTGACTATTAAAAATGTGAAAAATCAGAAAGTTTTAGGAATCTCTGTGGAGTTCTGGAAATGTTCTGTATTGTGATCTACAATGGCAGTTACATAGGTATATACTTACATAAAAATATAGACCTATTTAAGATTTGTGCACTTACTATATGTATGTTATACATATATATATAAATCCTAGACAATGAAGTATTAAATTCTGGAAAAATTCATTTATATGGAACATCTTATTTCCCAGTGTTGGCATATAAATGAAGGATCATTTTGCTTCCTCATACGTATTAATTGTAAAGGTAGCCACCACTGACAGAGTATTTACCAAGTACCATACCCTATGCTAATGCCTGTAAAATTAACTCATTTAGTCTTCAAAAATTCCAGTCCTCAATAAAAACTGAGGTTCAGAGAAGCTAAAGTGTAAACTCCTCAACAACAGGGAACTGTATCTGTGATTGCAGCTTGTCTGTCTTCGGAATCATTGTATCCCCACCATGTAGACTGGTGTCTGGAATATGGTTAGTACTCAATGAACATTTGTGAAGTGAAAAATATTTTGTCCAATGTCGAGTAACTAATTTTTAAATTTTCTTTTTTTAACTTTTATTTGAAGCTCAGGGGTACATGTGCAAATTTGTCACATAGGTAAACTTGTGTCATGAGGGTTTTTTGTAAAGATTATTTCATCATCAGGTATTAAGCCTCATACTCATTAGCTGTTTTTCTGGATCCTCTCCCTCCTCCCACTCTCCATCCTCTGATAGGCCCCAGTGTGTGTTATTCCCCTCTATGTGTCCATGTGTTCTCATCATTTAGCTCTCACTTATAAGTGAGAACATGCAGTATTTGGTTTTCTGTTCCTGTGTTAGTTTGCTAAGGTTTATGGCCTCCAGTTCCATCCATGTTCCTGCAAAGGACATGACTTTGTTCTTTTTTATGGCTGCATAGTATTCCATGGTGTATATGTACTACATTTTCTTTATCCAGTCTATCACCGATGGGCATTTAGGTTGAGTCCATGTCTTTGCTATTGTGTATAGTGATGCAATGAACATATGCTTGCGTGTGTCTTAATAATAGAATGATTTATATTCCTTCGGGTATATGGGATTGTTGGGTTGAATCACCACACTGTCTTCCACAATGTTTGAACTAATTTAAACTCCCACCAACAGTGTAAAAACATTCCTTTTTCTCCACAACCTTGCCAGCATCTGTTGTTTTTTGACTTTTTCATCATAGCCTTTCTGACTAGTGTGAGATGGTATCTGGTGGTCTTGGTTTGCATTTCTCTGATGATCAGTGATGTTGAGCTTTTTTTTTTCATATGATTGTTGACTGTATGTATGTCTTCATTTGAAAAGTGTCTGTTCAGGCAGGGTGCAGTGGCTCATGCCTGTAATCCCAGCACTTTGGGAGGCTGAGGCAGGTGGATCACCTGAGGTTAGGAGTTTGAGACCAGCCTGGCCAAAATGGTGAAATCCAAGTTGCTGCAAAAGACTATTATATTCCTTTTTATGGCTGAGTAGTATTCCATGGTGTATATATGTCATGTAACTGATATTGGAAGACTCAGAATTGGACCTTGTGTCTGACTGCAAAGCCCAAATTCTTTACCATTCAATGATATTCACTCTCAATTAAAATATTTGAGTCTGTATAATAGCCAGCCTAAAACCATTGTAAACAAACTTTAGGAATACCAAATTGAAGTAAGCCATACCTACAAAAAAGGTATATGAAACATAGCTGTAAGTTTTTAAAATAGTAGTAAAATGAACACCATGTGTCCACCACAGTTAAGAAGTATATCATCATAAGGACCTTAGCAGCCCTGTATCTCCTTCCATAGATCTCTAGAGGTAACCACACCTGAATTTTGTGCTTATCAATTCTTTGCCTTTCTAGATTGTTTTAGCACATGTTGATATCTTTAAATCATACAGTGTTTTGTTTTCTTCTTGGTTTTGAACTATAAATAGCAGATGACTTTTTCACTCCTCTCACTACATTGGTCTTTAATCTTAATGAGTGACCCAGTCCTTTACTTTCTCTACATTCTTTGAATCCATCAGCCCACTTATTATACAGCATGTTTTAAAAAAATTAGTAATTCTCTTCCAAATATCATAATCTCTTTTCTCTCTTTCTCTTTTCATTGAACCTGTTTAGTAGAGTGCTTGTAAATGTTCAACAGGAAGCTTGGGTGTGCATGTATTGATTTGTACCATTTGCTAATTTTCTTGGTGTAAATTTTCCTACTGTCAATGATTTCAAGCTATCACTAGGATGCAACTGAACATGGGTTTGGAAGAGATGCACACAATTGGTTCTTGCAAGCTGGTACAAACCAGCTCCAATATATCCTTGAATCTACTACAAAAAAACCTCAATCCTGGATAAGACCAACTAAACATTTTCAGGCCAAACAAAACCAGAAATCAGAGGGCAAAAGACCTTCAATTTAGTCGAAGCAGGTCAGCATCTTCAGGGCAGAGAATGGAGTTGTATTCGTTTTCTATTCCTGCTGTAACAAATTACCACAAATTTGGTTGCTTAAGCAACAAAAGTCTATCCTCTTACAGTTCTGTAGGCCAAAAGTTGGAAATGAGCCCTAGAAAGCTAAAATCAAGGTATCAGCAGATCTATGCTCCTGCAAGTTTCTAAGGGAGAATGAGTTTCCTTGCCTTTATTCTAGAGTCAAGAGCTTCATTCATTGCATTCCTTGGCTCATGGCCCCTTCCTTTATCTTCAGTGCCAGCAGATATACAGCTTCTCTCGCTTATTTCTCACAGTCAGCAAATCTTCTTCTGCCTCCCTCTTGTAAAGACACTGTGATCACATTTAGGGCTTCATGGGATAATCCAGGATAGTCTACCCTTATCACATCTTCATACTTCCTCTTGCCATAGATGGTAACATTCACAGGTTCCAGAGATTGTGATCTGGATATCTTTGGGGGCCATTATTCAGGTTTCCACAAGGGTAGGGAAGGGAAGACAATGAATCTGGAAAAGTAAGTGGAAGGTGTCAAGCAAAATCCACCCTTCTGCCCCATAGCATCCCTTCCTTCCCTTCCTTGAGGTGAAAGGCTCATGTCTCTGACACTGGAAATACGTAAAGTCCCGTCAGGTACCATGTTGTTGTGCAGTGATGTCAATTTGGTCATACCTTTTTTTTAAAAAAAACTTCTTTATTTTCCATTTTCCACATATGCTAAAATTTGGTTGTACTTTCTTCTGAAATCTAAAGCATTAGACACCACCAATGTTCTTCATACATAGTATGAGGAAAAGGGGTAGGAGCCCATCAATTAATATACAGGGTGGCTTTTATAGTCCCTCTTTCTATAACTGGTGTCCTGAGGTCCATGTTGAGAATTAAAGATACCAGGGAATCCAGGGTTCTTGCTGCTTCCGAGGTCCACTTAGCAGGGGTACAGTTAGCATAATGTCATTGCTGTGATGAAGTAGGATGATGTTCTGTGCGCTGCCAAAATGACAGATGTTCTGTGGGCTGCCAAAATGACAGACATCTCTCTACTACACAGCTGCTGCACAGGATGCATGGGCGACTATTCTAAGACATCCACCACGTTCCTGGGTCGCACTTTGGCGTGAGGCATGACTCCTCTCTAATATTCTGTCCCAACTAAGGGAGGGTGTGTCAGATTCAGCCCAAGGTGTGAGAGGTGAGTATGGGTAAAGCAGCCCAGAGGGTCTTTTATCTCAGCTGCAGAGAGTAGGATAAACTGGTTCTACAAGTTGCCGGCTGAGTTTTTCTATCTTACACCCAGACAAGTTGTTTTTGAACTTAAGAACCATAATTTGCTGCTATTGTCTACCTGGTTTCACAGTGACCCCTTCTCTCAAATCAGTATGTGCTTCACATCTAACTGGGTTGGCTGGGATAAGGGAAAGCCCTCAGGGTATGAGGAAGGAAATTCACTGAGTGCTGAGCAGGGTGGGAATGCAAGGAACATATCAGTGGACTCTTTGAAATATTATCCACACCATCTCTCTCATTTCACATCACCCTCCAGCGGTGGCTCTCTTTTGTCACCATTTTCAGCCAAACTTGGTGAGATCTCTTCATTTCTCCACCTGCCATTCACTCCTCAACCCACTCCATTCAGACTTACACAACATCTCTGTCCTCAACACCTCCAAGTTAGCTAGGACTTCTGCCTCCCGGTGAACATGTTTCAGCCCTTATCTTACTTGCCCTTTCAGCCTCAATCTTTCACTGTTTGCTTGTGTTGGATGGTCTCTGTTGCCCCTCTAGATCTGTTCTTTATCCTTGCCACCCTGTTCTATGCCCCAGATTACATCAACAGGCCCCCATGCCTTCTGAGTAACGTTTAGGTTTGGCCAGTGAAAGTCCAGGGAGGAGATCAGAGAGAAGAGAGAAAGGTCGGGGTATTTATTCCCTTGGCTTATTCCCCACCAGGCTTAGTTTGGCAATTGCTGGGCAGCCCGCTCTGACAGCTACAGCTCTACTGGATTCAGGTAGAATCCCTCTCTCCTCATTCCCCTTTGAGCCTAGGGGTGGTAAGACTAACTTGTTGCTGGCCCTGGTGTGCTTCAATATTCCGTGCTGGTTTTCCTTAACACTGTTCACCCCTTTGCAAATAATCCATTCATTAAACACTTTCGTCACCTCTTTTTGATATGCCAATATATATTGATTTCTTTTTGCTTGAAACATATTTTACTGGGCATCATGTCAGCTCATTGTCCTGCTTTCATCCAACCTTTCTGTCCCCTCCTCTGTCTCCTTGGCAGATTTCTCCTATTTCACTGAATCATAAATTTTGGAATTCCGTTAAGTCCGTAGCTCTCTTTTCTTCCTACTGTATTCCCTTCTAAGGAACCGTCTTCAATATCCAAATTTTCTAACTACATGTAGGCCAATGACTCACAAACTTGTTGCTCCAGCCACACCTGTCATTTAGACCCAGACATATAATTCAACTTCCTTTTTTCGACAGTTTCATTCATTAAATCAGTGAATATTTTTCTAGAGTCTATTGTGTTCCAGGCCCTGTTTTAGAGTTTTAAAATACTTAAAAAGCCCTCAAACTCTACTCGTCCCAATGGAATCTATGATTTATCACCCCCTTCCCCAACCCTCTTCCTCTTCCATTGTTTCCTACTCCAGTGAGTGACACCAACATCACCCATCCAACCCCACAATTAGGAACCTAGGGGACATCTTTAATGGCTTCCCTTTTCTCATTCTCCATAGCTGACTCATCAAGTGCTATCAAATTATCACCTAAATGTTTCTTGAATCTAACCAATTTTCTCTATCTCTGCCACCACTACCATGATACAAGTTTCTTTTTTTTTTAACCAGTACAGCTTTAACTGCAGTAGTCTCATTTCTTGTTCCCTACTCCAATAAATAGTGAACTTTATGAGGCACAAATCTGTCCATGCTATATTCAGCCTCAGTTTAAGATCTCCCAATACCTTCTGCTTGCTCTTATACAAAGCCACTGGAGGCCTGCCTCCTGCCCACCTTTCCAGCCTCTTCTCAGACTGCACTCTCTTCAGCTCCCTGTTCTCTAGCCCTTCTTGTCTTCCTGGAATTGACATGTTTCTCCCTGTTACGGAATCTTGACCCTTATTATTCCCTTTGTTTTTTGACACTCTTCCCACATACTCTACTTTACTCAATAGCAAATGGTTATCTTTTAGCCCTCAGCTAAAATGTTGCGTCCTCAAAGATGCCTTTCCTGGTGCAATAGAGTTTCAAACTACACAGCTCTGTTATTGATTTGAAATAATAATAAATATATTTTGGTTTCTACCCCCTTGTTTCTGACATAGAGCTCCTAAAACTCTTGTAGATGAGAGTGCTTTAGGAGGGTCTTTTTTTTCTAATATTTGGTCTTTGATCCCCAGTTCCTGACACAGAGCCCCAAAGAGTTTCTAATTTCCTGAGTGATAGGAGTGTCTGACACAGAGCTCCTAAATCTCTTGGAATTTCCTGGGTGATAGGAGTGTTTTTGTTGTTGTTGTTCAGTAAGGCAACTCTTGGTGGGCTCCTAGATGGATGCAGAAAGTCCAAGCTATGATTGTAAGCTTGGAGCTTTCAGTCCCATCTCCATTCTCTGACAGAGGGGAATGGAGCTCGAAATAGGGTTAATAATTGAGTATGACTATATGATGAAGCTGCCATAAAAAATCCCCAAAGTATGAGGTTTGGAGAGCTTGCACATTGGTGAACAAAAACACATCCATGACCAGGAGGGTGGTGCACCCCAGCTCCATGCGGAGGGAGGTCCTGCGCTTAGGACTCTTCTGAACCTTGCCTTCCATATCCTTTCATCTGGCCGTTCATCTGTATCCTTTGTAGTATCTTTATATCAGCCAGTATACCTAAGTGTTTTCCTGAGTTCTGTGAGCCATTCTAGCAAAAGATTAAACCTGAGGAGGGGGTTGTGGGAATCTTCAATTTATAGCCAGTTGGTAAGAGTACAGGTCACAACCTGGCACTTGTGACTAGCATCTGAAGTGGGGGGAAGTCATGTGGGATTGAACTCCTCACTTATGAGGTCTGTGCTAAGTCTGCACTAGTGTCAGAATTGAATTGAATTGTAGGACACCTATTTGATGTCAGAGAACTGGTTGGTATGGAAAAAATTCCACATGTCTTGTGTCTGAAGTGAAGTATTGAGAGTGGTGTATGAGAGGAAAACCAGTTGGTTTCTTCCTGTATTCATTGACTTGGAAAGTACCAGACACCACTTCTTTATACCATTTATCACAGATGTAATTCTATGTTAATTTGCATGCTACTTTGAATAATAGACTGTAACTGTACTTGAGAGACCTTATGTGTTATGTTCAACATCACATTCATGAGTGCCTGGCACATAGCAGGTGCTCAATAAATAGCTGTGCAATGAAAGGGTGAAGGAAGAGTTTTACTGAGATTGAGGCTTGTTATAGTAAGAATAAGATCTAGGCTTGCATCAGTGTCATTTCCTCCTTAATTCAGTTTCTCAGAAGTTTTGGAGGAAGTCAGGTAGTTCAATAAATGTTGGTGCCATGAGACAATAGCCTTGGCCTGTGAGCTGTTCTGAGAGATGTTCATATCCCATAGCCAGTCCCCAAAGCCTCAAAAGAAAAATGCTTCGTCAATTTGTCACTTGATCCCTGAAGGATAGACTGTATTGATAAGAAATGCATGTTATTTAATGATTTAATTACCTTCCTTAGTTTTATTAGAACAATAAAACCTGGTTTTATCACCAAAATTTAAATTAAAATTCTATTAGAGCAAAATTTGAAGAAATGGAAATGTTGAGTTATGAACAGGTGCTTTTCTCACTAATCCTTGACTACTTAGTATCAGTCACAATTTTTCCTAATTTATTTCTCTTTAAAAGGTGGACAGGACTTTTCAGGTTAATTCCTTACGTGCTTTAACTTCATTTAGGGCTTGCCCACTGATACACTGACAGTGATAGAACTCTGGCCAACTCTGCGTCAGAAACCTTAGAGGGCAACTCCTGATAATCTCTCACTTCTAATTTGACTTCCTTCTAACTTAATCAGAAGAGATGAAAGTCTTTCTCCTAGGATTCCCATTAGAGATAGCTAGTATTTATTGAGCACTCACTATGTGCCAGGCACTGTCCTGGCCCTTTGCACAGATTTTTATTCTTTAATTCTTTCCATAAATTTTTCTTTCCAGATAGAGAAATGAAGGCTCAGGACCTTACAGCTATAACTGGCCCCCAAAACTTATAACTAGCACTTACTGGGGTGAAAAGTCAGTTTCAGAATCCTTGCTTTGGGGCTCTTTCTCTTAATCATTTATGCTGACTTCCTGCATCCTTTTTGATAGAATCTGAAAATAAATTTCTTTCAGTGTATTTGTACGCTTGCTATCATAAAATCCTGTGGTTTTTTTAAATAGTTGGAAAGATGAAGTTTTCCATTTTTCCATCTCTACTGCTTTACCTGTAAGTGTTTTGAGGCATTCTTGAGCCTTGCAAAAGTGGCTTGATAAAATCCAGCCAATTAAGAGATGAATACAAATAAAGAGCTAAAAATAGAGAAGTCATGATAAACAAATTGGTGTTGGGAATTGAATCCATTAAATTTAAACTAAGACTCAACAACTGTGAGAACTATGGCTATGCATCTTGACCAATAAAAACAAGTAAGAATAGATTTAAAATGTGAAGAAGACAATAGGAGGAAAGAAAGGAAGGCGAATTTCCTTAGTTTGTAAATGAATGAATCAATCAATGCTGCCTCAAATTTAAGCATCTGGTTTATTTAAAAAGGTAATGACCCCAGCCTCTAAGAGTGCTTCTTAAACTTTGTTATCAATTTTAGTGCTATATTTAGGGAATCTCTAATAGTGAAAAAGCATTTATCTGAAGTTCAGGCATTTCTTCATTTCATTTTGATTTTTCTTTCTTCTTTAAATTCAATTAAATTTCAATGTAATATTTTTTTCTTAACATTAGTCTATAGCATTATTTTATTTTTATAAAATATTTCTCATGCTTATTCTTTCTCACTCTGAAATAAATGTCTGAAATGAAGTTTATCTATATTAACAATGATTATTTTGGGGTGGAGGAGTTTGGGAATATTTTCCCATATAACTGTAATTCCATTATCACAGCTAACAAAATTAGCAACAATTCCTTAACATCATGTAATTCTCAGTCTATGTGAAAAACTCTCCAAACTATCTTCCAAGTGGTTATTCAAACTAGAGTTCAATCAAGGACCACACATTGCATTTCATTGTTATGTCTGTTAAGTCTCATTGCCTTATTTAATGTTAAACAACCTCCTTCCTTTTATTCCCCTTAACAATAATTGGTCAAAAACCAGGCCACTGGTCCTTTACAGTGTACCACTTTCTGGACATTTGGTCATTTGTGATATCATTTCACTCATTTCCCTAATCTTTGTATTTCTTGTAAACTGAAAGTCAAAACTAAAGACTTGCTTAGTTTCGGCCTAAGTGGTTTTGGCAAGAGCATGTCATAGCTGATGTTGTACTTCACATTGCTTCATTATGGAAGGCGCCTACTGTCTGGTTGTCCCACTGAACACTGAGATAGAGCCTTGAGTTTAGGTGGCAACAGCCAGGTCCCTCCTTTATTAAGTCAGACTTTCCCCCCTGTGACTGGGAAATAATCTTGGGGGTGACGTTTTGGCACCAAACTATCCCATTATGGTTTTAACATGTATTGATGACACATGCATGAATCATTTCTCTTATTAGGGGATACAAAATAGTGATTTTTAAATTCTGTAAATCTATATATTATTAGCTGGGGCTTTACTGTAAAGAAGAATGTTCTATCATCATCTGGTACTAGTTGGAAAGGCAGGCTAATGCCTAATTCTTTCCCATTATTATAGAATTTTAAATATTGTATAATAATGTTATAACTTAATATTATTATATTATTATAATAGCTTCCTTCACTGGTGATGAGTGATTTTCCTTTTGGCTGTCTCTCTTTTGATTATCATTATAGATTCATGGATTCTTATATATTCAATTTACAGCTATCATTTATTTGATGCTTAAATTATCCCAACTTTGACCAGTAGAAAACCCTTCAAGATAATGCCTACATCCTTTTAATATAACTCCATTTTTCTTTGGAAGCTTCCTTGCTTTCTGGGTGCCTTGAGTTGGTTTGTAGAAGAGCAAACACTCATCATTCTTCCAGGTATTGAGAGGAGACATTTACTCAAGCAGGTGTATCTGACGCCCACATTTACATACTTAGCCCAAAGCTGGGTGCTGTGAAAGAACCAAAGATATGTTTCATTATTAGCTTGTGAGAAGCTCATATTCTTGCCACAGAGATGACTAGCACCAAGTACAATTAAGGGAAAGTAGAGGAAAGCGTTTGTTCTGGGTTGACTGATAATCAGGAGGGTGGGGGTACTTCTGACACTGGCCTTGGGGCCAGCCCAGGGCAGATAGTCTCCTAGTTCTGTGAAACCCAGGCTGGGTCCCAGAGTACTCACCTCAAACCCCACCACTGAAACGGCATCTCTGGAAGGTGCTGGGGTTTATTTGAGAGTTTGGCTTTGGAGGTAGCACAAGGTTTCCAGGAAGGGGATTCTGGGGTCGGGGTGGGAAGTAGGTGGGTGAGCTGGTGTGCCACTTCACTTGAAATTTCATGACCTGGAAGGAGTGTTCTCAGTGGGCCACTGATTGGCTCAGGTAATGATTTGTGGCTTCTCTGTCTCACTTTCTATCCACTATGTTGTCAACTTCAAGCAGGCAGCAAGCCTACCTTGTTCACTTTCCTATGTCCAGAGCCCTGCCACCATGACCTGTACATCAATAATTATTTGATGCAAGTTAAAATCTTCTAAAAAATACTTGGAATTTGAAGTAGTCAAGAGGAGAAATAGGCAGAGGATCACAAACTTGATCTTGCAATAGACCTAGAGTTAGGTATAATAGGAGAAAATATAACACAAAATAATCAGATAATACCTCTAATGAACTTGGCTTTGTGCCCAGCAGATAGTAAAAGACTGGCTAAATAATTTTAAAGATAGCACAGCATATTGGATCAACAGCTATCTTCACCATGTTTTTGCTTGTGTAATACTGGTCAAGTTACTTTACCCCCCGAGACTCAGTTTCCTCATCTGTAAAATGGGGACCCATAACAGTGCCAACCTCACAGGGATGTTGTGGGGATTAAATGAGATAATGCATATAAAGTGCTTAACCCAGAGCCTAGCACCAAGTCGCTGTTCCATGTGTGTCAGCTGCCAGTATTTTTACTGGCAGTAGGTGAGGGTGGATGAGATTAATTGTGTCAGATGCTGCAGAGAATTTCAGAAAGTCAGGACTTGGAGACAGCCTTTGAAACTGGAGCAGATGTCATAAGTAAGTCTGAAGAACAGCTTCATTCCAGTGGTGGCCATGAGAGTGAAAGCAAAGTGAAAATGGGGCAATTATGACATTCATCTAATAAGTTTAGCTGAAAATAAAAAAGATTTAGACTGGTAAGTTGATAGAAGAGCAAAAATATGGGTGTTCTGTGATGTTTTAAATAGAGGTGTGACCTTTTTCTATTTGAAGGAAGAAAGGAAGAGTCCAGAACAGAAGGAAAAACTAAAAATAGTGGAAAGATGAGCAATGAATGTGGGCTGAAGTAATAGGGTTCAACACAGACTAATCCCACTTCCTACTGTTTATCACTGGGAAAAGAGAGAGAGAGAGGGAGAGAGAGAGGAGAGGGAATAGATTTTTCTACTCAAACACCACATGGTTCTTCCATTAAAACCCAGTGAGGCTTGAGTCTTGTTTTTGCACTTATTGACCATATGATCTTACTGTGATTACTTAGCCTCTTGAAACTATTTCTTCTTCTGGACAGTGAAGATAATACTGCCAACCTTGCAGGGGTACCTTAAAAATTAGAGATAATGAATATAAAACACAAGTGACTTTGTAGGTAATCAATAAATGATAGTTACTAGGTTATTAGTAGATCATACTAACATTACATCCTCTAATCTCATAAGAAATTTTCTTGAAATTAATGTACTTGTCTTTAAACATATATTTGAAAAATTGTTCAAAGGGATCTTGTAAGGGATAATTTTTAATGTAAATATAATATATTCCATACTGAAAGATGAAGATGGCAATTATAGGATCAGGCTAGCAACTTTGGTGCCCCGTTGTCCTTCTAAAATATAGGTACATTGAACACAGGTGATTCCACAATAAAGGTAGTGATGAGTTGAAAAGGGGCTATAATTCTTAATAGTAACAATAATAATGATGATAATAATAATGGAATGTTATCAGAACTGGAGTTCTACTTAACTGAAGCTTCTGATTAATTTCAGACAGATCAGATAACCCTTATCATTTCTACATTTGTCAAATATCATTCTGTAACATGTGCACCTGCTAGACGTCTATTAAGTGTCATCAATAGGACATAATTTAATCTTTCTTTGGTAATTCAGCATCCTACAGTGCCACAGGTGGTCATTACAAACATTAATAAGAAGTACAGTTCTGTAGGGGGAAATCAAGAAGATTGAAGGCATTAGACTGATTTAGTGCTCACTCCAGGATACCACCTCTTTATAAAGACACACTTTCATGTATTCCTTCTAAAAGAAATTCCAGCTTGTAATGGAAGTTTGTTGTACTCTGGCTAATCTAATTCTCCCTAAGCGGTGTTTATTTCCCTAGGCCCCATGATGTTTCTCTGGAAGTCCATTCTATTTTCTGCCAGGCTCTGGGTTCAGGGGCATCCTTATTTGGTGCTATTAGCTACTTTCTTCCCTAACTTATCACCTTGTCCTAGTTGGGCCCATTATTGAATGTACATTATTGCAATGAAGCAAAATTAAAATATCAGCATAGAACTTTTGTTTAGATACCTAATTATGTGGCAATTAGAATTTTTGTGAGGTGTTTTGACATTTTTACAAGCTTGTACTCGGAAGAGCTAATTTGCATTTCAATATAGAGTTTTACTAGTTGAGAATTCACACCAAGAAGACAGAATTAAAGATTATTTCTGGCGGTGACAGCACTGTAAGGACAGCATGTCTTAGTTGAACAACAGCTTTTTTAGGAACAACCTAGATGCATAGGTTTCTTCTTCCCAAGGGACTCTAACAGGCTTATAGTCTTCAGCTGAACTGTATACGAAGGTTCATCACAGAGAAAGTTTATAAGCTGTTTGTAAAAAAGAAAATAGTCTTATGACAAGAAAGGTAATGTTTTATTGTTAATGTTTTTGCTAAACTACATCATTTCGGTGCTGATTCAAATGTTTTTTCCAAATAACTTTTGGTTTTTAGCATCACTGTGTTTTCTGTCCCAAACTCTAAATCCATCTTTCAGCTGGAAACATCAATTCCCGTAAAGTTCAAAAAGATGTTAGTGAGTTTCGGCAGCAAAGATATTTCCCATATTTAAAAAATTAAATCACAGAGGCCATTAGGTCTGGTGACCACATATCCAGTAAAGTCATTTTTACAAGGATAAATCAAGTCACAAGCATGCCATCACACATGGTACAGGGTTGCCACATTGTTTTATTGGCAAAATTTTTAATTAGGTCTGATATATTAAGAATGCATCTTGTAAATTTACATTTCCAACAACTCTCACCCAATAGGTTCCCAAAGTTTATTCAAGATCTCAGAGACAGGACAAACAGGCACTACAAATTGTCTACCCAAAACCCTCTTGACATCTTCAGTCACCCAGGAGTCCCATTAACCTAGAAGTGAAAGAGCAGAGAGAAGACTCATTTGTGCCTGTAGTTGGGAAAATGCAACTTCACTTTGGGATGAACCTGCAGCATTTTACATGCCCACACGACGGCAGTATTGCCCCAGGATGTTAATGCAACCATCAGGGAGCCTCCTGGACAGCTGGCTGCAGAGCCTGAACTAGGGGAACGTTTTGAATACTGGTGAAAAGCCAAAAAGACACCAAGCCCAGGATTGAAGAGGGTTGCACAGGGAATGTAGGAATCTGGGGAAGTAGAAATCTGGGCCAGCTTCCAATTCAAGGATTGTGTTTGTAGAAATAGTATAATTTTATATATCCAGGTGCTGGCAACTTTTTCAGAAAGTGAAACTTATGAGCCTTTTTGATTTTGAATTACATTTTCCTATGGTTTCTCCTGTCATTTGTTTAGAAAGCAAACTGAGACTAGGGATTTCTTTTAGAAAGAAAGTTTCAGGGCAAAACCATACATCACCCTGACTCAAAAGAATTAATCATTGGAAGACAATAATTTTTCAAGAAAAGCATAAATTAAAAATAAAGAAAAGCATAAATTAAAAACATATATTCATATTTATCAGGGTAGATTTCTTTTTCTTCTTGAGTTTTTAAATGTTTTGGGGCATTAATAGACATTAGCATCAGTTACCTTTACTATTACTACTTTGGATGATTAGAGTATTGCTGGACATGGTAGTTTCTTTTTAAATTTGTTAGTTTAATATATGCCTGGATGTAGTATTTCAACACTTGGGAGGCTCAGTGGTGTGTGTGCAAGTGTGTAACTGTGCTTCTGTGTCATGCTGGGAAATTTATTGTAGAAAGGCCAAGACAGTTCTTAGTGCCTTTGGATCCTCTCCCTTCCCCATCCTCCAGCCATCCCACCCCTGTGTACCTGCAGAACAGAAGGATTTGTCAATAGGAAAACAGCGTCCAGCAACCCTTATTCAAACCATATTGGTTGTATTTTCCACAAGAAGTGTCCTGCTTTTATCCTAGGAAGAAAAACTTCTGGGCCCTTTTGGTTAAGTGGGATGGGTTACCAGCAAAACCCAGCAACTTTCTTGCTTTGACAGGGGCTGGTTAGGTCAAGTAATGTGACAGCAGAGGCACTGAATGTGACAGGGCTGGAACTGAGAAAATCAAAAGAAAAAAATCAAGAAAGTACTTAAAAATGTATTATATAAAGTTAGACTAAAATTTTAAAATAGCAACACTCAGTATTGACATTATAAATTGGCATACCCCTTTAAAAAAAACAAAATGAAAAGGACTTAAAAATTTTTCTAGACTTTGACTTAGTAAGAGCACTAGTGAGAATAACTCTAAGAGAATAATTTGGTGGTGGGGGCGGGGGAAACACATATACCAAAACATACACATAAGTTCTTTCATTTGTACCCTTTCTTTAAATAGTTTGGTACCACCCACAACCCCCGAAAAAAAGAAAAAAAAAGAGCCATTTGCAAAAATATTCTTTGTAGCATTTGTAATTCTCAAAAATTGAAAAAATTAAATGTTGAACAGATGATAAAATAGTGATTAGATATTTAAGGTATACCTAACTACTGGATGAAACATTACACAGTATTAAAAATAAGTATAAATACCATTTAGTAACATTTAAAAACGCTAATTTTATGAGGTATAGTGAAAATAATGATCTGCAATGGGACAAGGAATAGCCCTGCTAGGCCAGGGCTATTCCAATTGCAGCAATGGGGCTTCTCTCTAAACAGTGCCTGGTGCCTAGTATGTTCGGGGGCAGTAAATAGATTCAGGGTATGGCCGTGTCTCTAGAGAGAGTCCTGTAATCGGTGTCTGTCTGCCCAGTGAGTACACTTTTGCTTTGCTGCAGAACTGAGCTTGGTGTTAGGACATCCATGACAGGAACTTCAGCTTCCAAGTAAATGGCTATATGGTCTCAGTCATGCTAAGAACTCTCCTGTATTCCTGAGTGCAATCTGCAAAATGGAAACAAAGAAGTCACAACTGTCCCCCTGCTTCTCCCTTCTCACCTGGCAGTGATTTGAGTTAGTGAACAAAAAAAATGCTGTAAGCAAGCAAAGGGAAATCAACTTTACTCTTTCTATCAAGTAGCATCCACTTTGTACATTATCAACTTTATGGATTACATAGGGTAAAAACGTGGTTTCTCCATGACTGACTCCCCTCCTCCCACCATCTAACAGACTTCTTATCTTCCTCCACTTGCTACCTACACAGACTGCAAACAGTTCTCGCGTTAGTCAAAATCATACACAATTAGTGAGGCAAATTGGTTGAAATATAAATCATATCATATATTCCAAAGACAAATATGAATGATTTATGGATAGGGTTACGGGTTCTTCAGGAGAATATTTTTGTCAGTTCTTCTTTACAGGACTCCAAATAATTAATAGTTAATTGTATATTGATTTTTGTGCAGATACAGTATAATATAAGCTGATAAAATTCCAGGTTCCTAACCACATACCCATCAGAGTCAAAGTAATAGGACAGGCAAAGCAATAAGACTGGAGGAGGTTGCCCTGACTCAGCAAGCTCCCTTCAGCATGTCATTCTCACCTTGAGACACAAAATGGCTTCTCCAACTTTATTTGCTAACGATCCTACCTTGGCTACAACCACTCCATGGAGTGAACAGTTAGTGTGAAGACACTTCAGATCAATTGTGATTGTCTACAAATGTCAGTGACAGAGACTTTTATAATTTTGTGAATATTTATTATTTCTTATGTAAATTAGAATAAATATTATAAATTATTCTGAAAAGATTAATTCTGTCTTTGTAACCAACTTGGATAAAATAGGAGTTGTGGGTGAGTTATTAAAATAATTCCAAATGCCATCTAGCTTTTATAGAGAGGTTTTTTTCTCTTTCTACTTTCCACAGAAGAGATACTTGAATTTTGTATTCTTCAAATACAAGTCATGTTTCATCCTTGCCAAGTCTTGAGGTATGGGTAGAAAAGCGACAGCGGTGCAGGTTGTGGATTAAGTGCTATTTCAATTAAAAGTGTCATGGAGGTCCCCTGTTACTTACCTGTGCATTGTTTGCTCATGGGGGAATGGATTAGTGGATGGGATGGAGTTAAAGATTAGTGGCCAGAATAAAAATGGATAATTGGGCTGAGCTTGAGAAAGTCACCTTCCAGGGACTATTACCAGCACTGTGTTGCTCTTAAGAGGGCCAGGCCTCAAATAGCAGCCAAATTCCCAGTAACGAGCCAGCATCTAGAAAGAAAGAGAATTAGAAAAGAAACCAAAAACAGGCATCACTTTCCTAGATTAAGTTTCTTTTCCTTTTATTGCAATGGTTTTATACATGAATGGGCTACATTTGCCTCTGCAGCCAAAATAATTTCCATGTTATATTGTGCTTATGGTAAATGAATTGGAACTCAAGCCCTCAGAGTTTAAAGAGCTATTACAGCTCTGTGTGTGAGCCAGGACTGCGGGGCTGCATGCGTCAGTAAATCACCACTGTGCTCTTGTTTGGTCCAGGGCCAAGAATGTAACCATCCTCCAGAAGGTAATGGAAGATTCCAAAGGTCTGACTTATTAGCAAATTCAGGACATAAAAGTCACATGCATTTTTTAAAAAGTCAATTTAAGAGAGTTAAAAATCAACATTACTCTGGAAACCGGGGTCTTTCTGTGCCAATCCGATGATTAGCCAACGGTCTGTGCATAACTTTCATTCGCAAACATTGAGGAGATTTACTCCAGGCCTCTCTGCCATCTCTCTCATATTGATAAGTAGGTAAAATCATGTTTTAGTATCCTGTTCAAAGAAACATATGCATGGAGGGCTCCCCTCTGCATTCTCACCAAATTTTCTTTCTGCTTTATAGAAATTGTGCTTGGAATGGAGGGATAGTGGAAGGAATGGCTGGTCTACTTTATTTAAATTAGGAGTTTTTTTAATTAAAAAATATAGAGAGCATTAAGAACAGCATGTCAAACTCATGCATTCAGCACGAAACATTTTGTTATAAAATTCAGCACTAAACATTTTCTTATAAAAATTTTTTAAGAAATAAAAGATTAAAATTAAATATGAAATCCTCCATTTTCTTCATCTTGGTGACATTCTCTTTTTCTCTCCCTAAATAAAATCACTGTCATGAATTTGGTGTGTGCCTGGTGGATGAGTTTATACTTTACCATATATATAAATGTGTTCATAAATAATGAATTTTGGGGTGTTTTATAAAATTACATAGATGCATGCTCTTATATCTTGTAATGATCTTCGGCTTGAATTTCTTCTCAATTTTTTTATCTCCTTCTATGTACCTATGGATTTGGTTAATTTATTTAATATACTTAATACTGCCATGCAGTAGTCCATCCTATAGACTATATCGTAATCTCTCCATGTTCCTATTCTTGGACATTGGATTATTTTCCTTCTTTTTAACCTCTACAATTATGCTAAAATGGACATTCTTGTTCATGTTTCCTTGTGCAAATGCATAGGGCTGGCTACATAATTTGTGGACCCAGTGCAAAATGAAGCTGGCCCTTCTGTTCAAAATATAGGAAAAAAGTGCCATTAAAGGTATAAAAGCTAAGGTTTTTTCCTTCTTCCATGATCTCGCTCTTGACTTGTCATGGTGGTGTTTTTTTATTTGTCGTCCTAATGTTGTTCTAAGAAAAATTAAAAATGTAAGCTATTATCATAAATCTTACCTTTCATTTTTATATTGTTCAATACCTGTTTTAAATGCAAATATAAGCATATTTAACTTGTATGTAAAATCATGGAAATGATACAACTTGCATTTCGCAGCTCCTAAATGTGTATGTATTTCATTCTCACCAGAGGAGTTGAAATGCTGCAAAACGAACCCAACTGTTTTTATTTCATTTCTTGACTCATGCACAGTCTACCAACACTCTACCTTTGGCTTACTGATGAATAAGGAAGGAGTGAAAGAAAAAGGGATTGTGAGATGTCCAATCTTTCCCTTTCCTTCTCTGCTGTCATTTTCAGTATAAGTGGTTGGCAAATACAGGAAGAACATGAGTTAGAAAAAGTACAACAGGGTTCCTTGGTTGTTTGTAGTTTTCGGTTCGCCAGTCCGTGTTTCTGCATTTGAAGCAAGTTCTAGTTCAAAGGGAAAGAGTGGCCTCTTCGAGTATTTACCTCCCCACTTACTCAGCTGAAGACATAACATACTTACTTTGTTCTTGCCCTGAGTCCTGTTGAACTCCCACACTTCATGGGTCCACTGGGATTCTGTGCTCGTGGGGCTTCCTGAATACTAACATGAACAGGGCAGCAAGATGTGGCTGACATGCATATTGCACCCATCTCCTCCATTCATGACATGCTGCAGTGCCCCAGCAAACACCACTTAAAAGCACAAGTTCAAAAGTAAAACGATTAAGAACTTCAAGACAGTGAAAGCAGAGCATTAAACCAAGCACAGGGCCCTTCTGAGGGCAGAACTCTGTGTCCATGAAGCTGGCCCTACACTTGCATAAGAATTTCTTTGTTAGATATGTCTAGAAGCGGGTTCCTGGGTGGTGATACACATTGTCAATTTTTACCTGATACTGCCAAAATAATTTCCATGATGTCTGTACAAATTTATACTGATACCAGTAATTTGTGAACATTTCCATTAGCCTATATTCTCACTCATACATAACAAGGATATATTATTTAATTTTTGCCAATTGTGTTATTTTTGCTGTTATTTCCCTGTTGGGTTGAACACTTTTTTATTTGTTCATTCTGAGGGTGTGGCTTTCTTTTCTGTGAACTTCTTGTTCTATAATCTTTGCCCATTTATCTACTAGGTTGTCTGTCTTTGGGTATTGATTTGTAGGAGTTTTTTAAAAATTTCTTTCTTAATACATTCTCAATACTAATCTTGACTGTTGTAAGTCTTGCTAATATCTTCTCTCAGGCTACTTTTCTTTTAACTTTGTAAGCTGGGTTTTTTTGTTTTACAAAATTTACAAATTTATAAATTTTGAGGTAGCTAAGTTTATTTATGTTTTCCATTATTATTTCTATTTTTTGATGTCTTCTCTGCCCTAAGATATTCTATTTTTTTCTAATAATTTTAAATGTTTAATTTTTTCTCTTTTAAGCTTTAGATACTTCAGCCATCTGGAATTTGTTTTTGTGTATGAGATGAGATAGGAACTTAGCTTTATTTTAATATTGAAAGTCAGTTCCCAACACCATTTATTAGTCTATCACTTCCCTGACTGATTTTCATTGAGCTGTTTCTCAAGATTCCTATATCATTTCACTGACCTATTTATATTTCTCACTTACTTAGCAGAGCTTTTAATGAGTCTTCACATTTGGTTGAGTGAGAACCTAGGACTTTTAAACAGCACATTTTATTCATTTAAAAAATGCAGAAACAACAAAACAGAACCAAACAAGTTTTCTTACTTTTCAGGATGCATTAAGAAATTCTTCAACCTACACAGCGTGAAAACCCAATGACTTTGAAATCAGACAGACGAGTTCTTATCCCAGCCTTGTCATTTTCTGGCTGTTTGAACTTGGGGCATGTTTCTTAACCTCTGAGGCTAGACTCTCTAATCTGTAAAATGGGGATAATAAGATCTACGACTCAAAGCTGTTGAAAGGATTAAGCGAGTTAAGTGCCTGGCACAACCTAAACACTCAGGAAATAGTACTTTTCTTCCCCTTTCCTGTCCTTGAAAAGAGCTGTGTGTTTCTTGGTTCTTCAATTCACTTATGGACTCTACAAAGGACGAATGGAGGTTGCTTAAAGGCAAAACAAAATCCATCCCAGGCTGATGATCTGATTCAGTCACCTTCCTGAAACCCAAATAATTGCCTGAGCTTTTGGAAAAGCAGAAGCTGCAAAGATGTCCTCAAGTGGTTCGGCAGCTGGCAGCTGTTTTTATTATTAATTAAATGGCACAAACAGGTCGTAATAAAACCAGAGCCAATCAGTCACCCTCCCCCCAATTATATAAACTCAACTCCCCTGACAGGTGTTGAAAAGATCAAAAGGACTTGGAATCAATAGGATTAAGAGTTTGAAATTCTAACATCTTACCCTCAGTGAGTCTGGGACCTCCAACTCTGGTATTGCTCAGACAATAACATTTCCTCAGATGGAGAGGAATTCTTTAAACTAATACACCTTGAAACCTGGGATGGGGGTGAGAACATGCTTGGAATTTTATCATGTCCAGGTAGAAACCTAAATTGAAGTGGCTGTTCTGGAAGATCAAAGGAAAAAAAATGCATCAAGAATAAATACATGACAAATCTGGCTCCTGCAAAAGAAGAAAGCTAATGGGCCTAATGAAGCAGGTGGTCAGGCCCTCTTTAGTAGCTTCCAACATGTGGGGTACACTTCTGGAGAGAAACAAGCCATAGGTGAGTCACCGAGCATGCTGAGTCTGTGCAGGTCATGATCTGAGCATCATGTGATGGAATGGAGAGGCCCAGGTGGGAGGGTGTTGAAGGCAGATGCCATAAGGAAAGGAATCTGCTGCTGCAGCTGTAGAGGACAGTGGCCACTTGTCTCCTGGAACCACCATTGTGCTTCAATAGCTACCACAGAATGAGCATCAGCAGAGAGAGACATGAGGCAGTGGAGAGAGGCTTTGAGAACAGACCTGTGTTCAAATCCTGACTCCAGGTTTTGCTAGCTGTATGATCTTAGCACTTTCTGAGCCTTGGGTTCTTCATCTTCTCAATGGGGTAAAGAATTTCAATTTCAAAGTATTGCTTGAGAATAAACTGAAATGAGATATCACCTGGAGTTTCTCAACACAGGAGAGGCTCAATAAATGTGCCTATTAGCATCTTGCACATGGAGGTGTTGCTTGTGTTTTGGGGTCCTGGGGGACAGGCAGCCCCACGTTTTACTCCTTCCCAGAGTTGCAACAAGCCTCCTATTTCCTGGGTCCTCCACTCCCACAGTGAGTTGGTCATCTACCTCAGCACTTTTCTCTTTTCCTCCCTGCCTCTCAGCAAAACCACCCCATTCTTGGTTATCTCCACTACTGTGTATGCAGAGTCTCACCTATGTGTGAATCCTGAACTTACAGTTTGTAAATGGGATGTTTGTGACTCAGAACGCATGGTCCCTTGGTTACAACATTCTAAATCAGTGTCTCCCTGGGACAACCTGACTCAGTAGGTTGAGAGAGAGTTTCAGGATCTGCATGTAACAAGTAGCTCTAGATCCTTGCTCTCAGTGCGTCTGGCAGCTTGGGCATCCGTCACCTGGGAGCTTGTCAGAAATACTGAATCTCAGGATTCACCTTCGACCTACTGAATCAGAAGCTGCATTTAAAAAAATACTCAGGTAGGGTTGACAGATAAAATACAGGGCACCCAATTAAATTTGAATTTCAGATAAACAATGCATTTGTTTAGTATAAGCATATTCCATAAGTACACCTGTATTTTTATTTGCTAAATCTGGCAACCGACTCTTTGGCATTTTTATGTACATTAAAGTCTGAGAAGCATTGGTCTAGATCAGTAAATCCCAAACGTACCATGCTTCAGAAGCACCCGTGGAGGCCTTGTTAAAACCCAGATTGCTGGGCCCCACCCCCAGAATTTTTGATTCAGTAAATCTGGGCAGGGGCTTGAGAATCTGCATTTCTAACAAGCTCCCAGTTGATGCTGGTGCACACACTGTGAGGATCACAGCTCTGCATGATGACTGGATTCCCAAGTCAGCCCACCAAGGTCTTGGCAATTCCTACAACTTAGACAAGATAAGGGCTGAGGTTCCCTCCAACACTCATATCTATGCATGAAGAGAAAAAGAGTAATGGTCTGATCAGCCAACAGCTTATGCTGCCTGACCACCCTTTATAACAAGGTCTGTAAGGATAAGTGTGGCTGACCATGTGGAGTGCCAGGAGCTCAACTTCTCCTGACTTCGTGTATCCTCCCGGTTTCCAAGCTACTGGTGATAGTTCCAAGAGCATAAAGGGGAAGAATGGGAGGGCTGGGAATAGACGGAGTCAAAGCAGGGACAAACCTCTTAAGAGGCTGGGTGACAGTGGGGACAGGTTGTAAAGGTAAGATCTGGGGTGAGGAGTCTAAGTGGGCAGGTTGGGAAATGAGGTTGCCTGTAGTGGTGAGTGAGGAGGAGGAGGAGAGGTGGGGCAGGGCAGTCTCCTCAGTAGACCTGGATGACCCCAGCTGAAATGGCCAGTGGAAGTGACAGGAAGGACACCAACACTTGGAGTCTGAGACCTAGATTAAAATCCCTGCTCTGCCAAGGATTAGCCTTCTAACTGTGTTCAAAGTTATCAGCTCTTATTTCCTCACATGAGCAATGAGGAAATGACAAACTTCTCAATAGGATGGTTGTGAGGAAGAACAGAGGCAGCACATGTAGGTAAAATGCCTGATCCCGTGAGAAGGCTCTCAGTAAATGGTAGCAGTTGCTATTATGGTTGCAAGAGGGTTTAATGCTACATTAGAATAACATTCCGTCTTAGAGAATTTCTTTATCTGTACTTAATTTCATGAGATAATAGGTTTAGGGGAAATGTCATCCATACTCTGGGACGATAGCAAGGCCTCTTAAAAAAATAAAAAAAAAACATTGTTAGCAAGATGTACATTCCCACCCAAATGTGATCCCCCTCCTTTCCTTGTCCATCCATCCCTACTGCCTCAGATGGAGTGAACAAAGGGGCCCACAGAAGAGTTGGAACCTAGAATTATAAGGGATAAGCCCCTAGCCCTCGGCTGGTACCCTGAGAAGTTCAGTTGTTAGCTGGAAATCAGGTCTATACTATGAGAGGCACCAGGTGACATACTGAAGAGGGGCTGATTTAATGAGATACTTCCCCATCACCGTGAATACAGCCCAAGTGTTCTTCAATATGTTTCTGTGCCTTGTTTTATAATTTCGTTTTATTTAAAAAATGTATATACAAAATGTATGTATACTTCAAAACATCAAGTTCTACATGATAAATACATATTTTGTATGTCAATTTAAAATAAATAAATTTGAAAAAATAAGATACAATGCAATTGACAGTCCTACAAATTTTAACATGGGGGTAGATTCATGCAACCATTATTACAATCAGGATGCAGAACAGTTCTAAGGCCTCAAAAATTTCCTGGTGTGACCCATTTGTTGGTCACACCTTCCCCTAGTTCTCAACCCTCAGCTACCAGTGATCTTTTCTTCATCACCATACTTTTATCTTTTCAAGAATGTCACGTAAATGAAAGAAATTATGCTGAGTGAAAAAGCCAGTCTTGCCTGGTTTTATATTTTTAAATAAACACAGCGAGCCTTTTTAAACATTTGACACAGAAACTGAATACGAGGCAGTAAAAAGACACATTTGTAAACTAGACTTGTTTTTCCATGCCCCCGTACAGACTTACCCTCAACTCTTTACAAAACTTCGTCTCCCAGGAAGTCTTCCCGAATTGATTCTTCCAAACATCTTTACCCTCTTGTTCTGGGCCTTGTCCTCTCACACTCTCCTTCTCTCCTTGTCACTTTCTCAGGAAGTCAGTTCTGAGCATGGATTAAGCAGCATGACACAGGAAAAAGTGCATATTCTCTGCAGACACACAGTTCTCAATATGCACCTGGGTCTGTAAGGACGGTGGGCCGGGTACTTAGTCTCCTGGATCCACAAGGTAGAATCACATTACCCTGAAGAGTTGTAGTAACTAGTAAAGATGGAATGATATGAACACAAAGCCCCCGGCATAGCATAGGCAGTCAACACACAGGCAGTCATTACTTTGAGCCACCAGTATTAATAGTGCTGCTTGTCTGTCACAGTGCCCACAGACCATTCCACCAGAGGCTTCGCATGTGTACAGGCACAAAAACAAAAGCATTCAGTATCAAAAGAAGGCCCAAAACAATGGACTAAATGTTTCCTTTTCTCATTCATTGTTCTGGCAGCATAGGGAAGTGTAGCCTACATAAAGGTAGGCCCCAAATGACTTTTCTCTGCCACCGTCCCCTGTGTGACCTTAACCATGACACTTTGCTGTTCCTGGCCCTTGATTTTTTTTTTTTTAATCTGGAAATGGGAGGGTGACCTCAAAGCTCTCAAGTGTTTCTCTAAGCTCTAAACTTCTAAAGCCCCAGGTAGGCCAGACATGGTGGTGAATGCCTGTAATCCCAGAATATTGGGAGGCTGAGGCAGGAGGATTGCTTGAGCCTAGGAGTTCAAGACCAGCCTGGGCAACATAGTGAGACCCCATCTCTACAAAAATACAAAAAACATTAGCTGGATGTGATGGCATATGCCTGTAATCTCAACTACTAGAGAGGCTGAGGCGGGAGTATAGCTTTAGCCCAGGAGGTCGAGGTTGCCTGGGTGACGGAGCAAGGCCTTGTCTCAAAAAATATATAAAATAAAATGAAATAAGACTCTGGGAGGCCTGACACGGTGGCTCACGCCTGTAATCCCAGCACTTTGGGAGGCCAAGGTGGCTGGATAGCCTGAGGTCAGGAGTTCGAGACCAGCCTGGCCAACATGGTGAAACCCCATCTCTACTAAAAAAATTACAAAAAATTAGCTGGGCATGGTGGCAGGCACTTGTAATCCCAGCTACTCGGGAGGCTGAGGCAGGAGAATCACTTAAACCCAGAAGGCAGAGGTTGCAGTGAGCCGAGATTGTGCCACTGCACTCTAGCCTGGGCAACAAGATCGAAACTCCGTCGCAAAAAAAAAAAAAAAAAAAAGAAAGAAAGAAAGAAAAAAAGACTCTGGGTATGCACAGACCACAGCTTTAAAGTTCAGTAATTTCTTATAAGCCCTTTCACCATTCTATCTGGGTTAAAACTCTGTTTTCTGACCCTGAAGGTGTGGACCAAACCCTCTCCCTTAGTTTATTATTCTGCATGTCATTGGGTCTACATAAAAACTGGAGAGATTATTTAAGTGAATCTAGATTGTATAAACAATGACTGAACAACTGATTTTTTAAACTATACTGGGTTTTCCAGCTTAAATATCATAGGAAAGGAAAAAGAGAGAAATCTAAATTAATAAAGTAGTCCACTCCATTAGTTTCTACCAGGTAGATACAATTTAATAATAATACATGACACTTGTTATATTTTATAGGCATTTACTATATGCCAGGAAGGCTAGGCACCCTGCATGTTATCCCATTTAATCTTCCTAACATATCTGTAGCAAGGTGTTGTGATTGCCATTTTAATCCTCCTTTTAACTGAGGAGTAAACAAACCCAGAGAGAGGTAGGGTACGTAGCCTATGGTTATACAGGGAGTAAGTGGCAGAAAAGTAGATGGAGCCAAATAAAGTGCAGGTAATTTCAGATCAGGAATTATATTCATTAGCATCACTAAGGGGAAGACAGTAGTCTCCAGGGTTTGGATTTGTCCCCCTGAATTCTTAGTATCAAAAAGGGCTTGAATGCAACTAGCACATCCTGACTATGAACCAAAGGAAAAGGGTGTAGAGGGAAAGGAATGGTAAGGAGCTGAGGTAAAGAGAGACAGTGGGGACACTACAGCAGGTGAAGGGGGAGAAGAAAGAGATGACGGATGTGAGGAGTCGGGCTCCCAGAGCGGGCAACTAACAGAGGCTGAGAATTTCCAAGAGGTCCTGGCTCTGGGAAAGAAGATTCAGGGAACACAGAAAGAAGGAACAGGAGGCCTTTGGGGCTGTAATTATCTAACAGGACTGTGATGAAAACAGGAGTCCGAGCTGCTGAATTGGAGAACAGGGGGAGATGGATAATATTTTCTCTAGCCTCATTGCCGAGAAACTCATTAAAATCCCCTTTCCATTTCCAACTCCTCAGTATCCAAAAGGCCAGTGTTTCTGAAACTGGAGAGATTTTCTTCTTTTCAATATAACTGGGGGAAACAAATAAGATACATCAATTTAAAATTTTCTAAACCATTTCCCCTTCATCCCACCACATTGTGCTATGAAGAAAAGAAATAACCTTTTAAAATGATGGGAAAACTGTAGCCACAGGGAGAGGGGGAAAAGGCTGGGGATTCTCTTTGTATCATTTTTTAGAAGAAAAAGTATAATGTCGTTTTCAAGAGATGAACAGAGTAGACCCTAAGCCGATATTCTCATTCACCATAAAAATATATGGGGAAAAGGAATCCTGAATTCAAAAGAAGATTTTTTAAAGGGGTGAAAAAAGAGAAAACACTCAAAATTATATCTAACATTAATTGCGTGGCATGATACTTAAGTACTTTACAACCATTGTGTCCTTTAATCCTCAAAATAATCCTGTAAGGCCTTCAAGGCTATCATTACCTACGAAGACTATTTCAATTTCCATTTTGCAGATGAGGTAAGTGAGACACAGAGAGGTTAAGCAACTTGCTAATGTTGGCATAGCTAGCAAGGAGTAGTTCTAGGATTTAGGCCCAGAGGGTCTAACTTTTAATACCCAAGTGATTAGCCAAAATGCTAATCTGCAGCCTCAAAAGAATGAGAAAGACAAAACAAATCCAAAGCGGAAAAGTCCCAATGAATTGCTTATTGTGCCAAGGTAAGATGAAGGACATTAGGACTCTGGAGAAATGTATGTTGACTTGAGGAAAGAACGATAGAGATGCAAGAGATACAGGTCTAGAAGTGTGATAGGGTGATAGCAAGAATCCCAAACTGGGAGGGAAAAAAGATCTGAGTTTCAGGTCCTCTTCGTATTGGCTTTGTGACTGTAGGCAAGCCACTTAACTTCCCAAAGCTCCAGCCTCCTCTGTAAAATAATACCTGAAACCACGTAGTTGTGAGGACTGCTGTGAGACTGAGTTGACTGAATGGAAAAGCAGTGTTAGCTAGGTGGTGTTACACATAGTCATTAAAGCTGTGGAATACCCCAGGAGGTTTAGAGCACCTTGTAATAAACAAATAAACAAAATTAGCACAAGTCTGCAAGAAAATGCTTGATTTGCTGGGTGCTTTTTGCTTTTGTGGGGGCTAAACTCTTCCACTGGCTGGCTTTCTTTCTTTTCTTTCTTTCTTTCTTTCTTTCTTTCTTTCTTTCTTTCTTTCTTTCTTTCTTTCTTCTTTCTTTCTTTCTCTTTCTTTCTTCTTTCTTTCTTTCTTTCTTTCTTTCTTTCTTTCTTTCTTTCTTTCTTTCTTTCTTCCTTTCTTTTTACTTTTACTGAAGGCTCATTTCGAATCTGTGCTGCGAGTAACAAATCTGAGACAATGTGATGTTGGAAACAACCATAGACTTTGAAAGGCCACAGATTAAGAATTCAGTTCTCTGAGGCCACGACATGCTCCAAGATAAAACAAATATCCAGGGGAAGGCAGGCAGTTTGGGCAGTATGCAGCACCTGGACCCTGCCTGACTGAGGAGACTACATTCCTTGACACTAGTGACTTACCCACAATTGGACTGCTTATGGTTAGTGGCCTTTCCCTTCCCTTCCTGCTTTCTCCTGCCCAGACGACCTTCTTAAAGGATAGGCAGGCCCTGGCTCTCAAAACCCATTCAGGTCCTTCTTCCCTTAGAGCTCCTTTCATGGAAATGTGTTAGGTTTTATGCAATATAATTAACAGACTGAAGACAGTCTGAGTAACCAAGATAAGGTTTAGCACCACCGAGAAAGTGTTTAAACTTTATGAGAGAACCTGGTGAATCTTCACGCCCTCTACCCTCAAGAGATAGTGCTAATTGCCTGATAGTTTTTTTTTTTTTCTTTGCCTCTGAGAAAGATGATAGAAGGAAAGAGTACTGGGCCAATACCTAAAAGACTTAGGTGCTAGGCCAGGATTTCCAGTTGTCAGGCTGTGTGACCTTGGAAAATTGGCTTTACTCCTCTGATCTCTCATTTTCCTCAAGTGGTAAACTGAGCACTTTAAATTGGTGTTTTCCAAAGTAATTTGAGAAATTATCTCTGTTACAGGGGAATAAATTTAATTTTGATTAGTATTACAAAAAATCTATTACAACAAACTTATGATTTATATGCATTATTGCTTGGGATAAGGCTAAAGTGAAAAAGCGAGTCAATTTAAAGAAAAGTCTGATAGTAAATAATATTATAGATGGATGTGACTAAAACTGTGACGGTGGAATTTGAAAGAAGATCATAAGGGACCTTCAGTCCCTTATCAAAGGGCAGAGTCCAGGACGAGCACTTAGCCATCGCTTCTGTTTTTCTACTTGGCACCCCCCCAGTTTGTCCTCCCATCCTTCGTCATACCTTTCTGTCAGCGTTTGTGAGAAACCTGCCCAACAAACCCATCCAATGCTCTGCAGTCCTTTGGTATAAAATTATAATTGGCACAAGTGATCATGTCATCAATTGCAGTTCACAAGTAAAAGTTTTAGTAAGACCAATAACATTTCAAATCGTCTTTTAATTTTTATAAAATTATCAAATCTTGCTCACAGGTCTCTGGCCCTTAGTTCTCCAAGAACTCACTCTTCTGGCTCCACAGTTCATTTTTTCATGTGACTTGTTAGGGATCATCTGTATTCCAACTGAGGGTGGAATTCTAAATCTAGAAGAATGAGTAAACGAGCATGTTTCAGAGAAGCTCTATAAAAGTTGAGCCCAAAACAACTGAGAGGCTTTGGAAAATCCCAATATTGCCTTAAACATAAATATTGTAATCAGTAACTTTTTATTTATGGCAAGGTTTGAACCTTCCAGAAAGATGCATCGAATGCAAACTATTATTAGCAGGGAAATGCAAAAGCCACTTGGTATTCCATGGTTGATACCCAACAGCTCAATGCAGTCTGAGCAAGCAAGAAACATTGTTCCTATCTCAAGACAAAGACATAGAGATTGGGCAGATTTGAAGAATCTAGTTTAGAAATTCAAGGGGATGATCAGGGTAACAGATTTACTAAACCCGATTAAGCGCAGGAGAACAAGACATAGGACTTTCAGGAATATTTTTTCTTTCCTTCCCAACATATTTACTTTCAATTGCTAAGCTGTGTGGTAAAGAAGGCTGCTCTGGAGTGAGCATAATGAAATGGGACTGGAAGGGGCTGGGGGCTCATCTGGTAGGCTTTGCAGGAAATCCGTGTCTGTAAATGTGCCTCTCATATGTGATGATTTGGGATCACCCTGGTGGTGTCCTGGTCCCTAGCTCTGCCTGCAAGACTCAGAAGCAGCCAGTAAGACTTGGGATGATAAAGCTGAAGCAGTGTGGGCCCAACTAGTAAGAGTTCAGTGACAGGAGATGTTGATCAGTTTTGATTCTGAATATTCTAGGTCAAACTGAGACAGGGAAGGTGTTTCAGCTCCTCCCCCTTACCCCCCTTCCTTGGACTCTTCCTCAGCTGTGAATGCCATGGGTTCTTTGTTCCTTCCTTTACCCACCTCCAGTAAGCCTTTGATTTTAAAGACAGTAGTGGGAAGACAGAGAGCTTGGGTATAGCAGCTCCATGTGAGGTCTGTGAGCTCTTGGGTAAGTCACTTAATGTCTCTGAGCCTTACTTTCCTCATATCTGAAATTGGCATAATAGCAGTACCTACCTAATAATGCTTTGGGGAGAATTTAACAAGATAAAATACCTAAGGCACAAACTTCTTTGCACAGAATGCTCAATTAATAACCATCTAATAAACCATGTGGCTCCCTCTTATTGCAAACAGAGTACATCTTTCCAGAGAATATGGAGACAAATCTTCAGAGTCCTGGAAAGAGATACAATAAATTAAAGCATATTCCTAAAACACATTTTAATGAAAGAAAAAGCAATCTCATTTAATTCATTAGTTGAGATGATACTTAAACACTGTTAACAATGTTGGATTTTCTTTTAGTCACTGATTGCAGAGAAATCAAAATCTTACTCATTCGCATCCAGTGGACTATTTTACACCAATCCAGGCATAGTCGATGCCACGGGAAGTAAAATACAAGTTTTCTGACTTCTTTTTCTGCATCCAAGCCAGGACTTCATTAAATGAATGGTCTGAGGCTTGGTGCTCAGCCTTTAGCTTTTGTGCCAGGCAATATCTCTACCAGGTTCCAACAGACTTCCAGGGCTGGCCTGATGGCACTTCAGGTTTTTTTCTTTAAGTATCATAGATTTCTCCTAGTAAGACAGTCAGAGCTTTTGATGCTGCCCTTTCTTATCAAGGGAAAGAATATATGAATGAAGTTGACACCATCAGTAGGGAACTAAAGGCCAATTATTAAAATTTTCATGATTAATTGGCAGTGGCATGCTGATCCCTTCGCCATCACTTTCCTACCTTGCTTCATTGACAGAGGTGTGGAATCTTAGCATAGAGGGTCTGAATTCTTCTGGGGAGTAGGAAATTATTTGCTGTTCAGGAAAGTAAGGAATTTGAACCATAAGGGGCTGGCGAACGCATTAACTAATTAAGGCCTTTTCAACTGGTTTCCCCCTTACTAACTAAAGGAATACATTTTGACTTCTAGTTGAAATTCAGAGGATGACCAAAAGACAGAAATTAATGAATATCCTTTTTGGCCTCAATCCAAAGAACTATTTTTCTTTCTGAGTTTATCCTACTCTTGAGCCCTCCCCAGTGAAGAAGAATGAAATCATAATGGCAATTTTCTTTCTGGCAACAGTTCATCACAAATGAAATTTACCTGTTTTCTTCCAGGTTGTCTCATAAAAGAATGAGGGCTGTTTCTCTCAAGGGTTTGATGATTTCAGATGTCCATCTAGAGCATAAGGAAGATAACCTAATTTCTGTTTCCATAAAAAATACTGGAGGACAAGAAGGCAATGTTCCTGTGGAATGTCCTCTAAGAGCTGATATGGGTGGGAGGTCAAGAGGATGTCCTCCAAAAGGCAGAAGCTCTTGATTTGCCAAGAAAGCTTGAGAAGAGGCCACCTGCAGAAGGATGGGGCTGTTGCAGAGAGACACTAATCATGAGACAAGGATTCATATTTTCTATGAAATTTCTCCTTCTAAAATAAAAAATCCAAACCCACCTTCATTATCACTTATTTCACCTGTTTATTATAAAATGTTTTCGGGCAATGTTGCAGCATCTTCAATTATCTGCAAAGGAGCTAAGTTTTTTTGATTTAGACAGCAAATTGACCTCCCATCTGACTTCAATCCTTTCTACCAAATAGGTTGGCCATGAATGCTGTTGTAGTTGTGTGACACACTTTGAATTTCACCAAGCATGTGGTAACAAGACTGGTCTGAGCCCCAGGTGTCAGTTGAACCTCCCACAGCAGCAGAGAGGGAGTCATCTGTATTTATACCAAGTTTGTGTTCACATTAGCTCAGAGTATAACCGATTTATACAAATACGTAAATGTCTCATTGTAAACCCAAAGTATGTTCAGACAGAGAAAAGTTCAGCTCACCTTTTCTACAGATGACATATCTTCAGGCCTTCAGTTCTTTTCTTCTCCATTTAGTTCTCAATGATAACTCAGAGCAAATGAAGCCTTCTAACTAGGTATAATTATGACAAACATTGAAGAGCCCAGGAAGTAAAAGACAATGGTAAGAAACAATTCTAAAATGTCTTAAAGCTGCCCTCTCGTTCAGCTGAATTATATCATAAGCACTTGCTACAAATAAGTCTATAGAGTTTGAGTCAAAACATCCATGAGACATTTTAACTTCTGCCCAAACTGCTAATCCTTTTACCTCATACTCACTTTGGTTGATTAAAAATTAGGTGATTAAGAAAATGGATTACCACAGTGAGAGAAAGTGAGACCAGGAAGAAGCAGGCATGACAAAGAATTATACTGATAATTTATGAAGACCTAGAAAGAAAATTTCTGATTCATCAATAGTATTTACAGGTTAAAAAAAAAAAAAAGAAAACTAAACAAGAGGAGGAGAAAGGAATAAGACAGAAAAAAAAAAGGTTGAAGGAAACGGTCTTCAGTCTGGAGAAGATTCATCCTGTGGGAATGCATTGCTGTCTTAAACAATGTACTGTTTTTCTTACTTATGAAAACCAGCAACAGATGCTGGTTGTTGGTCTTGTCCTTGCTTAGATCTATAGGTTTCCAGTCATTCATTTGCGTGTCATTGAAAGAGGAGATGACACTATGTTACCCCTTTATTTGGGAGAATATGGAGGAAATATCTGTCATACTGGTCATCAATTTTTATTTCAGGAAAAGTAAAACGTATTCTTATGTAATCTTCTCCAGCATTTAGAAGCTCCTCAAATGACTGCACCTCTCATTTCTTTCTTAATATATGCAAATTTTACTATACATTTTTTTGGACCTGAAAACTTTAAACACAAAAGATTTGATGTTGCTCATACCTTGAGCAAGCAGGAAATCCTTAGGGAAATGTGAACTACTTCATACTTATTAAAACAGCTATTTTAATAAAACAATGAATTATTGACCCAACATCTGACTCATCTTTTACTACATTTTTTAAGTTACAGGAAGGTTTATAACTAATAAATTTCTTTGTATTGCATGCATATCTTATGAAAAAATAATTGCATATCTTCTGCATATATTCTTAACCACTGGCATGTTGTATGTACTCAAACTGCAGTAGTAATGAGATGTGAATATGGGTAAAATTTTGTTCTAAAATCATAAATCATAATGCTGAATTATGAGGGGGTAATTATTTAACAACAACAACAAAACCTTCTCTCTTTACTTATCTTTACCTACTTCATCTCAATCTCACACTATTTTTTAAAAGAAAACTTCATTGCATATTCTAGCAAAGTGTATTGGTAGGGGAAGGTTTAACAGAGCCAGAGAGAATGTGCAAGGAGTGAGAAAGTGAATTGATGGATGGATGGTTAAATGAATATAAATGAACTGACACCTTTACAGGAAAATAACATTTCTTTTCTTTTTTTATTCTATAGATCAGTGGGTTTTGTATCTGTAATTCTTTCATATCAGCAAAGAGGAAATAAACTCTCATGTAAATCATTTTCCCCCCATCTGTAGCATATTAAAACCATGCCTTTTTTTTCTTTTAAGCAGACTCTTTTTTCCGTATTTGCTTATCAGTTCATCCACCATTACATTTTAAATGAAATTGCAAGACCCTTGTCCCTCCCCCAAATTTCAGCCTGATGTAGGAAAGTGGAAAGCAGACTTTTCTTGCCTTAGAATAGTGACCTAGATTCAATTACAGATAGACCCAGAAGAGAGAAGTGACACCTCACAATTTTCTTAGAGGTCCTGAAAAAATTAGAAATCTCAAAACAATACTTAATGGAAAAGAATCTGTTTATTTCTCCCCATTTTCCATCTTATTTCTTCTCTGCCTTAATTGCATTGCTTTGGTCCATTTAATTGTTCCTGGTATAACATCACAATAGGTTTCCCACGGGATATTTCTGAATCATAAAAACGGGCATTTCAAGGAAATTTCTGAGTTTGGCTTTTGAGGGTGAGTGTGTACACACAGAGTATGTGTAATTCTGCAAACTGAACCCAGATAAGATGGAAAAAAATCTCCTAAAAGGCACATTTTCCCTTGCATCCTTCAAAAAAGCAAACAAATTACATTAATAAAATACACTTATTATAATCGCATTGCAGACAAAGCATTGAAGGCGGAAAGCGGGTGTATATATTTTACGGTTTTCCCAATTACTGTAGAAAAATGTGGTCAAAAGAAATAGAAAGAGGGAAGAACCCTGTGATTCCGCTTATTGACTTTTATCACTAAATTAAGCATATAAATGACCTGAGCTGGTGGCTTGGTATATTAAATTAAAAAAAGAAGAACAATGATTCTCTCTTCTTTTTCCCTCCCTCTCTGATCTCAGCCTGAAAGGAGTCTTCGAGAGATAAGAAAGATGGGATTCGGTCCCCGCTACTCGGGTGGATCCTGCTTACCGCGAGCGGGGAGGCGGTTGCCTTCCGTGCAGGATTTCCGTTGAGGGCTCACAATAAGCGGTCTCAAGCGGGGGCACATTCCCCGCCACTTCCGCGGTCCCTCAAACAAACAAAGAAGCCAAAGTCGGCTGTCCCAAGACCAATGTAAGCGCTTAGGAAGCTTTGAGGCGCTTGAGGGCGAGGCAGGCTGCCGTGGGCAGGTGTGAACACCTCAGCCCTCGCGGCGGGTTTGGAGCCGCCCAGCGTAGGAAGAGGGCAGAAGTGGGCTCGCGTCTATGCGGGTATTCGAAATGAAAAAGAGCTGCAAACGGCACAAAAGTCCGGGGGCTAGGCGCAGGAAAACAGAGCAAGGGAGCTGCCTTAGTTCTCAAACACTGCATATGGATGGGTGTTCCGCGGAAGATTATTCTAGACCCTGTGAAAGAAGTCTCCACTGGGCGCCGGCCACGGCATTGGGGTGCGCGCCTGCTCTGCGAGAAGGGTCCCCCAGGCCGCGCGGGGGAACGCAGGAGACGCCTGTCCCCGGGGGAACCAGCGGAGGATTGTTTCATTTCAAAGTGAAAATCTGCAGGCTTTGGGAAACGATATTCAAAAAAGTATATAATCTCCATATGCCGCTCAATGGAGGATCCTCATAATTTACAGCGGCAGATAAGGCTAGAGGGTGTAATAAAAAATCTGAAGCCCTCCCCTCCCCCCTCGCCGCCTCCCCGGAATTGCACCTTGGGCAGCGGAGCAGAATCCGGAATGTGAACTTCTCCCGACATATGTTTCCCGCAGATAAGTAAACAATCTGGACGTGAAATGGAAATGGTAATTAATGCAGTAATGCTGTTACACCTCGAGTGTGCAAATCCCATTGACTCGCCGCGCCACGGGGGGTGCCGGGCGTACGGGGACCGGTGGCGTGCGCCCAGGCTGCCCACTCCCTCCCTCCTCTCTCCCTCCTCCCTAGGTCCCCGGGCGGGGCGTCCAGAAATCCCGCAGGGATGTGGACGGGCTGCGGGAAGCAAGGAGCTGCTTAAGCGGCGTTCGGGACTCCCGGCTCTCGGCCCTTGGAGGACTGGGCGGGTGCTCTGCGTTTGCCTCGACAGCCGCACCTCTCACCCACCTCCCTCGGTTATCACCGCCGCGCTAGCGCTAGCAGGGCCTCCTCGGGGCTCGAGTGCAGCCCGGCCCTGAAGCACCTAGGAGAGCCTGAGCTCGGGCGACAGAGGCCTGGAGGCAGAGGGAACCCTCAAACTTAGTGCGGCGGGTGGCCCTGAGTGCGGCGGTCAGGTCTTTCTCTCCTCTCTGTTCCGGGGCCAAGTGCTGCCGGGTTGTCTGGCGAGAGTTTTTCTGAAGTTTCTTTCCATCCTCGCACCGAAAGCGCTGATCGTGTATGAATTGCTTTTCTTACGGACCTAAGTGGAAAAGTTTGGAAAAGGCCACTGCCCTCCAGAGTAGAGCAACTTCTCCACTTTGTAGCAAAGAGGAACCTTGAGGCCTCCTTTCAGCCTCTGTCCGGCCTGGGCACCCGTTCCCTTCCTCAACCCAGACCCAGTGCTTGGGCTTTTGGGGGATCGGGGAGGATGCCTAGCGCAGGGATTCGAGCGAAAAGGATGCAGAATCAGGGGTGGCAGCCAAGGGACGTCCCCGACCCGCAGCCCTTCCCGCTTCCGAAGAGAACACCTTGCTCACCCGACCCCAGAGGCTGGGCAGGAGCCTGCGATGACGGCTCTGCGGGACCCAGGGCCAGGGGCTGGGCTAGAAAGTGAGTAACGAGGCCCCATCTTTTCTGACTTCAGGCTCCTTCCTAGTGTGAGAACCGGCAACGCCCAAGCCCCGGAACCTGGGCGCACACAGAGCCGGGATTCCGTGGGGCCGACCGCGAATCTCTGGTTTTAAGTAGACGCCCCAGGATTTCTAGCGCCCCCATCCGCCATCAATTTCATTATTTTCTTAATTACTCTGCCGTGGCCCAGCTCCTGCGCTTCTGGTTCCAGGCCGATGCCCATCCCTGCAGCGTCAGGAAAGAAACCAGCCCAAGTAGCTCTCCCACTGCTAGGTCCACTAGAGCCTAGGAGGCAGGGCAGGGCAGGGCAGGACAGAGGCCAGGAGAGCACGCACCTCGGTGGAGGCGGGAAGCTCTCCTGCCTCCAAATCTAACGGACCCCTTCTGTCCCTGTGCCTCTTCCTCTCACACTCACACACAATCCACTCAGCAAATAGATGAGAATTCTTTACACAAATCTTGTGAATTAGGTGATATTCAAATTCAAATGGTTTGAAATTCGCTGTCCACTTGAACAATGGTAACAAGGCCTGAGCTGGGGAGGAGATGAAGGAAACAAGAGTGCTGGCACCACAGCTCGCCAAGTTTTCCGGGCCCTGGCAGTCTCGGATCTCTCAAGAGAAGCTGACCGGCGGGACACACTTCCCTAAATGGTGAGCTGTATTGAAAGTACCTTGGCCCTACTCAGACGGAAACATCATCCCGCTTTGGTTCACCGGAGATTCCTACAGGTTAGCTCGCTCCAGTTCCAAAATGCAAACGTTCAGGGGGTCTCAGATGTCAGTCACTCACACCTCAGCGTAATTTACTCAAAGTAGCTGGTCTTTTCCGTCTTTAAAGTCATCGGGCCTAAGGAAATTAATATTTAAATAGAAAAACTCGGAAACTGGAAGGGAATCAAAGATTTTTGGAGTCAGATCCAAAACCGAGAAGTGCATGAAAGGCTGACGGAGTTCTCGGAATGAGGGAGGCCAGAGGCGGAAAGGGGTCAAGAATTCCACATCTCTCTGAAGATGTAGCCAGTGTACCCCTGAGCCAGATGGCAGCCAAGGTTTAAGAAAGCAAACCTAGGTAAAACCCAAACAACTCTGCTCCTGCCGCGCCGGCGCAGATGGCTGCCACCCCAGCAGCATGCTGTTCAGGTCTCTGCTGTCCTAGGGAACACCCAGCAGAGGAGCGACGGCGCTGAACGCGGCATGTATTTGGGTCACTTTTGGCGGGGAGAAGGGTCCCGGGGAAGCAATGGGAGCCTCAGGCGAGAGGTCCGGGCCCTCCCTGCCAACCCCGCTCGAAGGAGGCCCAGGTTGCTAAGCGAGAGAAGTCTGGGGCTCCCTGGCTACCGGACGCGTGCCTAACGCAGAGGGATCTGCAGAACCTCCTCCTGCAGGGCCACGGGCGCCCCTTGCAGCGCCGGAGTTCAGGTTCTCCGGATGCCAGGAGTCTGTCCAGGGCAACTCTTGGCTGCTCTTTGCTGCGCGACGCGCGCTCGGGAGAAGCGGCTCTTCTCCACTCCGGGCGGGCGGGGCGCTCCTCTCCCTACAGGTTTGCTTTAATGATTTTCTTGAAAGAAAGAGACAGTTGTGAGCAAACAGGTTTGACAGGGACTGCTGCCCCCCCACACCCCCCAGGGGATTTCTTTTTGTCTGCGCCTGACTTCAAAGTCAGTAATCGGCCCCTGTCAGCGGCGTGACGAGCAGGATTTTGGCTGTTTGTTAGGGCGAGTCGCGGCCGCGCACCTCGGCGGACGCTCCGCAGCCCTCGGGGCGACGGAGGCAAAGCTGAGGCAGGCTCTTGCGGGGATGGGGGTGGGGGCAGAGGTTGGGACCAGGTCTAAGGAGGGCAGATGGCTGGGGAAGGCCAGTCTGAGAAGGAAGGAAACGAAGTGTGATGGCCAAAAACCGCCCGAGCCAAGTCTTTGACTTTAGGTCTCAGGACCCGAACTGGGCCCCCGGCTCTTTGCAGGCTGGAAAGAGGTCTCAGCCACCTCTGAGTGAGGCCGCAGCCCCCTGAGCGCCTCTCTTCTACAGCGCACCCTAGTTTCCTAATTCCCCATCTGAGCCTAAGACCAAGCGCAACCCGGAACCCTGGTTTCGGTTTTCCAGCTTCAGCCACCGTCCGAGGCCTTTGCCCCTCGCACTTTGCCCTCGCACTCGCCACGTGCCCCTTTCCAGCCTAACCCTTCAGGTTTGCTTCAGGTGGGGTCGTGGGCGCCAGGTTCTTTCTCCAGCTGGGGGGCTCTGTGTGCCCAGGGCGCTCCTGCGCTGGGATCTGCGAGGAGATACCCAGAGCCCTGTAAGCTTCATCTTAGGAGATATTAAGGGACACTGAGCTATGGGAGCTATCAGAGCGGCTGACAGGACTGTCAGTTGGGGTTATATCAGACAGGAAAACCGTGGCGTCTCCGTCCCAGGCCTCCTGGGCTTCCTAGGGGGCGGGAGGAGGGGCCTTCCCTAAGCGCCCAGGCCCCCAGACCGGACGGCCACCAGAGGCAAGTCACTTCCTAATTGTCTCGATTTGTAAAAGGGTTTTGTAATGCTAAGTAAGCGTGGCGCAGCCAGCCCGGACTCCCCCTACACCTCCCTCAGCCCGCCTTTGTTTACCTTCGCCTGATCGCTCATTTATTTATCTATCTATTATTTATAGGCGTCCTCTCCTATTCAGCGCCCGTGTATGTTAATTGTGTTATACCATTTAATTCTAACATCGGTCTCAAAAGAGCTCTTAATGAGAAAAGCATATACAACATGGATCACTTTGCTATTCAGCTTAGCCAGATGGACAACTGCTAACTTTTTTTTTTTTTTAATAATGAAAATCCCCCTTTGACAAAGGGGCTCGGATGAATAGGCTCCAAATAACACCTCAAACACTTCTAATTGTTTTGAGGACAATATGCTAATCCGCGGGTTTCGGCTTTGGTGTCTGTTGACAACGTTTCCCGTGCACTTCGAGCCACCGACTCCTTTGGAAACAGCGGAGGCAAGCGTACAAATCTCTCAACAGCAGCAGAAAGCCCACAAACCTCTAGGCTGCCCCACCTCCCACCCCACAGCATATCAAAGCCAGTGGGAAAAGCACGCAAATTAAGGAAAACCACGCGTGAGCGCGGCTTTTGGGGTGAGACTCCAAGACCAAGGGTGGAAAGCACCCTTCGATTTTGAGAACAAATTCCAAAGAGTTTTGCTGGATAACATCGGAGGGTCCTTTCTCAGGAAAGACAATAATCTTCAAGAAAACATTCACCCGGAGGGGAAAGAAAAGGACTCTTTTCCTTGTTTAACGTCATGGGCTGTGCTTTTATTTGATTTTTTACGATTTTTAAAAACTCCTTGCCTGAGCCATGACAATGTCGCCTTCCTTTTCCCTTTGCTCCTGCAGGGTCTCAGCAAAAAGTGTTCGACATTCTGGGGCAGGGACCTATGGCACATTTTTCTGCATTTCTTAGAGTTTTATTTTTTAACTTAGGAACCAGTATCAAGCACCAAATCCCCAGAAGAGTGGGCAGCAGCCTTTCCAAACACCTAAAAAGGCAGAATACCTGATTCCCCCAGTCTTCTCCCATGCTTTGAACTTAAACATCCAATGCAGGACGGGGTGTTCAGCGCGCAACTGGTTCCCAGGAGACTCGGTGCTTCTCCCTGCTCCTTCAGCGTTTGGTTTTTTAAAAAGTAAACTCACCCAGATCTCAGCGGTCTGGGTCGGCCTTTGACTTAGTTCATTCATTCCTTGAAGTGGCCTGACCCTTTTGGGAAGAATGGGAGGAGAGAGTGAAGTCCCAGGGAACGATACCTTTGTCTAGCCTCTAAAGGCAAAAAGCAATCTCCAGGGCGCATTCCGGACGGATCCGAAGCTCTAGGCCCTTCTACACCCAACCCGCAGACCACCAAGCTGGGCCAACGGGGGGCAGCCACCAGCCATCACTGCTTAAAGTCGCTCTATGCACTTTCAGCCTCCCCGCACCCGACTTTCCAGTCCCTCCAACCTGGCTCCTGACTTCAGATTTTAGGCACATCAAAGGTTACTTTTTTACAATGACAGATTGTCTTTATTCAAAACGTCTTTGTTCAACAAATGAACAGAGCAACGAGGTAAAATCCTTCTAGGTACATTTCCAAGACATCGTCAAAACATTTATGACCATTTAGGTTGTTTTTGTTCTTTTAATTTTTTGTTCACCTTCTACTTCCTGACTTCATAACCCGACATTCTGTCTAAAAGTAAACTTAGATCTCTAGAAGCACTGCTTTACACAAAGTAAATAACCATGTAGGTCCTTTTTGTTTTCCCTTTAAAGAAGCAAACACTATCATAGCATGGTTTTAAATAGAAATGTTTCCCTTTCTGTAATTTAAAACTTTGAAGCCTTTCCCCCCCATACATGAAGAGCAAATGGCTCCTAGTTGTGTCTGATGGCAAAACACAGAGACACAGCTAACTCTTTTCTTCAGGGGACAAAAGGAAAAAATATATGCATATTGTAGATATAATATCAGAATCTGGGAGTTCAGAGTCCAAAGCCTATCCGAGGAGAGTGAAGGGGATATAAATAAAGCAAAACTGCCTACTTTTTTGTCCAAAGGGGGTACAGTCGGAGATTTGTTTTGGGAGAGTCGGGATAGGGGCAGCTGTGTAGCTGACATAACGTTTGCAAGTTTCCGGTACCTGTCTGCGCCTTGGGTCCGGGAGGACGCCCCACCCTTCCCCCTGGAAGAGAGAGGAAAAGTCTGGGTGGTGTAAGGGACAGCGGCAGGGCTGACCCCGGAGGCGTCTGCAGGCCGGGGCTAGGCTCAGAGGACAGGGTGCAGACCCGGCTTTCAGACCACGCCTCAGGTCCGGGCCGGGCTGGGGGTTACATGGCCGTAGCGTGGGCTGACGAATAAGGGTCTATGCCAGTCTTGGTCATGCCTGGGAAGAGGATGTAGGCGACGGGGGGCTGCAGGGTGGAGGCAGACCAGGCGGTACAGTTACAGGGCACCACGTAGCCAGGGTTGGTGGGGGACGGGTGCGTGTGCGTGTGCTGGCTGGGGCAGCTGAGGCTGCCGAAGGCGCCGTTCTGGTAGCCCAGGGTGGACGCGTAGGGCAGAGCGCCGGTAGCCAAGGTGTGGGGCACTTCGCCCATCTTCTGGATGGCGCTCGAGCTAAACTGCGCGGGGTCCAGCAGGGAGTAGGGCGCCGAGGCCGGCGGCAAGAAGGCCCGGGCTTTCTCGGGCGCGCTCAGGAGGCCGTCGGAGGCCCCCACGGGCAGGCCAGCCGCCTTGAGCGGGTCCGTGTCGCCCAGGTAGGGCAAGGGGAAGACATACCTGTCCTTCTTGAGCAGGTTCTTGGGCTTGCGCCGAGGTCGGTACTTGTAGTCAGGGTGCTCCTTCATGTGCTGGGCGCGTAGCCGCTTGGCTTCATCGATGTATGGCCGCTTCTCTGCCTCGGACAGAAGCTTCCATTCGGCACCTAGGCGTTTGCTGATCTCCGAGTTGTGCATCTTGGGGTTTTCCTGGGCCATCTTGCGCCGCTGGCCCCGGGACCATACCATGAAGGCGTTCATGGGCCGCTTGATGTGGTCTGAAGGTTTGGACATGGTCCCGGCGGCTAGGTGGGTGGGGGTAGGGAGTGCAAGGGTTCTGCAGACGAGCCTGGGCGCGGCTGGCCGTCTGTCTGTCCGTCCTGAGCCGGGGTTCTGCGCTCCCCTCGCCTTGGCGCCGCTGAGGGGAAGCCAGAGAGAAGCGCTGACCCCACAAAGTTCAGCTGATCATGCCAGTCCCAGCGCCCAGGCAGCCCCGGGGGAGCGAGTGGGGGCAGAAAGGGCGGGGGAGGAGAGGGCGATCGGCCGGGGGGCTTCAGGCACCAGGGGCTGGGACCCAAGTATCGGAGTCTCCGGGATTAAGTGGCCAGGTAATTTTTTAGCCAGGGCAAGAAGCTCCTCCTTCTCCCCCTCTCCACCTTTGCCTTCTCTAGTTCCCTTCTCTCCTCTTGCGTTTCCAGTCGTGGCTCCCCCTTCCCGTGGCTTTCCCGGAGCTGCCGCGCCTAGCGCTGCACCTGGCTGAGAATGCGGGGAGGCTGGTGAACGAGAGCCAAAAGCGGCGAAGTTCAAAGGCGAGGTGGGCCGGGACTGCACGCACTCTGACATAAGCGCGGGGCGGCGACTCCCCAACCTGGGCGCCAATCAGCAGCAGAGAAGCCGAGGGGGCGCACCTGCCAACACGCCGGTGCAAGAAACAGAGAGCGCGACTGGTGGGGGCGGGGAGAGGTGTGAGGGACAGAGGCAGAGAGAGGGCTAGAGCAGAGAGGCTAGCTCTAGACTGGGGACTTCGGTTCCACATTGTCTCGGGCACTGTCAACAAATAAAACTCTTCCGCGTCTCCTGTTTCCTTTCCCGGTTGTGAAAGAGAATTAGGGCTTGAAATACAAAGGCCGGGGAAGGGACAGCAAAGGGAGCGAGGCGAGAGCTTGTGTTGATAAATAGGACAGCTTTGCCGCGAAATGCAAGGACAGCACTTTGCCCTCTTGTCAAATATCCTTGGAAGAGAAAAATAACATATAGCAGGCTCAGGGTAAAAGCGAAATAAACTTTTCGCGCCCCACCCTCGGCGGTGCTTTGGCAGTGTTCTCCCGGGAAGCCCCTGCAACTAGGCATCCACCCCTGCCCCAGGATGCGGCGCCCGGGCGTAGCGCTGGGACCCTGGGTGGCTGAGCAATGTTGTCTGACCTGCTCCTGGAAGGCCTCGCGTCAGGCAATGCAGAGATTTCGAACCCTAGTTGGTGAGCCCTTAAAAGCACTACGACCTGTTCTTCACTTTTGGGGCAGGGATGGGGCTGAGATTTCTATTGCAGTTCCCATTTATGTTATTATTATTTAGTGTCTTTAAACCTCCAACTTTTACTCCACAAATGTTCATACCGTAAGAAGAGCCTAGAGGCTGGGTATGGGGCTCTTCCCGGTGCCCCTTCTGCAGCGGCCCTACAGCGGAGTCTCACGGTGTATCGCAACCAGGGTCGGTTTGTCCCTGGGCGCCTCTTCCCACCCAGGGAGGCTGCGAGACTCGTTTCTTGCGTCAAATGAGCATTCTTCGGGTAAAGAGGACGAAATAACCCGCAGAGCCAACCTGCGCGCCTGTTTCCTTTGAATAATTGCCTGCCCGATGTGAAATGCCCTTGGGGGAAATATTTATTAAATGGAAACCATTGTCCCAGGCCCGGCGGGACCTGCGTGTGTTCCAGGCTTATTGGCTTTTGCACCATTCTCTCTTGGGAGGACCGGCCAGAAACGCGCAAGGCTCCGTTGGCTCCGAGGGGCTAGGAGTGGGGGAGGGTGACAGGGAATGAGGAGGCCGGAAGGGAGGATCTTTCTCTAGCATGTAGTGTATCAAGTTTGAGGAGAAGACTTTGCTTCCCCTTCCTAAAATTAGAAAGACGCGTGGAACTTCTCACCCTTGGCGCACTTTTCAGAGAGGTGGGCAATATCCCCATTTTACAGATTAGGAAACTAAGGTTGAGAAAAACTAGGTGATTTGTCAAAAGTGACTCTGGGAGTGATGCTTGATGTATAGGATTTGAAAATCCCTATTTTCACCCCCATTCCACTAGACGTCACGCCTAGGGATTTCATGGCTCTGCAGCCCAATGTGGAACACCTGATGAGACTATTGGGGCAATCGACACCTGCCATGCAGATAAACCACGCTGGAAAGACTGATCCTGCGCTTGATTTGCTTAGCCATGGGCTCCACCTCCGAGGGCTGGCAAACAGGTGCACAGCCTTTACATTCCTTCCCAACCCCAGCTCTGGCCTTTCTCCAGAGCCTCCATCCAGCCCTGTAACCCTGCTTTCTCTGCAGGAAGTTTCATTTAGCTTAGGGTCTCAGGAAGCAAACGCACTTTTCAGCCCAGTCTGGAAAGGGTTTCCGAGCGTCGCTGGCAACCCCTACTCAGGTCTGACCAGCGGTGCGCTATATTCAGAGCCAGCCAGGGATAGGAGATTCAGGAATCACCCAATTCTAATTCTACTGGGCGATCCCGACGGCTTTGGGAAGGAATGAGAGAAATACTGATATCTGCAGCGAGATCCAGCGTTCGGAGGGGACCCGCCAATCTCTCACTCTAGAACCCCCCAGGGGACACCAAACGCACACCCAAAGTTCTGGGTTAATGCAAACCAAGCTCTTGGAAATTACTCAGCAAGGGGATCTGGCACAAGGTCCTACGTCCTTTCTCTCCTCTCAGTTTCCAGGACAATCCTTTCCAGTTGCCCGGAGGCAGTTCGGGCAGGCGAGCGCCTTCCTGCAATTCCTCATATTTCCTTCTCCTCAAACGCCCGAGCTCCTCTCCAAGCTTCTTGTGTTCAGCCTTGGGTCGCAGCCAATGCGCAGTCCAATTCGCAATGAGGAGCGGAGTGATACGAAGGGCGTTCGATGGTGGGCAGGGCGCCAGCTGACCCCCCGACGTTTCGGAGACCCCGATTGCCTGGTCCAGCTGCACTGACCTAGGAAGGGGCCAGCATCAGCGCTGCGCGTCTTGGCCTTGAGACAGGAACTCCGCGCGGGGAGGGAACGCAGGGATGAGGGCTGCACCTTCCAGGCCGTGCATCAGCTTGTCTCCTAGGCGAACTGCAAAGCCACGCACACCCCTTACGCAGTACCGGTGACCACCGGTTTATTCAACACTCTTTAGAGCTGTGGCGGGAGCAGGAGTTCCCGTGATCCTGGGGTCTGGCCTGGTGCTGTCTCCAGCAGGTGCCTCTACTGCGCTGCGCTGTCCCTTCACGCTGTGCCTCCCTGACGGGTCTAAACCACCGGGTAGCACGTCCTGGAGACGTGACCCCTGAGGAGAGTCAGCAACTTCGGTCACAACCAGAACAAGCATTAGGACAGAGGTTGCCTAAATACTCCTCCTGCTTTGTCCACGGCCTGAAGTTTGGCCCCAGGCTACCAGTTCATTCTCCTCCAGGGCTGGAGATAACGCTTGGATGAGGTCTTTCCGCTTGCACATTTGCCTGGAGAAGCTGTGCACACGTTCAGTACACAGCGCAGCTACTCAAGGTCCGCTGCGTGCCAGCCTTAGCAAGGCGTCCGAACCCCCGAGCAACAGGGATTTTGTCAGGGAACCGCCGCTGTTTCCCGGAAGTGAAGGAAGAGGCCTCTAAGGGCACCGACCTAATCTGCTTCTCTCCGGGCCTTTCGTCTCCCTCCAGGGCGCAGAGCGTCCAGGATGCGCCTTCCTCTTTTCTGGCTCTGGGCCTCTCCTTTCACGCAGCTCCTGCGCGTACCTCAGGTATCAGTACAAGCCTCTCACTGTCTATGGGGAGACTTTTCTGTTTCCTGGGCTGGGCTAGGACCCCTTCTATGCTCTCACTCTCACACTTCCATTTCAATCCCTGTTCCCCAGCCTCTTTTGGGTCCCTGTCGCAGTCGGTGCAGCCCACTAGACTTCGAGCTTCTCTGGGGCTGTGGCTGCGTGTTATTCATCTTGGGTTCAATTTCCGCATAATTCCAAACTCAGAGAAGACTCTCAGTAAAGTTTCCTTCTGCCCAGGCCGAGGTGGATCTTCCCGATAGGTCTTTCCCCGCCTTGCAGCTGCAGGCACGGGGCCCGAGACACAGCCTGGTAGAGCCAGACGCGGCAGTCTGGGGCCCCAGAGGCCTGCACCCACCTGCCTTGCCACAAGGCTCCGCCCCACCCTCCGGCCCCCTCCTCTCTGGTGGGCAGAGGTCACTACTCCAAGGCCTCTGGGGCTGGGGAATGGCTGAGTGCTGGGAGTAAGGCGCACAGAACGTGGCTTAGAGAACGCGGTTGGGGATGGACGGAAAGGAGGCAGCTGGCTATGCCTCTCGAGCTCCAATGGCTTTCCAAAGAGGCCAGAAGAGTCACCTGCGTCCAGAGGGCCTGGGATGCTTGGGGCTTGCTGGCACCAGTCCTGCCCGCTCACTGTGGCCACTGGAAGATTTTGGTGAGCGAAGTCGCAGGTGCCTGTTGCGGGAAGCCTGAGAGCAGCGTGGGCTTCAGCTCGCAGCTGAGAGTGAGCGCCAGCGCACCCAGGTGTTTAGAGACAAGACAGTTAATCCGGCCCACCCCCCCAAGTGTCCATAACCCAGAAGCAAGCACTGAGGTGACAAAATGATCCCAGGAAATAAGAATCTTTGTTTAAATCATAAACTTTTAATTTTTTTATTATACTCTAAGTTCTAGGGTACCTGTGCACAACGTGCAGGTTTGTTACATATGTACACATGTGCCATGTTGGTGTGCTGCACCCATTAACTCGTCATTTACATTAGGTATATCGCCTAATGCTATCCCTCCCCCCTCCCCCCACCCCACGACAGGCCCTGGTGTGTGATGTTCCCCTTCCTGTGTCGAAGTGTTCTCATTGTTCAGTTCCCACCTATGAGAACATGCGGCGTTTGGTTTTTTGTCCTTGCGATACATGAACTTTTAATTTTTATTACCCAAAATATCTTTAATGTTTGGCACCTCTGATTCCCTCTACTCCGTTCCCCGCTGCCCACTGTTTTCTATTTTAAAATTCAGAGACTGTATATATCCCGCCTCTAGAGAGTGCCCAGAGGATCCAGAGCTCTGGTCTTATTAAGACATTTCTTGGTAATTTCTCCGGGGTTTTCCCTCCAGAACCCAACCCAGCCCAGCCCATGCCGGCATCTTGAAATTTTGTAAAATCCCACTTGTCTCTTGCAGACAAGATGGCACAGGAGGGCACCGCTTACACCAAGAAACAAAGAGAAGCCGAGCAAAACCAGGGGTACATGTTTGGCATCCTGGAGCTGTTAGAGCAGTGCTGGGCTGGGCTGAAGGATACTTCTGTCTTAACATCCCAAGCACGCCCAGGTAAGGAGACTTTTTTGCTTCAAACTGCCTTAACTTGAGTAGTTTGAGTCTGTTTGTAGCAGAGCTCATGTGACTCACCAACTCAGTACAAATTTTTTTTTTTTTTTTTTTTGAGACGGAGTCTCGCTCTGTCGCCCAGGCTGGAGTGCAGTGGCGGGATCTCGGCTCACTGCAAGCTCCGCCTCCCGGGTTCACGCCATTCTCCTGCCTCAGCCTCCCAAGTAGCTGGGACTACAGGCGCCCGCCACTACGCCCGGCTAATTTTTTGTATTTTTAGTAGAGACGGGGTTTCACCGTTTTAGCCGGGATGGTCTCGATCTCCTGACCTCGTGATCCGCCCGCCTCGGCCTCCCAAAGTGCTGGGATTACAGGCGTGAGCCACCGCGCCCGGCCTCAGTACAAATTTAATAGAAGTTTGCACAACATCTACGCTAATCTCCCAGAAAATGGAAGGGGTGGGAGCAGGAATAAGGCTTTGAAATCTCCTTACTCATTCATTATCTCAACAGCTATTTATTGAACACCTACTATGTGCCAGGCATTGTGCTAGGTGCTGGGACACAGCAGTAAACAGGACCTACCACAGTCCTTCTCTAGTAGTGATTGTTACAGCCCAATGGGAGGACAGAGAATAAACAAGAAACAAATTCCTGGGGTGATTCCTGGCTCAACCACCAAGTAGTTGTGTCACTTAAAGCAAGGTGCTTAGCCTGTCTGTGTCCTCACTTCCTGAACTGTAAAACAGATATAAAGAATTATTATCAGAACAAAATGATTTAATATGAGAAACATCCTTAGAATAGTGCTGGACATATAGAAACTGCTCAATAATTGGTCAGATAATATTATTTTGTCTTTTAATATGAGCAGTTAACTTCCGATAGTGGTATGTGCTAAGAAGTAAATCAGGATGATGAAAATGGAGTGGACAAAGAAAGGTGGTCTGATTTGCATTGGCAGTCAGGGACCTGGGGAGAGCCAGCCTTCTGAAGGAAGAGGGCACAGGGTAGAGGTCATTCCAGGCAGCAGGAGCAGGAAACTCCACTACCTGGAGAAGAACTGCTGAAGCCACAAAGGAATTGAAGAGCCAGTGTGGCTGAACCCTGGCCATGACCCTGGAGAGTATAAGGAAAAGGTGGATGAGATTGGTGGGGCCCAGATTATCCAGGGTCTTGTAAATTCCATAAGGGGTTTGGGTTTTATTCTAAATGTACTGAGAAATCATTACAATAAGACTCACCAGAATTATTTCACAATAATCTTAACAATCACATACAAAGAAATATTGATTATTGGACATTCTACTTATGGAGGAATGTCACCTGTAGCCATAGGACAGAAACTTTTAAATTGACAGGTTTTTGTTTGTTTGTTTGATTGTTTTTTACTGGCCTTGGGATCAGCTGCCTGACCATCCTTTAAAGAGCAAGGGAAACCCTGCTAAATGCTTTGAACTCCTCTTACAGTCTCCTGTACCCTTAGGAAGCCAAGGAATAAAACAAGGAGGGATATATCCATCTATACCCAATAGGTATTAGCAGCCCACTGCCCATCTGACTTACTTTTCCCACTTCCTGCCAAGTGGAGTTCTACTTCCCTCCTGAACCTCTGAGTCGACCCTTTTCAGAGAAACTGCGTCCACATTTAGGCATCTTGAATATCTCAGCCTGAGAAATATAGGATTTGTATATGAGGTTTCTTATTGCTAATGAGGTTTCTTAAGATTAAAAAAAAATTCCCAGTGGTTATAAGATCAGGAAAGACACATTTTGTTTCTATGAATAAAAGCCAAAAGAGTGTCAATATTGTGTGCCTCTGCCTCAAGTTTTATTGTATTCCGGTGTTTCTCATGCATTAGGGCTCCCCTAACCCCATTCTTCTAATGTAAGAATTCTTGGTCAGCTTTTATCATAAACAATACTGTTTAAGGTTCTGTGTTTGCCTAATGCAATTGGCCAAGTTATTGAAGCATACATTATCTTGCCAGTTTTATCACAAATTATTCACTGCAGAGGATAAGACCAAACGCTGGCAACAAGACCCAGTCAAGGATCAGAACACTTCCTTTTTTATTTTTTGTGGTACCTGCCTCTGCTCTCAGCCTAAATAGCAAGAAATATTAGGGCAGTTGGCAGTTCCAAAAAGTGCTACATTAACAGTGCCTATTTTCACATATCTGTTTATTTTCTCTCTTTCTTTCTTTCTTTCTTTCTTTCTTTCTTTCTTTCTTTCTTTCTTTCTTTTTTCTTTCTTTCTTTCCTTCTTTCTTTTTCTTTCTTTCTTTCTTTCTTTCTTTCTTTCTTTCTTTCTTTCTTTCTTTCTTTCTTTCTTTCCTTCCTTCCTTCCTTCCTTCCTTTCCTTCCTTCCTTCCTTCCTTCCTTCCTTCCTTCCTTCCTTCCTTCTTTCTTTCTTTCTTTCTTTCTTTCTTTCTTTCTTTCTTTCTTTCTTTCCTTCTTTCACTTTAACTTCTAGGGTACATGTGCACAACGTGCAGGTTTGCTACATAGGTATACATGTGCCATGTTGGTTTGCTGCACCCATCAAATTGTCATTTACATTAGATATTTCTCCTAATGCTATCCCTCCCCCAGCACCCCAGCCCCCAACAGGCCCCGGTGTGTGATGTTCCTGTCCTGTGTCCAAGTGCTCTCATTGTTCAATTCCCACCTATGAGTGAGAACATGTGATGTGGTGTTTGGTTTTCTGTCCTTGTGAAAGTTTGCTGAGAATGATGGTTTCCAGCTTCATCCATGTCCCTGCAAAGGACATGAACTCATCCTTTTTTTTTTTTTATTATACTTTAAGTTTTAGGGTACATGTGCACAATGTGCAGGTTAGTTACATATGTATGCATGTGCCATGTTGGTGTGTTGCACCCAGTAACTCGTCATTTAACATTAGGTATATCTCCAAGTGCCATCCCCCTCCCACCCCCACCCCACAACAGGCCCCGGTGTGTGATGTTCCCCTTCCTGTGTCCATGTGATGAACTCATCCTTTTTTATGGCTGCATAGTATTCCATGATGTATATTTGCCACATTTTCTTAATCCAGTCTATCACTGATGGATATTTGGATTGGTTTCCAAGTCTTTGCTATTGTGAATAGTGCCACAATAAACATACGTGTGCATGTGACTTCATAGTAGCATGATTTATAATCCTTTGGTTATATACCTAGTAATGGGATCACTGGGCCAAATGGTATTTCTAGTTCTAGATCCCTGAGGAATCACCACATTGTCTTCCACAATGGTTGAACTAATTTATACTCCCACCAATGGTGTAAAAGTATTCCTATTTCTCCACATCCTCTCCAGCATCTGTTGTTTCCTGACTTTTTAATAATCGCCATTCTAACTGGTGTGAGATGGTACCTCATTGTGGTTTTGATTTGCATTTCTCTGATGGCCAGTGATGATGAGCATTTTTTCATGTGTCTGTTGGCTGCATAAATGTCTTCTTTTGAGAAGTGTCTGTTCATGTCCTTTGCCCACTTTTTGATGGGGTTGTTTGTTTTTTTCTTGTAAATTTGTTTAAGTTCTTTGTAGATTCTGGATATTAGCCCTTTGTCAGATGGGTAGATTGCAAAAATTTTCTCCCATTCTGTAGGTTGTCTGTGCACTCTGATGGTAGTTTCTTTTGCCATGCAGAAGCTCTTTAGTTTAATTAGATCCCATTTGTCTATTTTGGTTTTTGTTGCCATTGCTTCTGGTGTTTTAGTCATGAAGTCCTTGCCCATGCCTATGTCCTGAATGGTATTGCCTCGGTTTTCTTCTAGGGTTTTTATGGTTTTAGGTCTAACATTTAAGTCTTTAATCCATCTTGAATTAATTTTTGTATAAAGTGTAAGGAAGGGACCCAGTTTCAGCTTTCTACATATAGCTAGCCAGTTTTCCCAGCACCATTTATTAAATAGGGAATTGTTTCCCCATTTCTTGTTTTTGTCAGATTTGTCAAAGATCAGATGGTTGTAGATGTGTGGTGTTATTTCTGAGGCCTCTGTTCTGTTCCATTGTTCTATGTATCTGTTTTGGTACCAGTACCATGCTGTTTTGGTTACTGTAGCCTTGTAGTATAGTTTGAAGTCAGGTAGCATGATGCCTCCAGCTTTGTTCTCTTTGCTTAGGATTTTCTTGGCAATGCAGGCTCTTTTTTGGTTCCATATGAAAGTTAACGTAGTTTTTTCCAATTCTGTGAAGAAAGTCATTGGTAGCTTGATGGGGATGGCATTGAATCTACAAATTACCATGGGCAGTATGGCCATTTTCATGATAATGATTCTTCCTATCCATGAGCATTGAATGTTTTTCCATTTCTTTTTGTCCTCTTTTATTTTGTTGAGCAGTGGTTTGTAGTTCTCCTTGAAGAGGTCCTTCACATCCCTCGTAAGTTGGATTCCTAGGTATTTTATTCTCTTTGTAGCAATTGTGAATGGGAGTTCACTCATGATTTGGCTCTCTGTTTGTCTGTTATTGGTGTACGGGCATGCTTGTGATTTTTGCCCATTGATTTTGTATCCTGAGACTTTGCTGAAGTTGCTTAACAGCTTCATGAGATTTTGAGCTGAGATGATGGGGTTTCCTAAATAGACAATCATGTCATCTGCAAACAGGGACAATGTGACTTCCTCTTTTCCTAATTGAATACCCTTTATTTCTTTCCCTTTCCTGATTGCCCTGGCCAGAACTTCCAACACTATGTTGAACAGGAGTGATGAGAGAGGGCGTCCTTGTCTTGTGCCAGTTTTCAAAGGGAATGCTTCCAGTTTTTGCCCATTCAGTATGATATTGGCTGTGGGTTTGTCATAAATACCTCTTATTATTTTGAGATACATTCCATCAATCCCTAATTTATTGAGTTTTTAGCATGAAGTGCTGTTGAATTTTGTCAAAGGCCTTTTCTGCATCTATTGAGATAATCATGTGGTTTTTGTCATTGGTTCTGTTTATGTGATGGCTTATGTTTATTGATTTGTGTTTGTTGAGCCAGCCTTGCATCCCAGGGATGAAGCTGACTTGATCGTGGTGGATAAATGTTTTTATGTGCTGCTGGATTCAGTTTGCCAGTATTTTATTGAGGATTTTTGCATCAATGTTCATCAGGGATATTGGTCTAAAATTCTCTTTTTTTGTTGTGTCTCTGCCAGGCTTTGGTATCAGCATGATGCTGGCCTCATAAAATGAGTTAGGGAGGATTCCCTCTTTTTCTATTGATTGGAATAGTTTCACAAGGAATGATATCAGCTCCTCTTTGTACCTCTGGTAGAATTCGGCTGTGAATCCATCTGGTCCTGGACTTTCTTTGGTTGGTAGGCTATTAATTATTGCCTCAATTTCAGAGCCTGTTATTGGTCTATTCAGAGATTCAACTTCTTCCTGGTTTAGTCTTGGGAGGGTGTATGTGTCCAGGAATGTATCCATTTCTTCTAGATTTTCTACTTTATTTGCATAGAGGTATTTATAGTATTCTCTGATGGTAGTTTGTATTTCTGTGGGATTGGTGTTGATCTCCCCTTTATCGTTTTTTATTGCATCTATTTGTGTCTTCTCTCTTTTCTTCTTTATTAGTCTTGCTAGCGGTCTATCAATTTTGTTGAGCTTTTCAGAAAATGAGCTCCTGGAATCATTGATTTCTTGAAGGGTTTTTTGTGTCTCTATCTCCTTCAGTTCTGCTCTGATCTTAGTTATTTCTTGCCTTCTGCTAGCTTTTGAATGTGTTTGCTCTTGCTTCTCTAGTTCTTTCAATTGTGATGTTAGGGTGTCAGTTTTAGATCTTTCCTGCTTTCTCTTGTGGGCACTTAGTGCTATAAATTTCCCTCTACACACTGCTTTAAATACGTCCCAGAGATTCTGGTATGTTGTGTCTTTGTTCTCATTGGTTTCAAAGAACATCTTTATTTCTTCCTTCATTTCGTTATTCACCCAGTAGTCATTCAGGAGCAGGTAGTTCAATTTCCATGTAGTTGTGCAGTTTTGAGTGAGTTTCTTAATCCTGAGTTGTAATGTGATTGCACTGTGTTCTGAGAGACAGTTTGTTGTGATTTCCATCTTTTACATTTGCTGAGGAGTGTTTTACTTCCAATTATGCAGTCAATTTTAGAATCAGTTTGATGTGGTGCTGAGAAGAATGTATATTCTGTTGATTTGGGGTGGAGAGTTCTGTAGATGTCCATTAGTTCTGCTTGATGCAGAGCTGAGTTCAAGTCCTGGATATCCTTGTTAACCTTCTGTCTTGTTGATCTGTCTAATATTGACAGTAGGGTGTTAAAGTCTCCCATTATTATTGTGTGGGAGTCTAAGTCTCTTTGTAGGTCTCTAAGGACTTGCTTTATGAATCTGGGTTCTCCTGTATTGGGTGTATATATATTTAGAATAGTTAGCTCTTCTTGTTGAATTGATCCCTTTATCATTATGTAATGGCCTTCTTTGTCGGTTTTGATCTTTGTTGGTTTAAAGTCTGTTTTATCAGAGACTAGGATTGCAACCCCTGCTTTTTTTTTGCTTTCCATTTGCTTGGTAGATCTTCCTCCATCCCTTTATTTTGAGCCTATGTATGTCTCTGCATGTGAGATGGGTCTCCCGAATACAGCATACTGATGGGTCTTGACTCTATCCAATTTGCCAGTCTGTGTCTTTTAATTGGGGCATTTAGCCCATATACATTTAAGGTTAATATTGTTATGTGTGAATTTGATCCTGTCATTATGATGTTAGCTGGTTATTTTGCCCATTAATTGATGCAGTTTCTTCACATCATCAATGGTCTTTACCATTTGGCATGTTTTTGCAGTGGCTGGTACTGGTTGTTCCTTTCCATGTTTAGTGCTTCCTCCAGGAGCTTTTATAAAGCAGGCCTGGTGGTGACAAAATCTCTCAGCATTTGCTTGTTTGTAAAGGATTTTATTTCTCCTTCACTTAGGAAGCTTAGTTTGGCTGGATATGAAATTCCCTGTTGAAAATTCTTTTATTTAAGAATGTTGAATATTGGCCCCCACTCTCTTCTGGCTTATAGGGTTTCTGCCGAGAGATCTGCTGTTAGTCTGATAGGCTTCCCTTTGTGGGTAACCCAACCTTTCTCTCTGGCTGTCCTTAACATTTTTCCTTCATTTCAACCTTGGTGAGTCTGATAATTATGTGTCTTGGGGTTGCTCTTCTGAAGAAGTATCTTTGTGGTGTTCTCTGTATTTCCTGAATTTGAATGCTGGCCTGCCTTGCTAGGTTGGAGAAGTTCTCCTGGATAATATCCTGAAGAGTGTTTTCCAACTTGGTTCCATTCTCCCCATCACTTTCAGGTACACCAATCAAATGTAGATTTGGTCTTTTCACCATAGTCCCATATTTCTTGGAGGCTTTGTTCATTTCTTTTTACTCTTTTTCTCTAACCTTGTCTTCTCACTTTATTTCATTAATTTGATCTTCAATCACTGGTACCCTTTCTTCCACTTGATCAAATCAGCTATTGAAGCTTGTGCATGCATCACGAAGTTCTAGTGCCATGGTTTTCAGCTCCATCAGGTCATTTAAGGTCTGCTCTACACTGTTTATTCTAGTTAGCCATTCTTCTAACATTTTTTCAAGGTTTTTAGCTTCCTGTGATGGGTTGGAACATGCTCCTTTAGATCAGAGAAGTTTGTTATTACCGACCTTCTGAAGCCTACTTCTGTCAACTTGTCAAAGTTATTCTCTGTCCAGCTTTATTCCGTTGCTGGCAAGGAACTGTGATCCTTTGGAGGAGAAGAGGTGCTCTGGGTTTTAGAATTTTCAGCTTTTCTGCTCTGGTTTCTCCCCATCTTTGTGGTTTTATCTACCTTTGGTCTTTGCTGTTGGTGACCTAGAGATGGGGTTTTGGTGTAGATGTCCTTTGTGTTGATGTTGATGCTATTCCTTTCTGTTTGTTCATTTTCCTTCTAACAATCAGGTCCCTCAGCTGCAGGTCTATTGGAGTTTGCTGGAGTTCCACTCCAGACTCTGTTTGCCTCGGTATCACCAGTGGAGGCTGCAGAACAGCAAATATTGCAGAACAGGAAATATTGCTGTCTGATCCTTCCTCTAGAAGCTTCGTCCCAGAGGGGCACCCACCTGTATGATGTGTCTGTTGGCCCCTACTGGGAAGTTTTTCCAAGTTAGGCTACACGGGGGTCAGGGACCCACTTGAGGAGGCAGTCTCTCCATTCTCAGAGCTCAAACACCACGCTAGGAGAACCACTGCTATCTTCAGAGCTGTCAGACAGGGATGTTTAAGTTTGCAGAAGTTTCTGCTGCCTTTTGTTCAGCTATGCCCTGCCTACAGAGGTGATGTCTATAGAGGTAGTAGGCCTTGCTGAGCTGCAGTGGGCTCTGCCCAGTTCAAGCTTCCTGGCTGCTTTGTTTAGCTAATCAAGCCTCAGCAATGGTGGACGCCCCTCCCCTAGCCAGGCTGCAGCCTCGCAGGTCGATCTCAGACTGCTGCACTAGCAGTGAGGAATGCTCAGTGGGTGTGGGACCTGCTGAGCCAGGCACAGGAATCTCCTAGTCTGTTGGTTGCTAAGACCATGGGAAAAGTGCAGTATTTGGGTAGGAGTGTCCCGTTTTTCCAGGTCCAGTCTGTCACGGCTTCCCTTGGCTAGGAAAGGCAAATCCACTGACCCCTTATGCTTCCTGGGTGAGGCGATGCCCCGCCCTGCTTCAGCTCACTCTCCATGGGCTGCACCCACTGTCCAACCAGCCCCAGTGAGATGAACCATGTACCTCAGTTGGAAATACAGAAATCACCCATCTTCTGCGTTGATCCCGCTGGGAGCTGCAGACCGGAGCTCTTCCTATTTGGCATCTTGGAACAGAATCCCATCTGTTTTTTCTTTCAAGCACCATTTTAACATGTTCTGAAGACCAACAGCATGTAACATTTTATCTCATAAGACAGTGAAATATTTGCTGAGTGAGCTGATGGTTATAGAAAGAACTATAAAATGGAGTTCAAGACCTAAGTCTGCCAATTACTGTGAGACTCAGGGCAAATTACCAACTTCTCTTGGCCTCCATTTTCTTGCCTGCTAAATGGGGATAATAATACCACACTGGTGGTCTGTCACTCCCTGTATCAGTTATCTATTGTTATGTACCAAATTACCCTAAAACTTAGTGACTTAAAACAACAAATATTTATTATGTCATATGGTTTCTGAGGGTCAAGAATCAGGTAGTAGTTTAGTTGGGAGATTCTGACTCAAGGTCTCTTACAAGGGAACAAATCATGATGTCTCCAGGGCTGCAGCCATTTGAAGGCTTGACTTAGCTGGAGGATCTGATTCCAAGCCACTCCTGTGGCTGTTGGCAAGAGGCTTCAGTTTCTCAACACATGAGCCTTTCCATAAAGATTGCTCTTAACTAGGCAGCTTGATTTCCATTGTGCAAATGGTCTGTGAGTGACCAAGCCTGTACTGAGACAGAAGCCTGGTACAGTGTGAGAGAGGTCTACACAAGGATGTGGATACCATGAGCAGGGATCTTTGGAGGCCATCTTGAGGGCTGCCCACCACAAGCTCCAACTAGATAACAGACTGGGAAGAGCTTTGTAAGTAGCAGAACTCCATAATCTAAATCACACTCACTGATTTCATTGCTTCCTGACAGGATCACAGCTACCTTTTGGCAGAATTGTACAAAAAACAAACATCATTTAGATCTCTCATCCTTCTATCCCCTCTGCTTCCCCTCCTTCACCCTTCCAATGTAGTTCTAGTACAGTTTTTCTCTTTGGTTTAATTAGCAATGTTTACATTATTATACCTATGCAAATATTCACAGTTGAGCATTGTAATGTATTATGACTATTTTCCTTTCCTACTTTCTAAACATTGCCCCATTTTCCACTTACTTGATTTGCTTTGTAGCTGTTACTGATTCTCCTCACACTTTCCCATAGCCTGTCACACAATTTTCTACAAAGTGAGTCATATCAGATAATCTACTATCCCAGTCTATTTCTTGGAGACATCCTTTCTGGAAGCTTTTTCCTTTTGGGTTGACTTTCTTATTTCAGTTTCTCACATCTTCCCCTTTCTCATCTTACTCCCATGTTTTGTTGAGTGTATCTTCCAGTATTTTCATCAGGTTGAAGAGATGGCATGATAATGGCAGTCCTCAGCAGTCCTCAAGTACTGCTGCTCCAATCTGGAATGGTTGCTCTGTGCCTGGTGCCTGGGGTCTCTCTTCACTTCTCTCTCATTTTGGAGCCCATTTTTGTGTCCTGTCTTTTCTCAGGTTTTATCCCTCATGGTTTCTGTGTCCTGTCTTCACTTTTGCTCCTTCTCTTGGCTCTGACCACCTATTTCTAACTTTCTGAACTTCTCTCTGTCTTATCTCTTAACATTCTTTCTACCCTCCCTGCTGAGAGCCAGTACCCTCATGCTGCCCTGTTGGCAGTCCTGCTCTCTCAGAAGTGGTATATGGAACTCTCTCTAAAAATGTAGAAGGGAAACACTGTATCTAAAACATCCCTGGTCTAGGGACCTGGAAGACCCCTCGTCTCTGATTCTAGAATGGGTTATTGGTGAGAAAATGAGCTTGTGCATGAACAAACGTTCAGTCGTGATCCAAACCTAGCAAAGCCTCCTCATACTAGGTGGTGAGGGCCCAACAGGACTTGATGGAGAAAGTTGAGAAGGGCAAGGGACTTGTCCACCCTGGTCATTGTCTATAGAGATTTCAGTTGGACCAGTGAGGCAAGACTGAAATTTGAGAGCATGCGATTGTAGCAGATAGCAGCCAACAATAATTGAACTCTTCTTTACTGATATAATGTCCCATGTATTATGCATAAACTTTTTACACACATTGTTTTATTTAATTTGCAACAGACCTAGGTAGAGAGATATGTTATTATACCCATTTTGACGATGAGAAAACTGAGGATCAAAAAGGTTAGACAGGATTTTTCCAAAGCCACAGAGCTAGTAACTGGTGCATCCAGGATTTGAATTCAGGTGTTGTGTGACTCAAGAGCCCTCACCATTTCTATCCTGACTGTCCTCACAATAACCACGTGTGAACTTGGATGGAACCTAAGTGTAGTAGGAGGCAGAGGAGAACTGTGTAGATCCTTGAGAGCTGGATCTTCACAGATGGCTGCCTGAAGCAGGGGTCTTGACTTTCTTCTTTCACGAAAATATGAATGGGTTGAATAGGCTGAGGGGAGGGAAGGAAGTAGTTGAGGTGGGAAGATGTGCACATTGGGAGCATGTTATAGAGATGGGATGGGGAACTCACATGAACTGGGAAAAGGTGAAGAGTAAGGTGGACCAGATGCTAATGGCATTGGATGTCAGAATGAGAGTCTGGCAATCTATTAGATGGGCAACCAAAATAGTACATTTAGGAGATGAGATGTGAGATTAAAAGTGGGACTTTATGAAGTTCAGAATGAGAGTTATATATAGATGAAGAGAGATGGGAAAAACTTGGAAGTTACTGTCTACTTATTTACAGTCCTTATTTATTATGTGTAAGTAAGTGCAATGTCTTTGCTAATATTACAATTATTTCAATAAATTCCCCTAAAAACTTACTTTTATCAGAAAGTAGAATGTCTGGTCTGCTGACAAGGGCTTATTTTGGTCTGTTATTATGGTTTTAACTGGATATATCTTTCAGCAGTTCTTTGCTAAAAATACCTTTAGGTTTGTACTTATGATGCTAGAGTGGATTGATTCCCTTATCAACCTATATTCAAGAGCTAAATTCAGTAGAATAATTTTAGCAATGATTAGCCTAGACTATAAATCAGGGCAGTCTATTTATAATTCTTGGATTATAATTTAGAAGATAATCGCAATCCTTGTATTTCATAGTACTTATTACACACTGGGATCCTTTGTTTATTAATCTTCACAGCAGACACAAGATTATGAGAAAAGTAAGCCACCTTGGAATGGCTTGGCCAAGGTCACTTATGTATGTGCGTGTCATTGGGTGAAAATACGTAGCTAGGTCTGTCTGATCCTATTCTACCAGGCGATGCTACTGAAATACTTGTTTAAAGATGTCTAAATGGAGAGCATGTTTTTTGGATATGTGAAAATGGATTGGAGCTGAGTAACTAGGTCAAAAACCCTGAAATTCTTTTGTTGCCCTGGTTGATGGCTTAGAACCTCCTCCTCATTTGTAAACCATCCTATCATGATTCTCTGACTTGCTAACACAAAATCTGTGGCAGACAATGCTGACTGCCCAGCCAACAGTAATTTCCCCATTCTTCCTTATTAATAGAACTTTACTATTTTTCACTATCCATTTCCCAGGGGTTGCTTGATTAAATCAATAATAGACACTTCATCTGCTCACCAGTGATTGATTTAAAGGTGGACATATGACCCAGTCTGGCTAAAGAGCAGAAGTCTGTTCTGGGGTGGGGCTCTGGCAAAAGTTTTCCTTGCTCTTCAGAAGAGTTGCACAAAAGGAAAGGATCTTCAGTTTTCCTGTTTTGGGATGTTGCTGTCTGCATTTCACTACTTCACCACTGTAACTAGGGTGGCCCCCTCTAGACCATGAGAGGAAATGGCTTAAGAGAACGTGTCAGTAAGATGAGGATGGGGAGCGGTAAAAGGGGAAATTCTTGTTTCTTGGTAACTTTGTAGAGTTGCTAAATTAACCAACCTTGAAACTCAACTTTAAAACTTCTTTATGTGTGAGAAAATTCATTTTTCTTATTGTTTAAGTCGTCTTTAGTTAGGCTTTTTTGTTTGTGCAACCAAATGCTCCCTATGTGATAGCAAAGCCTCCTACCCAATCCTCCCTACTTCTCAGGTTTTGCCCGGAATTGGACTTAGCTGAATTATACAATCACAGCTAAGTTTTTATGTATAGAAGCTGAAGCTCTTTTGGTATGCACATCTGTATCTTCTTTTTATGGATTTTCTGTTCGGGTATACTCTATTTTCACATACTTTAATGTAGTAAAATTGTGATTATTTTTACTGACCAGTTTATTTGGGTTGGCATCTGCTTGCTGTATAAATAATCCCTCAGTTTTGCAATCCAGGAGGAATAGGAATGAGCTGTGCTGAGTTTCTCCCTGTAATGACCTTGGGATGGTAGATACTGCTCTTCCTTTACAACTGCTGGAAATACATGGTGTTGGCCCCAGTGGGATTTGGGGTTGTATCTCCTCAGAGACAATTGTGCTGAATTTGCCCATCGTGTTCCAGCTGACTGTGGCTGCTTAGCAGTTCTTTTCTCATCTGTTGTTCTGACTACACTTACTTTGGTGGGGCTGCACTAAAGATCCATCAGATTTCAGCCAGGTAAAACTGTGAGGTCTCTTTTAGCCCCTCTCCATGCCTAAACATGGCTTGTTCTTCCCCATCTTTCCTTTCTCTCCCAGGCTCAAAGGAAGTACCCTCCTTTTTCTCCAAAGTTTCCTCTACCACTGTTGCATCACTCCTGTATCCTCTTCCTGTTCTAGAGCATGGACCCTTTATATTAATATGCCTTCTGTAAATACTTCATCCTTTCTGTCTAGGGATGGGCACTGGTTTCTCCTGTCCTAAGGCAAAAGGCAAGCTGACTGTGCCGTATCATCAGTGTACCTCCTATGGTCCCTCTCCCCTTTCTAAAATATTCCTTGGTTTTGTACTCCAGCAGGAATAGAAATGAGCTGTGCTGAGTTTCCTGGAATAGTGGGCACAGCTCCCAATGTCTACAATGAAAAGTCCATGCCTCTGGCTCCATATCTTTCCTGTAACTTCAATCCTAATATTCTTCGTTCGATTCCCTGCTCCTACAGATTATCAAAAGTGAACTAGCAAAGGCATCCAGGTCCTCCTCATTGCAAAAGCAGGTCTTTACTCAGCTCTTCTTTTCCTTGATTGCCTTATAGCACTTGGAGTGTCTCTCCATCCTATAAATTTTCCCCTCCAAAAGGTCCTAACCTCAGCCCTCTGACTCCTCTCTTTTCACTTTTTTACCCCTGGGAAAGCCCAGTCATGTACTGAAAACCTACCAGCTGAGATCAGATGAGCTTCTGGCCAATAACAATCTTGTTAATCTTGTATCCAGGACACTTCACAGTCTTTTACCCAATAGCTCAACAGATGCTTGCTAAATGGACTTAGAACTGTCTTCTGCTCTGATATCTTTTCCAAGTTCCTGTACTGTTTCTGTGCTTAGTGGGCATTTCCAGATAGGCATTCAGACATTGCTTCTAATTCCTTATGTCCAAAGCAGAAGTTATTTTTCCTTAGCTGCTGAGTCCTCATTCTTTCTCCTTCTTTATTTCAGCCTATAATAGCATCACTCACCCTTCTCATTGGGGTCCATGAGAACTCCAATACTCCCAGCCCTCCTCCTCCTCTTCCTTCTCCTCTCATATGCTGCTAACCACTGAGCCTTGTCTAGTCTTTCTTTTTAATGCCTACCAATTTATCCTTCCTTTTTCTTTCCCATCTTTTGTGTTTGTCTCTTCATACCTGAACTGACAAGAGTTTCTCTTTGTTTTCAACTACTCTGCACAATTACTAGATATCTATTTTAAAACCAAACTCAACACTCCACATGTCACTCCTGTGCTAAGCTACCTTCATGACATGGCTCGTAGAGATATATCCAATTGGTTTTCCCCAGGCCCCCTTTGGTTAGGGGAGAGCCTTTCCTTTCTGGCCATCTGCCACCCTAAGGTATTAGGACTGTTAGGTAGTGGGTTTTGTGTAAATGGTGGGCCAGTGGGGGTGCAGAATACCTGGCAGGGTCCTCAGGTTGGTGTCACTGAGCATGATTCAGCTTGCTTCCAGCTCCCTGGTCATTGAGATGCAAAGACTTCACCAATCCACCCTCCAGTAGAACTAAATTTTCACTTCCTTCCCAAGCATCACAGTTGCCCTGCTCATCCTCTTCCTTTTATTCTACTGGGTCTAATCTTATTTTGGGTAGAGGAAAAACCTCTCTGGGCAAACAAGCACCCCAAACCTCTGTCTTTTGCTTTAAGGCACTTGGTCTTTGCAGTTACTCACCAACTGAATGACTCTGACAACTATGAGAGTCGCTGGGGGAGGGGAAAAGACCCTCAAGACACCTGTGAGAGAGGAGAGGAGAGGAGAAGGAAATACGCTGAAACAAAAGGACAGTTACTAAAGGAAATAATCTTGCCTCCCTTACATGACTCCCTCTGTCTTTAATGTCAGCTCCAAATGTATATTTGAGCTTCAGTTTCCTAAGCTATAAAATGGAGATGATAATGTCTTCCTCACAGGTTGACACGAAGATAAAAAATGAAGTACCATCTAAGCAACAGACCCGGCTGAGAACAAAATAGAAACAGAATAAAATGTTGTTATTTCTTTATTTTTCCTTTTTCTTATTGCGGTTCCAAAAAGCCTTCTGACTCTCACCCGCTAAGTTACACATACTACGTCTGCTCAGTTTCATTGTCCAGACCTGAGGCACAAAACCCACCTGGCTGTGAAGGAGGCTGGGAATTGCAGCCTTTGTTTTGGGCAGACATGCGCTGCCCCAAATATTCTGTAAGTGTGGAGGAAGAGAAGAGAGGATGCTAGAGAATAACCAGCAGTCTCATCCAAATCATCTTGGTGACTTTCTCCTCTCTTTTCCTTGGGCACAGAAATTTAACAAGGAGTTTATAACAATACCTTACACAGATCAGGACATACCCACTCTCATGTGTTTTGCTGGCAAAGCCCACCTTTTATTCCGGAGGCTATAAATGGCACATGCACATATTCATAGCCTCCTTTGCATTTAGGGATGAGCATGACACACAGTCATGGACAATGAAACCATGAGACATTAGTTAAAGGGGTATCTACAAAGGGCTTCAGGGATATTAGGTTGGTACAAAAATAATTGTGGTTTTTGCCATTAAAAGTGCCATATATTCACTTCTATTTTTCAAATGCATGTTCGTGAACTATGGATTTACTTAAAAGACTGTGATAGACACTATTGTTTGCTTACCCAATGTGTATTCCTTCCTTCTTCTTAACAGAATCCCAGTTTTTCCCCAGGCATCTACTCCCTTTCCTTGCATCCAAGAACCTGAGTTAAATTGACTCTACTCCCATTTTTAGGAGTAATCCTCATCTGTCTGTCTAATTCTAATCTTTGTTCCTGATTAGCCCAGGAATAGGCATGCATATATATTTAGGCCAAAGAAATTTGAGGGAAAAGTTTTCAGGAGGTTCCTGGGGACAATTTCCTTTTTCTAAGAGAGAGCTATAAGAAGAGATGGGTTCCTACCTTTCAGATATGCGTCTGAATGTGACAGCTGGAGTGTCACTGCTGTTGTTCTGACAGTCTGAGCATGAGACTCATAGTGAGGATGCAGAGTGGCATGAAGGGAAGACCCTGGGTTCAGGATGACAATGCTGATCTGGTGAATCAGCCCTCTATGAATTTCTTCCTGTGGACTTTCTGTTGTATGAGATAAAAAAAATAATATCCATATTTTTAAAGCCAGGTGCGTCTGAATTTCTGTGTCTTGCCAATGAAAGCATCCTGTTTCAAATAATTACTGAATTTAGTGTTTTCTGTTCCACATATTCTCAGTTAACAGATACTCAAAGCGAATCCCCAGTCTGTGAAATATCTACTTGTTAGAAAGGGATCTGCATTCTCCAAACTGTTGGGAACAAATTTTCCTGAGTATCTCTCAGGCTTATTGCATTCTTCCTCTTTTAGTTCTTATTTGCCTCTTCTCTCTTTCTGCTCCCCCAAGGGCTGGAGAGTATTCATGGTAAAGAAATAAGAAGGAATTAGCAAGGGCACTGCTGAGCTACCTCTGCCAATTGGAGGGAGAGGGCTTTTCTAGAGGAGCGCAGAATGGATCCTGCTTGGAGCAGAGCTTGGTTTTTGCTGGACACTCAGTAAATGGCTGTTGAATTTCATGGAATCCCATAGGAAGGATGAGAGGGAACATTTGTAACTAATTAGTGCAGAATTAGCTCCAAAGGTGAGGTGTGACCTGTTCATGGTGGAAAAGACACGTCAATTTGACCCAATCCAAAGAATTTGTTCAAAGCAGCTGATATGTGCAGAGCATCATGGTCAGTGTTGCATGGGCTGCCACGGTATGTAGTTTACACTCCTGCAGTTAACGTCTAAGAATAGTTATGCCATGTAAAATAATGGTAAAAGATGCCTCATGATGCTACATGCTGCATGTTATCGTCTGATCAAGGAGTGAAATTGCAGCATCTGAAAAACAAAACACTAGTGGTCCTTCAAGACTATTATGAGACCTCCCAACTGTACCTGGAGGAAATTTTGCTTTGTTGTCACTGCATGGATCAACCAATAGAAATAAGGACATCTCCAGATGGGGTGAAAATGGAATAAATGGCAGATTTGGTGGGAAATGTGCAGACGTCAGCTCCACCAGATTTATTAAATGTTACAAGGGTCCTGAAGTCTGATTATTTTAACAAATTTTAGGTTAAAAGTAGGTATAAAGTTTCTTTGCTGCAGGTTTTCTGTGGCCTTCAATGTGCCAATGGGCATTGTGAATCTTTGAGCAAAGAATGCTGTATGAATCTTTTCTCAAATTTATTTGGCCAAGGAATCCTTGCTTTCATGGTCTAGTCTAGTGAAATATGCTTTGGGGAGCACTGATCTAACCTAACAAAAATCTTAGTATGGGATCCAGTAAAAATGAGGCACCTACAACTGGAAATGGTGGATGCTCTATTGAGAATGCAAAATTCTCACATAGATGGAATTATGATCAACCTACTTTGTCCTTCCACATTTCTGACAGTGTGCCTTGTTTACAACTGACATCTCCCTTTTGGAGACAATAGCTAACAAGGATATCAGTTTATCTTGGGAGCAATACTTAAGTCAATACTCCCTCTGAGTATAGCCAGTGTGCCTTCTTCAAGCAACCTACAATTGGAAACTTATCTGTGGTTTCCCCAGCACAATGTCTGACACCAAGCAGAATGAATGTCTTTGTTAAGAAGGCCTAGCCTCTTCTCTTTTCACTATTATCTTCTTTCCATTGAGAGTTAAAGAAACTCTTCCTAGATTCTCAGAGATTCTTATGCTCCCAAGTATAGGAACACATTGTATGTTCTGTGGATAATGGTGAAATCTTTACTAATGTGGATAAAAAACACAAACTACCCAAACCTCACCAACGAGCCATTGAGCTAAATGAATTGTTGATTACATAACATACTTGTCCAAGTCACAAAAGCACATAGAGTTATTGAATTCTAGGCAGACTGAAATCTGTACAGTTACTTTTGGCATACGTAACTGGCTTCCCCATGTTTCATGAGTGAGTGGAGGAGCAGTGCACTGCCTGGGGAGTGAGGCAAAGTTGTCCTGCAGTCAGTCACTGTAGTTAGACTCAGTAGACCCACTCACCAGGAAGTCAACCTCTAGGTAGTAGAAGTATGAAGAGGAAAAGGGACAATGATATGACAGCTAATGAGCGATGTTTACATTGATGTAACACTGGAACAAGAGGAGAAACAAGTATTCATGTTACTTAGAGCAAAAGTTCCTGAACACAAGCCAGTTCTCTATTGTGGAGAAATAAGAGAATTAAGAAAAAAAGAATATGGTGAGTTTTTAATGTTTAAGGTTTAAATTATGAATCCTTAGAGACATGAAAATTTAAATAATAACAAGATACCAACTCACACCTATTAGGATGACTATTATGAAAAAGATGAAAGATAACAAGTGTTAGAGAGGATGTGGAGAAAAGGGAACTCTTGCACACTGTTGGTGGTAATGTAAATAAGTTCAGCCATAGTGGAAAACAGTATTGAGGTTCCTCAAAAAATTAAAAATAGAACTACCATATTTTCCAGCAATCCAACTTCTGGGCATATGTCCAAAAGAAATGAAATCAGTATGCTGAAGAGAGATGGGCACTCCCATGTTTATTGCAGCATTACTCACAATAGCCAAGATATGGAATCAACCTAAGTGTCCATTAATGGATGAATATATAAAGAAAATGTCACACACACACACACACACACACACACACACACACACACAGAGGAATACTATTCAACCTTAAAAAAGAAGAAAATCCTGTCTTTTGTGACAACATGAATGAGTCTGGTGGATATTATTTTAAGTAAAATAAGCCAGGCACAGAAAGACAAATACTACATGATCTCACTTACAGGTGGAATCTGAAAAGGTTGAGCTCATAGAAGTAGAGAATAGAATAGAATAGTAGTTACCAGGGACTGGGGGGAATGGGGATTGGGAAGATATTGGTCAAATGATACAAAATTTCAGTTAGAAGGAATAAGTGCAAGAGACCTACTATACATCATGGTGACTATAGTTAATAACAATGTAGTATATTCTTGAAAATCACGAAGAGAGTAGATTTTGCATGTTCTCATTACAAAAAAGTGAAGTAATGCATATGTTACTTAGCTCAATTTAGCCATTCCACAATGTATACATATTTCAAAACAACATGTTTGTATATAATAAATATATACAATTTAAATTCATCAATTAAAAATAAAGTTTAAAGTATGAGATTATATTTTTCCCAGTCTTTAGAAGTGTATATGCCCTTGGTTAGGAAATGATAGTAGATAGTAGCTGGGTTTTTAAAAAAACTTTTAATATACTTGGCAAAATAAAATATTATTAACTCTCATGTTAGTCCCATGGTTTACATTTTTTGTGTGTGACTTTTTCTTGTGGTTTATTTGCAGTTGTACTGTCACACATGTAGGAACTCCTTCTCTGGACCATATGGGAGCTTAATCAGGAGTTTTATATTAGGTTGTAAAACACTGAGAATTGGAGAGAAAGAGAGATACAAATTACTTGGAGGATGTTATAGTAAAGAAAGGTCCAATGAGGATTCTCAATACAAGTTTGAAATATAATTTGTGTTAAAACAGTATGTTTTAGGTAAGTTAGTTGTCCATAGATAATAATAAAGATATGATGCCCATTTCAGGGAAGCTGCAATGGTTTAACTCCCTGAGGATGGTTAATTTTTTCCATTTTAAACATGTAGTTTCAGGTTTATTAAAAATATTTTCTTGTAGATTATCTATGATTCAGCTGCCTGATAAGTACCAGTTACAATAATAATTTTTCCTGGTAAAGAATTTGTTATCTAGAATGGTGACATATATATTTTGAAATCATAGAATAAGAAACTGTTAGATTCAAGCTATCAAAGTTTCATAAGCTATATGTATTGATGATACTAAAATACTTCATATATGAGGTTTGATTACAAGGGAATGGGGTTGACTTCTATGGATGGTTGGTGAAATCTCTCTCATTTATTTCTACTAATATTTTGGACATAAGCAAGAACTTTTAAGAGAGAGGGAGTAGAGCACGGTAATTGTGATGTCAAACTGGTTTCAATTTCTCAAGCTTAAAGCAAGTCAGTTAACCTTTCTAGGCCTCAGATTTTTAACTAAAAATATGGACAATAAAATTTCCAACCTGAAGAAATTATGTTCAGTATGATGGATTGAGGAAACACCAAAACCTTTCACTCATACACCAAATTACCACAATGATAATAAATAAAACATAGCCAAGCTTTAAAACAGCAAAGAGGATTGTCTATGTGCTAGAAATGGAGAGTCTTTCTTAATGGAAAAAAAGCAGAACAGAAACCAGATCAGTAAGTAGAGGCTACCATACTGCTGCAAAGGGCTCTGAGCTTTTGTATCTTCCCTGTGAGTCTGAAGCTGTTGCTGTCATGAGACTATCCCATCAAGAGGGGACAGGATATGTAAGTGATCCACACAAAATTGGTAAGTTATCTCAGGAGGATTACCACTGAAAAAGAGAGACAATATGACAGATTGTATTTTATTAGTGGCCATAAAAACATCTCATATTCCATTTTCTCTTCTTCTAATGTGACTTTGACATTCTTCCTACTGAGAGATGGAATTTATAGTCCCACCCATTAAATGTGATTAGGCTTATGGTTATGGCAGAAGTGGTGGCTCTAGGACTTCTAAGGCTGAGCCATAAAAGCAAACACGCCTTTGACCTGGGTCTCTTGGAATGCTTGCTTTTGGACCTAAGCCACCCCATGATGAAGGCCAAGCACCTCACTGTTGAGACCCACATGGAGAAAAAGCCAACATTCCTGATTCTTAGCCTACGCTGAGCTTTCAGCTGACAGCAAACACTAACTTGCCAGTCACATGAGTCTATTTAATCTATTTACTAATAGCCGTTGAAAAAAAGAACCCTCAATTTATGGTCTGAAAAATAGCACATGGAGCTAGCTGAAGAGTGAATCAGTGATTTGAACTGTTAAGCTGAGGAATTCTTCTAGAACATTATATAGAGAATAAAAAATGAAGAATAATAATGAGGGAAATGGCACAATCCTAGCTAACTGAGATGGAGAAACCAACAGAGGGACAACAAGAAGGACCAATATCCATAGATGAATATCCCACAAGTATTCTATGGGTGAAAGCACAAGATTTTGTGGAAAATCCCTAAGCAACTTGAGCTGTCTTCCTGACTACTATGTCAAGCTTCTCCAGGGCACACAATTTAAGCCAAACATCAACCTTGAACATAAACTACACCTTAGTTTTCCACAAAATGTGTTTTATTTTTCCTTTTATAAATTCTATTTCACCTTTGTCATCTGGCAATCAATCAATACATGTTTAATCTTCTTATTCAAGTACATTTCAGCTGTGCTTTTAACTAAACTGAATGTCTCTTTTTATTCTTTGACAAAAGTATAAAAAAAGACAATGAAAAAATGGCAATAGACAAAGAAGTTCAATCATTTTAATAAGAGTTGCAGAAAAGGAAAATAGAGAGAATGGAAGACAGGAAATATTTGGAAAAATAATAAACATTTACCAAAGCTTGGGATGGTCAGAAGTTTTCAGATTTATAGAGCCTACCAAATATAGAGCAGGGTAAATGAAAATAAAACTATACTTAGAAACTTAGAAAGCTAACGGAACTTTAGGCCATTAAAGAAAAACAGGAAGTTTAAGAGAACACAAGTAAAAAAGGCATACCACTGCAATGGTGCAATAATTTGAATGATATCAGATTTTTATTTAACAACATCAAATCCAAGAATACAGTGGAGAAATATCTTCAAAACCCTGATGAAAAACGTTGAAATTATTTTTATACCCAGCCCAACTATAATTCAGTTGTATATATAAATAACTAAATTTTCAGACATTTAGAACTTAGAAATTTTATTAACACAGATCCTCACCAAAAGAACTTCCAAAAGATTTACTCCAAAAAGAAGAAAATTAATTAAATGAGACATTGCATATAAAACATTTGTTATGATGTTAAGTCTGTTTCTTCTCTACTACTAAAAGGGATGGAGAACTGGGTGGAAAATGGCAGATAGAAGGCAGCTCCCAGTTGGGTGAACAGAATAGTGTGTGGAGACTCATATCATGAAATTTTTCTCCAAGAACTACTGCAGGAACATACCAGGAAAACTGAAAGAATTCACAGAGCCTTTAAAAGAAGAAGTGTGCTGCTGCAAACTCCATAAGACAGATGAAAAACTGTGAGTACCCAAAGTGTGAGAAGGGCAAAGTCTGCCACTGAACACACATTCTCACTGGGGAACCTGAAAATCCAGATCATGGGAGAAGGACTTAACTTTACCTAGAGCTAAAATGAATTTAGAGAGCCAAGCAAAATATAGATGTAGAAGAAGCATAAGGAAGAGCCCTATAGTCACTTCTGGAACCCAAGGAAGCTCAGGGAAGGCATTTTTGACTTTATCTCACAGATGTCCTTGGGGAGGGCTGCCAGTGGAACTGGATAAAGCCCACAGGGAGAAGGAAACTTCTAGCTGAACTTTGTAATAATTTCAACCAAATGCCAATTTTCCTGGACAGAATCCAGGACAGAGGGCCATTGGGAAGTGCAGATATGAGCACAAAAGTCATCACAGTCAGGGAGGGGCAAGGGCTGAAAGCCCTGCTTGCTTTCTGAAAGGGGTGGCATGTAGTCTGGGGCTAGATGTCAGCCCTGCTCACAAGCTGCCTGGCTATAAACTTGGTGCTATTGGTGGGGCATGGTGGGAGTGAGACTGGCCTTTCTAGATGCATAGGAGCTGCACGAGGCCTGTCATGGCCAGCTTTCCCCCACTTTCCTGGTGACCTGTATGATGCAGCAGAGGGAGCAATAATCCCCCTGGGATTAAAACTCCATCAGTCTACAAACCAAACTCCCATCCCCCACAGTGGCCTCAGCAAGCCCCATCAAAGGACAGTCTGAACTCAGACATGCCTAACCCTGTCCCTACCTGATGGTCTTTCTCTAACCACCCTGGTAGCTGAAGACAAAAGATAATCTCTTGGCAGCTCTATGGCCCCACCTACCACTTGAGAAATACCTCATCCAGGTGACCCTAGGGCAAGCTTGTATCCTCCCTATACTCCCAAGCTGATGCTCTCTTGAAGGCACCACTTCCTGACTCCAACCAACTCAAAACATTACAACAACTCATAAAGGAACAACCCTGCCCCAAGAAAGGAGAAAACAACAGATAATTCCACTGCCTGTAATTTCCTGGCTAAGCAGAGGTCCTGAGTCTGTCCACATGACAACTTCATGGCCAGCACAACTAGGATTTGAGAAAACCAGTGCACTAAACACAACTACAACAAAGGTCTCACACAAAGTCCACTTCACTCCCCTGTTACCTCCACTGGAGCAGGTACTCTTCACTCTTCTTTTACCTCTACTGGATGAGGTGCTGGTATCCATGGCTGAGAGACCTGAAAACAGACCACATCACAGAACTTTTTGCAGACACTCCCCAATACCAGCCCAGAGCCTGGTAGCTCCACTGGGTAGCTAGTCCCAGAAGAGAAATAAGAATCACTGAACTCTGGCTCTCAGGAACCTCCATCCCTAGAGGAAGGGGGAGAGCACCACCATATCAAGGGAGCACCCTGGTGGGACAAAAGAATCTGAACAGGAGCCCATGAGCCCCAGATATTTCCTCTGACATAGTCTACCTAAATGAGAAGGAGCCAGAAAAGCAATTCTGGTAATATGACAAACAAGGCTCTTTAACACCCCCGAAAGATCACACCAGCTCACCAGCAATGGATCCAAAAACAAAGAAGAAATCTGAAATGCCAGCAAAAGAATTAAGAAGTTTGAATATTAAGCTAATCAAGGAGTCAACAGAGAAAGATGAATACTGATTTAAAGAAATAAAAAAAATGATACAGGATATGGATAGAAAAATCTCCAGAGAAATAGGTAGCATAAATACAAACAACTGCAACTTCTAGAAATGAAGGACACACTTAGAGAAATGCAAAATACACTGAAAAGTTTCAACAATAGAAGTGAACAAGTACAGAAAATAACTTCAGAGCTTGAAGATAAGGCTTTTGAATTAACCCAATGTGACAGAGACAAAGAAAAAAGAATTGAAGAAAATGAACAAAGCCTCCAAGAACTTTGGGATTATGTTAAACGACTAAACCAAAGAATAATTTGTGTTCCCAAGAAGAGAAATCTAAACGTTTGGAAAATATCTTTGATGGAATAATCAAGGAAAACTTCCCTGGCCTTACTAGAGATCTAGACATCCAAATACAAGAAGCTCAAAGAATACCCAGAAAATTAGTTGCAAAAAGATCATGGCCTAGACACATAGTCATCAGGTTATCTACCGTCAAGACAAAGGAAAGAATTTTTCGAGCTGTGAAGCAAAAGCATCAGGTAACCTATAAAGGAAAACCTATCAGATTAACAGCAAATTTCTTAGCATAAACCCTACAAGCTAGAAGGAATAGGGGTCCTATCTTTAGCCTCCTTAAATGAAACAATTATCAGCCAAGAGTTTTGTATTTAGTGAAACTAATCTTCATAAATAAAGGAAAGATGCAGTCTTTTTCAGACAAATAAATGTTAAGAAAACTCGCCACTACCAAGCCAGAAATACAAGAACTGCTAAAGGGAGCTCTAAATCTTGAAACAAAACCTAGAAATATACCAAAATGGAACCTGCTTACAGCAAAACTCCCACAGGACCTATAAAAATATAACATAATGAAAAAAAACTCCAAGGTATTCAGGCCACAACTAGCATGACGAATAGAATAGTACCTCACATCTCAATACTAATGTTGAATGTAAATGGCCTAAATGCTCCACTTAAAAGATATAGAATGGCAGAATGGATAAAAATTCACTGACCAAGTATCCGCTGTCTTCCAGAGACTCACCTAACATACAAGGACTTATACAAACTTAAGATAAAAGGTTGGAAAAAGACATTTCACCCAAATGGACACCAAAAGTGAGCAGGAGTAGCCATTCTTTTTTTTTTTTTTTTTTTTTTTTTGAGACGAAGTCTCACTTTGCCACCAGGCTGGAGTGCAGTGGCATGATCTCAGCTCACTGCAACCTCTGACTCCCTGGTTCAAGTGATTCTCCTGTCTCAGCCTCCTGAGTAGCTGGGATTACAGGTACATGCCACCACGCCTGGCTAATTTTTGTATTTTTAGTAGAGACGGGGTTTCACCATGTTGGCCAGGATGGTCTCGATCTCCTGACCTCATGATCCACCCACTTCAACCTCCCAAAGTGCTGGGATTACAGGTGTGAGCCACTGCACCCGGCCAGGAGTAGCCATTCTTATATCACACAAGACAGAACTTAAAACAACAATAGTAAAAAAAGACAAAGAGGGACATTATATAATAATAAAAGGACTAGTCTAACAGGAAAATATCACAATCCTAAATATAACACCTAACACTGGGGCTCCCAAATTTATAAAACAATTACTACTAGACCTGAGAAATAAGATAGATGGCAATACAGTAATAGTGGGGGACTCCAGTAATCCCCAGACAGCACTAGGCAGGTCATCAAGACAGAAAGTCAACAAAGAAACAATAAACTATACCCTAGAACAAATGGACTTAACAGATATTTACAGAACATTCTACCCCACAAATGCAGAATATACATTGTATTCATCAACACATGGAACATTCTCCAAGATAGACCACATGATAGGCCACAAAACAAGTCTTAATAAATTTAAGAAAATTGAAATTATATCAAGTACTTTCTCAGACACAGTGGGATAAAATTGGAAATCAACTCCAAAGGAACCATCAAAAACATGCAAATACATGGAAATTAAATAACCTCCTCCTGAGTGATCATTGGGTCAACAATGAAATCAAGATGGAGGTTAAAAAATTCTTTGATAATGGTGACAAAACCTATCAAAACCTCTGGGATATAGCGAAAGTGGTGCTAAGGGGAAAGTTCATAGCATTAAAAGCCTACATTAAAAAGTCTGAAAGAGCACAAATAGACAATCTAAGGTCATACTTCAAGGATCTAGAGAAACAAGAACAAATCAAACTCAAACCTAGCAGAAGAAAAGTAATAACAAAGATCAGAGCAGAACTAAATGAAATTGAAACAAAAAAATACAGAAGATACGTGAAACTAAAAGCAGATTCTTTGAAAAGATAAACAAAATTGATAGACCATTAGCAAGATTAACCAACAAGAGAGAAGATCCAAATAAGCTCAATTAGAAATGAAATGGGTGATATTACAACCACAGAAATACAAAAGATTATTCAAGGCTACTATGAACACCTTTACACAAACAAACTAGAAAACCACAGGAGATGGATAAATTCCTGGAAATATACAACTCCCCTATATTAAAATAGGAAGAAATAGAAACTCTGAACAGACCAATAACAAGTAGTGGTATTGAAATGGTAATTAAAAAATTGCCGATAAAAAAAATCCAGGACCACATGGATTCACAGGTGAATTTTATCAGACATTTAAATATTTGGTACCAATCTTGTTGACACTATTTCAAAAGATAGAGAAAGAGAATCCTCCCTAAATCATTCTTTGAAGCCAGTAGCACCCTAATACCAAAACCAGGAAAGGACATAACAAAAAAAGAAAACTACAGACCAATATTCCTGATGAACATAGTTGCAAAAATCTTCAGCAAAATACTAGCTAACCAAATCCAACAGCATATCAAAAAAATACAACATGACCAAATGGGTTTCATACCAAGGATGCAAGGATGGTTTAACATGCACAAGTCAATAAATGTGATACACCACATAAACAGAATTAAAAACAAAAATCACATGATCATCTCAATAGATGCAGAAAATGCATTTGACAAAATCCAGCATTGCTTTATAATTAAAACCCTCAGTAAAATCATCATAGAAGGGACACACCTTAAGGTAATAAAAGCCATCTATGACAAATCCACAGCCAACATTATACTGAATGGGGAAAATTTGAAAGCATTCCCTGTGAGAACTGGAATAAGACAAGGATGCCCACTTTCTCCACCTCTATTCAACATAGTACTGGAAGTCCTAGCCAGAGCAATCAGACAAGAGAAAGAAATAAAGGGCATACAAATCAGTAAAGAAGTCAAACTGTCACTGTTCTTCGAGGATATGATTGTATACCTAGAAAACCCTAAAGACTCCTAGAAAACCCTAAAGACTCCACCAAAAATCCCCCAGAACTAATAGATGAATTCAGTAAAGTTTCAGGATACAAAATCAATGTACACAAATCAGTAGCACTCCTCTACGCCAATAGCGACCAAGATGAGAATGAAATCAAGAACTCAACCCCTTTTATAATAGTTGCAAAGAAAACATTAAATACTTAGGAATATACTAACCAAGGAGGTGAAAGACCTCTACAAGGAAAACTACAAAACACTGCTGAAAGAAATCATAACAAACAAATGAAAACATGGACACAGGAAGGGGAACATCACACACCGGGGCCTGTTGTGGGGTGGGGGGAGTGGGGAGAGATAGCATTAGGAGATAGACCTAATGTTAAATGGCGAGTTAATGGGTGCAGCACAGCAACATGGCACATGTATACATATGTAACAAACCTGCCCGTTGTGCACATGTACCCTAAAACTTAAAGTATAATTTAAAAAAATCTAAATAAAAAAATGAAAACACATCTCATGCTTATGGATGGGTGGATTCAATATAGTGAAAATGACCATATTGCCAAAAGCAATCTACAAATTCAATGCAATTCCCATCAAAATACCATCATAATTCTTCACAGAACTAGAAAAAAATCCTAAAATCCTAAAATACACATAGAACCAAAAAAGAGCCTGCATAGTCAAAACAAAACTAAGCAAAAGAACCCATCGGGGGTATCATATTACCGACTTCAACCTATACTATAAGGCTATAGTCAGCCAAACAGTATAGTGCCAGCATAAAAGTAGGCACATAGAACAATGGAACAGAATAGAGAACCCAAAAATAAAGTCAAATACTTACATCAACTTATCTTCAACAAAGAAAGGTAAAACAAAGTGGGGAAAGGACAACCTATTCAACAAATGGTGCTGAGATAATTATCAAGCCACATGTAGAAGAATGGAACTGGATCCTCATCTCTCACCTTATTCAAAAATCAACTGAAGATGGATAAAAGACTTAAATTTAAGACCTGAAAGAACAAAAATTCTAGAAGATAACATTGGAAAAGCCCTTCTAGACATTGGCTTAGGCAAAGACTTAATGATCAAGAACCCAAAAGCAAATGCAACAAAAACAAAAATAAATAGGTGGGACTTAATTAAACTAAAAAGCTTCTGCACAGCAAAAGAAATAATCAGCAGAGTAAAGAGACAACCCACAGAGTGAGAGAAAATCTTGGCAAACTATGCAGTCAATAAAGGACTATATCCAGAATCTACAAGAAACTCAAATCAGCAAGAAAAAACAAACAAACAAACAATCCTATCAAAAAGTGGGCTCAGAACATGAATAGACAGCCCTCAAAAGATAATACACAAATGGCCAACAAACATATGAAAAAATGCTCAGCTTCACTAACTATCAGGGAAATGCAAATCAATACCACAATGTGATACCACCTTGCTCCTGAGTGTCCATAATTTTTAAAAAAAGATGTTGATATGGATGTAGTGAAAATGGAACACTGTTACACTGTTGGTGGGAATGTAAACTAGTACAATCACTATGGAAAACAGTGTGGAGATTCCTTAAAGAACTCAAAGTAGATCTACCATTTGATCCAGCAATCCCACTACTGGGTATCTACGCAGAGGAAAAGAAGTCATTATATGAAAAAAAAAACTTGCACATTTATGTTTATAGCAGCACAATTAGCAATTGCAAAAATATGAAACCAGCCCAAATGCTTGTCAATCAATTAATGGAAAGAAAAAACCATGGAATACTATTCAGCAATAAAAAGGAACAAAATAATGGTGTTTGCAGCAACATGGATGGAATTAGAGGCCATTATTTTAAGTGAAGTATCTCAGGAATGGAAAACCAAACATTGCATGTTCTCTCTTATGAGTGGGAGCTAAGCTATGAGGATGCAAAAGCATAAGAATGATACAATGGACTTTGGGGACTTGGGGGGAAGGATGGGAGGTGGGTAAGAGATAAAAGGCTTCCTATTGGGTACAGTGTACACTGCCTGGGTGATGGGTGGACCAAAATCTCAGAAATCATCACTAAAGAACTTATCCACGTAAGCAAACACCACCTGTTCTCCGAAAACCTACTGAAATAAAAATAATATAAAACAAAAGAAGCTATGACTGGGGCTGAAACAGGTCAAAGTGAAGATGGTAAGAAAAGGGCCACCCCTACACCACAAAACTGCCTGAGCTTAAAAAGGATTTCAATAAAATTCTCAAAACCAAGTTAAAAATAAAGGACACCATTCTTCTCCTTTTCACCTTAGTCCTGTATTGAATGTGAATGTGATATCTAGCACTGCAGCAGGCATCTTATGACTATGAGGCAACAGCCAGGAAGGAAAGACCAAAAGGACCCCAGAAATGCAGCTCCTGATATTGTTAGTATATTATTTCATCTCCAACAATTCACCTACCTTCTTGTTATGTGAGGAAAATAAATTCCTATTTGTTTAGGTCACTATTGATTGGGCTTACTGCTACTTCACCCAATGCATTCTGAAGGTAATTTTACTTTTCCACTTTTATTTTTAAAGTATGAGGTATTAAGAGTAAATGGGAGGTTAAGTTAAAAATTTCCAGTACTCCAATAAATATTAAGCCCCTTCTTATCCTCCATTCCAGATTGCAAGCTCAAGACACCATGCTACCCTCATTATATTTGCATCTTCATTGCTTAAACAAACAATTCAGTCCAGTTCACTGGATATTTTTTGAATGCCAATTTATAGGCTAGGTTTTCTGCTAATTGTTAACTAGCAGGATATCAATAAATATAGGTTGAATGTGTAGGTGTATAAAAGCTGAAGATAGGTGAGTAAAAATTAATAATGATGGCTGCCTTAAAAAATCAAATTAACAAAGTACCTTTTCTATTTTTTTACAGTGTTAATACAGCTTTTGCAGGGTTCAGAATATGCTTCTTATCATCTTTCACCATCTTCCTTGCTTTTTAAACTGTGAACATTTAATATATAATTTTTAATTCATTCCAAAGAAAGCTATAAGTGGAAGGAAAACATGACCCAGTTTTTGTAAATTCAAACTTATTTCGACAGTTGTGAAACCCTTGAATTCTCAAACAAACAACCAAAAGATAGCATATACATAGGGGAAGATTTGTTGTTGTTGTTGAAATAATTCCTATACAGAAACACAAAATATTATGAGTGTTAGTCTTTGAAGAGGAAGTGTCAGGGAATAGGCAAAGGAAAGGAAAGATGCTGAACACCTAAAAAAACCCTGAAGAATTTTATACACAAGGAAATATCAAAGGAGAGCTAGAGAGCCATACCAATAAAATAGAAATTGATAGATGAATAGATGAGGCTATTAAAAAGGATTTGTAGAGGCTCCAGGGAATGCAATAATTTGGTCAAGTAGAGAAGTTATACAATATATTTCACATTAAAATCATCTGGAAATAAAAAAAACAGAACTAGCATCAAATTTTGTATAGTAAAAGGACCATGTGTTTAAAGCAAGGGTCTGTCTGGGGAAGAGGAAACCAGTCAACATTTGATCTCTGATTGGCAAGTAGCAAAAGATTCAGAAAGTTAGCTACCCAACAATATAAGAAAAAATCAATTAATCAAAAGGGAAACAGGAAGAGCAGAAGTTTATGATCCCACTGACAGATGAACTGCCTTGAGAGCAGAAAAACCAAAACATATGCCAAATGAATATTTAGGTGAGAAATGACCACGGGCATCTGGTGTATGGGCAGACTCCTGAGCCTATGGTGAGACCAAGGTGTGAACCTTAGTCCTACTCCTTAGTAGCTGTGTTGAGGCAGGTAACTTACTCTCTCATCATGATCTATAAATTGGGAATGAAACTGGGTTGTTGTGAAGACAGAATGGGTATAAAAAGTTTATTAAAATTATAAAGGAAAGTAGACTACGAATAATAGAAGACACAGAGGAGAAAATAAAATTGAGAATTAATTTTGTTCATAAGATACTGAAAATGCTGTGTTTATTGGAGATAATTTTCTTGGTGACAGGAAAAGCTGTATATGCCAAAAACAATTAAAGAAACTTCTCTGAGTACTTACCATGTACCAGGAATTACACTGAATGACCGCAGTATAATAAACAAAATAGATCCTGGTGTAGAAGAGAGTCCCTTGGATCTTCATGTTTGTCATGGAAATAACTATGTGGATGAAAGTAAAGGATAGTTTAATAAAGTGATATGGTTTGGCTGTGTCCCCACCCAAATCTGAATTTGAATTGTATCTCCCAGAATTCCCACATGTTGTGGGAGGGACCCAGGGGAAAGTAATTGAATCATGGGAACTGGTATTTCCCATACTATTCTCATGACAGTGGATTAGTCTCACAAGATCTGATGGGTTTATCAGGGGTTTCTGCTTTTGCTTCTTCCTCATTTTTCTCTTGCTGCTGCCATGTAAGAAGTGCGTTTTGCCTCGCACCATGATTCTGATGCCTCATCAGCCATGTGAAATTGTAAGTCCAATTAAACTTCTTTTTCTTCCCAGTCTCAGATATGTCTTTATCAGCATCATGAAAACAGATTAATACAGTAAATTTGTACTGGGAATAGGGCATTGCTGAAAAGACACCTGAAAATGTGGAAGTGACTTTGGAACTGGGTAACAGGCAGAGACTAGAACAGTTTGGAGGGCTCAGAAGAAGATAGGAAAATGTGGGAAGGTTTGGAACTTCCTAGAGACTTGTTGAATGGCTTTGCCCAAAACTCTGATAGCGATACAGACATTAAATCCAGGCTGAGGTGGTCTCAGATGGAGATGAGGAACTTGTTGGGAACCCCAGTAAAGGCAACTCTTGTAATGTTTTAGCAAAGAGACTGGTGGCTTTTTGTCTCTGCCGTAGAGATTTGCAGAACTTTGAACTGGAGAGAGATGATTTAGGGTATCTGGCAGAAGAAATTTCTAAGTGGGAAAGCATTCAAGATGTGACTTGGGTACTGTTAAATACATTCAGTTTTATAAGGGAAGCAGAGCATAAACGTTTGGAAAATTTGCAGCCTGACTATGCGATAGAAAAGAAAAATCCATTTTCTGGGGAGAAATTCAAGCCGGCTGCAAAAATTTGCATAAGTAGCAAGGAGCCTAATGTCAATCCTCAGGACCACGGGAAAACGTCTCCAGGCCATGTTAGAGACCCTCACGGCAGTCCCTCCCATCACAGGCCCAGGCCTAGGAGGAAAAAGTGGTTTCATGAGCCAGGCCCAGGGTCCCTGTGCTGTGTGCAGCCTAGGAACTTGGGGCCTTGCAGCTCAGCTGCTCCAGTCATGGCTGAAAGGTGTCAACGCAGAGCTCAGGCTGTGGCTTCAGAGGATGAAGCCTCAAGTCTTGGCAGCTTCCATGTGATGTTGAGCCTATGAGTGCACAGAAGTCAAGAACTGGGGTTTGGCAACCTCCTGCTAGATTTCAGAAGATGTATGGAAATGGCTGGATGCCCAGGCAGAAGTTTGCTGCAGGAGTGACGTGCTCCTGGAGAACCTCTGCTAGGGCAGTGCAGAAGGGAAATGTGGGGTTGGAGCCCCTACACAGAGTTCCTACTAGGGCACTGCCTAGTGGAGCTGTGAGAAGAGGGCCACTGTCCTCAAGACCCCAGAATGGTAGATCAACTGACAGCTTGCAGCATTCACCTGGAAAAACTGCAGACACTCAAAGCCAGCCCGTAAAAGCAGGTGGGAGGGAGGCTTTACCCTGCAAAGCCACAGGGGCAGAGCTGCACAAGACCATGTGCAATTTCTCCCATTTGGAATGGCTGTACTTATCCAATACCTGTACCTCCATTTTATCTGAGAAATAACTAGCTTGCTTTTGATTTTACAGGCTCATAGGTAGAAGGGACTATTGAGAAGGCATGATTGGTTTTGAAATGTGAGGACATGAGATTTGGAGGGGCCAGGGGTGGAATGATATGGTTTGGCTGTGTTCCCACCCAAATCTCAACTTGAATTGTATCTCCTAGAATTCTCATGTGTTGTAGGAGGGACCTGGGGGAGATCATTGAATCATGGGGGCCGGTCTTTCCCTTGCTATTCTCATGACAGTGAATAAGTCTCAGTAGATCTGCCGGGTTTATCAGGGGTTTCCACTTTTGCTTCTACCTCATTTTTCTATTACCGCTACCATGTAAGAAGTACCTTTTGCCTCCCGCCATGATTCTGAGGCCTCCCCAGCCACGTGGAACTGTAAGTCCAATTAAACATTTTTTTCTTCCCAGTCTGGGGTGTGTCTTTATCAGCAGCATGAATAATACATAAAGTTTGTGTGAAGTCCTATCAAATGTCATATATAGAGTACATGGTATAGGGATAGGTAACTTTAAGTAATTTGAACGGAGGACTGGGAGAAAGTTAGATGTATTGGGCAGCTATTGCTGCAATCATGCTGCACAACAAACTATTCCCAAAAGTCAGTGGCTTACAACAATTAGCCTATAATTTTCTCACTTACAGGTCTGTAATTGGCGTCAATGCTGGGCTCAACTGGGATTGGCTGGGATTAGCTTCAGGAGCTGTAGATTTGGTTCAGGTCTTTTCTCCTTTCTCATTTAGGAACCAGCAGCTACTTGGGGAATAGTCTTCTCTTGGCAGATGGCAGAAGTTCAAGAGGGATGAGTGGAAACTTACCATGCCACTTAAGACCTCATCTTGGCACTGTCCTATCATAATTTCTGCTGCTAATCCATTGGTCAAAAGAATTCATATGGCCAAGACCAACCTTAATATGGTAGGGGGTATGCTCTACCCACAGCAGGAGGCATTGCAAGATCACATGCAAAGGGTGTGAAATATAGGAGAACGCAGAAGTGGGAGCAATAATTCAACCTATTATATGTCCACATAAAGATATATATGCAACATTATTCATGATAGCCACAAACTGGAAACAACTCAAATGTCCATCATTTAGAGAACAGATAAACAAAATATGGTATATCAGTAGAATAGAAGCATATTCAGAATAATAAGAAATGGAGCTGTGAATCATTCCCCAATGTGGATAAACTTCAGAGACATTATGCTAAGCAAAGAAGGTGGGAACAAAAGACCATATATTATATGATTCAATTTATACGATATGTCCAGAAAAGAAAAATCTATAGAGATAGAAAATAGATGGGTGGTTGCCTGGAGCTGGGGTTGGGGACAGGGGTGACTGCAAATAGACAGAAGGATCTTTTATTGGGGTGATGGAAATGTTCTAAAATTAGATTGTAGTAGTGGTTGCACAACTCTAATTTACTAAAAGTCATTGGAATGCACACTTAAAAGGAGTGAATGTTATGGCATATAAATTATGCTGCAATAAAACTAAAAAGAAAAAAATTAAATCATTCTTGGGTGACAAAAAGTCTTTTATTTCAAGAGTTTTTTGAGATCAGGTGAGATAATGTTAATAAAGGGGCTGATGTAGGGATTGGCACATAGAAGGTATATAATAAATGGTAGCCATTGTCATTTCAGAGAGATGGTTTTATTTTTATGCATTTTTGGTTGGAATATCTCATATACATTTCTTCACTGGAGCTTTTTCTTCAGTTTCCTCATCATCAAAATCATCATCATCATCATCATCATCATCATCATCTGCATCATCATATCATCATCTTCATCAGCAGCAAGTTTTACTTTTTTCTGTGTAAACTTGCTACCCCCTTCAGGGGTACCTAAGAGTTTCATGTCCTCCTCCTCTTCATCTTCTGACTCTGCTTCTTTCTCCCCAGCAACTAAGTGCTGCCCACTAATATCATGTTCCTGAACCACACTTCAACTGTAAGAGTATGGGTGGTGGTATTTCAAAGCTCTCAGGGGAAACTGTGGCTGTACGGACGTTTTCAAAGTTGCTAGTGTTAACTTAAATGGACTGCCTTCATAATTCATTGCCTCTGCTTCAACAATGTGCAATTCATTCTTTGTACCAGTCCCTAAACTGACTTTAAAAATATATATATGTATATACATATATTTTATTATACTTTAAGTTCTAGGGTACATGTGTACAATGTGCAGGTTTGTTACATACGTATACATGTGCCATGTTGGTGTGCTGCACCCATTAACTTGTCATTTACATTAGGTATAAAGGACAAAAAACAAAACTGACTGTTCTTAAAGACAATTGGTGCTAATTTTCATCATTATCAACCTTAATGTGATCATCTTTGTCGGCCTTCAGTTCACAACTGAAAGATAGTTCTGGGGACCCAGGGGACTCACGTCTATGTCCATTTTATCTTCCATGGGATGGTGACACACACTTAGGTGGGAAAGAAGGCAGATGGAGACAAACGACTACTGCTTCAGAGAAGAGCTGTGTGGGACAGAATCATACCAGGGCTAGTTTACACATATTTAGCCATGTCTAACAAAGCAGGTTTACAGAATTAACCACCACTAAAAACCTAACTCTTAGTTTTGCTTCAATGTTCAAGAATTAATATGATTAATAAGCCTTTGTATTCTAAATGACTTACATGAGTGGCCTGGGAATTGAGTTTCCCATTTGCCTTGTCCCTCTGCTGTAAAGTTAGGCTGCACAGTCACCTGTTTTTGAATAGCTACAAGTAGTTGACTCTAGGCTTGCAGATAAGTCATCAGCTTTTCAGCTTGTCTACAGTTTTGGCCTGGTCAGTGTTCCACCAGGATACAGTTGGGAGCAGAACCTTCTGTGCAGTGACTTAACACAGCAAAACACTTATGTTCAAACACAGAACCTCTTAAGTTGCCTTCTATCAGCTCCTTGCATCTCAGTGCTCCTATGTCTCAGGACCATGTGTTATGTGGCTAGGGTAATGAGTAAGCCTGGAAATGTGGAATTTAGAGGCTAGCAGTGGGAACCCAAACTCAGCTTCATTTTACCCAGCCTGTAGAGAAGAGACTCCTAGGATAAAGAGCAGTTGAAAAACTCTAAACAATGGTTAAGCAATTAATTATTGCTCAGAAGTCCTTTGGCAAACCTTTGAAACCTATAGGCTAAGTGAATAGTTTATTTAAAACTTTGGTCCTACAAAAATATATTTTTCTATAATATTTCCCCCTTAATTCCCTGCTGTGTGTGTGCATGTATGTTTGAGTCTCTAGCAAAAATATGAGAATTATAACCTTTTTGTGATTAGAAATGTGCACTCAAGAAGACATCTTTGACTCCTTGAGTTCTACCCTATTATGGAACACTTAAGATATATTGAAGGTGTTGGAGCAATGGAAAACCCATTTCTGTTTTGGAGATCAGGAAAGGTTTCCTGAGGAGGTAGCAGTGAAGATGTGCCTTGAAAAAAGGGGCAGGTGGGTTTAGGGAGCCTAAAGGACAAAGGCAGAAGCTAGGGATGCAGGGGGCAGCAGTGGGTGATGGTTCTGGAAAGCCAGTTGCAGACATTTTGGAGAAGTACTGAGGAGACCAGAATAGAGTGTGCATAATCCAAAAGCAGAGGGGCTTCTGGTTATGCTGTGTCCCCAAAATTCACTAAAATAACAGTTAAGGGGTAAAATGGGGCATAAAGACAAAGACAATACAGATAGCTGTTAGCCAAATATTGGAAGCTGGAATGCAGATACACAAGTGGTAACTGATTCAGTGGTGCAGAGAAAGCTGAAAAGTGAAGGCTGACAAAAGGTGATTGTGGAAGGAGGTAAATAGAGAAATGACCCTTTTCCTTCTACAGAACCTTGAACATCTTCAGGAACTAAGGATACCTAATGGTGAAGGTGGGTGCAACCGGAGTTAAAAATAGTTTTCATTCATTAAGGAGCCCAAATCCTTTCTTGGCTCCACATGGTAGAAAATGAAAACTTTCAAGGTTCTGGATATCATATACTTCAAGTATATGGTAGAGATGAGGAGAAGAAGTGTATTGGTCACTAAGGCCCCAGGCCTCTGACACCAACTTCAAGAACACTGGAAGCCAGGATTTTCTGCCCCCAACCAAAGATTCAAGGGGAACAACCTGCCTAAGAGAAAGGACCCACAGAAATGGACAACTGGGAGTTCTGCTCTTGGACAAGCACGGCCCATGCACACAGGGCTTTTTATCAGCTTTTTAGTGCCTTACTCTTGAATATGAGAAGACAGCCAAAGATCAATAGACATTTGATAAAAACCCATCAAATGCAGTATAAAGACCAAAATAAAGAAATAGAAAAAAAGGAAGCGTTGCACACAGAAACAATGCAGAGTGAGCCAAAAGAAACTGAGCAATAACAATAAAACCATATGGTTAAATATCCTCAGGGAGTACTGTATTCATGAAACAAGAACAGAAAGCTAATAAAAAAGGGAACATTCAGAGAGAAAAAAAGAGTTCTTGGAAATCAAAACTGTGAAAGCAGAAATGGAAAATTTAATAGGGTTTGGAAGATAAAATAGTAGCACACATTGGCAAATGGATCAAATATAGAGAAGAAAATAAGAGAAATAAGAACATTAGAAGATAAGGACAAGAAATTCAAAATCCTAAGACTAGCATCTTTAGAAAGAGAACAGAAGCATCAGAGGTGAGGAAATGACCAAAGAAATAATTCCAAAAAATTTCCTATGACCACAGGACATAAATTTCCAGGTTGGAAGAGTCCTTTGAGAGCCTACTTTAGTGTAAGGAAAAATAATACAAGGCTTATATAAAGTTGTATTATCATAAAATTTCTAAACCTTGGAGACAAAGATAATATCTTAAAAATTTCTGAGAGGAGAAATGGGTCATGTAGAGAAAATACAAATCAGAATGGATTCAGACACCTTGACTGCAACAATATAAGCTAAAAGACAGTGGGGCAAAATGTTTTCCAATATAAATTCCTATTCCCAGACAAATTTTCAAAAAGATGTGAGGATAAAATAAAGACATTTTCCAGCATTAGGTCTTGATTTACATTTCATATACTATTTCAAGGAAGCTACTGGAGGATGGGCCCTTCCAAAACGGGAGACATGATCAAGAAATCTGAAGATATGAGATTCAGGAATGACAGAATCTAACCTAGGAGAGAAGTAAAAGGAATTTTCAGGATGACTGTCCCATGATAATGTCTGCATAGCAGGCATAGGGAGCAAAACAGCTCAGACTAGATAAAAAACAAGCAAACAAACGAAAACCAGAGGGCTTCTGGAAAGATGGAAGGGAGAGGTACTGCTGGAGTTATGGGTTTCTCTGAGTCCACTGAGATGAAGCAAAAGAGAAAAAAGATAATTGCATAAAAAGAAAAATATATTTCTTAGCTATGCATAACATTAATATCAGCACAATAAGTAAATTCAGCCATTATTTACTTTATATTACCATATAGAAAGATTAGGAAGGGATGAGTAGATTGTGTTTCAGGTAGGGGCATTTTGTGAGTGGGTTCAAACTTATTTTTCCATAGTAACAAATCAATAGATAGTATCTTGGGTGGTAACACCTTGGTGTGTGCAGGGGGAGGTCAGGGGCTTCTGGTTTTTCCATTATAAGCCTAGTAGAAAAATCTTTTTTAAGTAAGTACATTATGATTTGAAATTTTAAAAAGCAAAATAGAAAAGGATGATAGGAAATGAGAGCTGGTTTTTGACTAGGAGAGTGACAACATCAGAGTTAACACTTTGGGAGTGTTGTCGTGTGCTGAATGGGGCTGAGTCAGTGAGGAGGCAGGCCATGAGCTCAGTCAGTTCTCTGAGGTGGCTCAGACAGTAGACACTGAGGTCCTAAATTAATGGGTCATCAGGAAGGACTGAGAGACTGAATTTGAGACCCTTCACAGAGGCTGCATGTGCAGGATTTTGCCATCCTCATCTGAGGTTAGGAAATTAGTTTTTGAAGCAAAATGCAGGATAATACACTTTGTCCCCACCAAATTTAAATTTCACGGTTTCAGTTTAACATTTAAGATACTTGTAACATTTCAGATACTTATTTAGTAGACTGATTTAAAATATGCACAGTGATATATGGCTCTTATTATTTTGAGGTATGTTCCTTCAATACCTAGTTTATTGAAAGCTTTTAACATGAAGGATGTTGAATTTTATCAAAAAGCTTTTCTGCATCTGTTGAGCTAATCATGTGGTTTTGTCTTTTGTTCTATTTATGTGATGAATCACATTTACTGATTTGTGTATGTTAAAGAAACCTTGCATCCCTGGGATGAAGCATATTTGATCTTTGTGGATAATCTTTCTGATGTGCTGCTGGATTCAGTTTGCCAGTATTTTGTTGAGGATTTTTGCATCAATGTTTGTCATGGATATTGGCCTGAATTTTTCCTATTATGTTATATGTCTCCAGGTTTAGGTATCAGGATGATGCTGGCCTCATAGAATGAATTAGGAAGGAGCCTCTCATTTTCATTTTTTTTGGAATAGTTTCAGTAGGAATGGTACCAGCCCTTCTTTGTACATCTGGCTGAATTCAGCTGGTCCTGAGCTTTTTTTTGTTGTTGTTGGTACGCTATTTATTACTGCCTTAATTTCAGAACTTGTTATTGGTCTGTTCAGGGATTCAGTTTCTTCCTGGTTCAGTCTTGGGAGGGTGTATGCAACCAGAAATTTATCCATTTCTTCTAGATTTTCTAGTTTTTGTACACAGAGGTGTTTATAATATTCTCTGATGGTTGTTTGTATTTCTGTGGGGTCTGGTATAATATCCCTCATATTGTTTCTGATTGTGTTTATTTGAATCTTTGTTCTTTATTAGTCAAGCTAGCATTCTATCTATTTTATTAATTTTTTTCAAAAAAACCAGCTGCTGGATTCATTGATCTTTTGAATGGTTTTTTTGTGTCTCAATCTCCTTCAGTTCAATTCTGATTTTGGTTATTTCTTGTCTTCTGCTAGCTCTGGGATTTGTTTGCTCTTGATTCTCCTTTAGTTGTGTCATTAGGTTGGTAACTTGAGATCTTCCTAGCTTTTTGATGTGGGCATTTAGTGCTATAAATTTTCCTCTTAACACAGCCTTAGCTGTGTCCCAGAGATTCTGGTACATTGTATCATTGTTCTCATTAGTTTCAAATAACTTCTTGATTTTTGCCTTAATTTCATTATTTACCTAAATGTCATTCAGGAGCAGGTTATTCAATTTCCTTGTAATTATATGGTTGTGAACATCATACTGAATCGGCAAAAGCTGGTAGCATTCCCCTTGGAAACTGGCACAAGACAAGGATGCTCTCCCTCACCACTCTTATTCAACATAGTATTGGAAGTTCTGGCCAGAGCACTCAGGCAAGAGAAATAAATAAAGAGCATTCAAACAGGAAGAGGGGAAGTCAAACTATTCCTGTTTGCAGACAACATGATCCTATATCTAGAAAACCCCATCATTTCAGCCCCAAAGCTTCTTAAGCTGATAAGCAACTTCAGCAAAGTCTCAGGATACAACATCAATGTGCAAGAATTGCCATCATTCCTATACACCAACAACAGTCAAGCCCAGAGCCAAATCATGAACTAACTCTCATTCACAATTGCCACAAAAAGAGTAAAATACTTAGGAATACAGCTAACAAGGGAAGTGAAAGATCTCTACAAGGAGAACTACAAATCACTGCTCAAAGAAATCAGAGATGACACAAACAAATAGAAAAACACTCCATGTTTATGGATAGGAAGAATCAGTATTAAAATGACCATACTGCCCAAAGCAATTTATAGATTCAATGCTATTCCCAATAAACTACCACTGACATTCTTCATAGAACTAGAAAAAAGAGCCCAAATAGCCAACATAATCCTAAGCAAAAGGAACAAAGCTGGAGGAATCACACTACCCAACTTCAAACTATACTACAGGACTACAGTAACCAAAACAGCATAGTGCTGGTACAAAAACAGACACAGAGACCAAAGGAACAGAACAGAGAACCCAAAAATAAGACCACACACCTACAATTATCTGATCTTTGACAAACCTGACAAAAACAAGCAACGGGGAAAGGATTCCCTATTCAAAATGGTGCTGGGACAACTGGCTAGCCACATGCAGAAAATTGAAACTGATCCCTTCCTTACACCATATACCAAAATTAACTCAAGATAGATTAAGGATTTAAATGTAAAACCCCAAACTATAAAAACCCTATAATACCGTTCAGGACATAGACATGGGCAAAGATTTCATGATGAAGATGCCAAAAGCAATTGCAACAAAAGCAAACATTATTGACAAGTGGGATCTAATTAAACTAAAGAGCTTCTGCACAGCAAAAGAAACTATCAATGGATTAAACAACCTACAGAATGGGAGAAAAATTTTTGCAAACTATGCATCTGACAAAGGTCTAATATCCAGGATCTATAAGGAACTTAAACAAATTTACAAGAGAAAAGCAAACAACCTCATTAAAAATAGGCAAAAGACATGAATAGACACTTCTCAGAAGAAGACATACATGCCACCAACAATCATACAAAAAAACTCAACATCACTGATTATTACAGAAATGCAAATCAAAACCACAATGAGATACCATCTCACACAAGTCAGAATGGCTACTATTAAAAAGCCAAAAGATAACAGATGCTGATGAGGTTGTGGAGAAAAAGGAATGTTTATAGTGTTGGTGGGACTGCAAATCAGTTCAACCACTGCGGAAGACAGTGTGGCAATTCCTCAAAAACCTAAAGTCAGAAATACCATTCAACCCAGCAATCCCATTACTGGGTATATACCTAAAGGAATATAAATCATTCTACTATAGACACACATGCGGGCCGGGAATGGTGGCTCACGCTTGTAATCCCAGCACTTTGGGAGGCCAAGGTGGGTGGATCAGTTGAGGTCAGGAGTTCCAAACCAGCCTGGCCAACATGGCAAAACCCCATCTCTACTACAAATACAAAAATTAGCTGGGTGTGGTGGTGCATGGCTGTAGTCCCAGCTACTTAGGAGGCTGAGACAGCAGAATCATTGAATCCAGGAGGTGGAGGTTGCAGTGAGCCGAGATCATGCCATGGCACTCCAGCCTGGGCAACAGAGTGAGACTCCATCTGAAAACAAACGAACAAAAAGACACATGCATGCGTATGTTCATTGCCACACTGTTCACAATAGCAAAGATATGGAATCAAACCAAATTCCTTTCAATAATAGACTGATTAAATAAAAGTGGTACATATACACCATGGAATACTATGCAGCCATAAAAAGGAATGAGGTCATGTCCTTTGCAGGGAAATAGATGGAGCTGGAGGCCTTTATCCTTAGCAAACTAACACAGGGACAGAAAACCAAATAATGCATATTCTCACTTACAAGTGGGAGCTAAATGATGAGAACACATGGACATGTGGAGGGGAACAACACACACTGTGGCTCACTGGAGGGTGGAGAGTGGGAGGAGGGAGAACATCAGGAAAAACAACTAATGGATACTAGGCTTAATACCTGGGTGATGAAATCATCTATACAAGAAACCCCATGACACACGTTTACTATGTAACAAACCTGCACATCCTGTCCATGTACCCCTACGTTTAAAATAAAAGTTAAAATAAAATAAAATATACACAGTGAAAATCTGAGTAGTATGAAAATACATAGGAACAAAAAGTAAGTTTCCCTTATAACTTATACTCCAGATGCCCAAGTTCCCTCTCTCAGCAGACAGCCACTGATCAATTTTTTTGACCTTCCTTCCAGTCATAATCTGAGCACAAATTATCTCTGCACAAAGTAGCAAAGATTCTATAAATACCCTCTTTGTTTTAACACAAATATAAACACATCATGCACACTGTTTAGCACCTATTTTTTTCTATAGCATGCTTATCTATTCAAACATATTTCTTGAGCCTTGTCTCTATGCCAGGCACTGATCCAGGCATTTGGAGATCTGAGCTATTCCAGAGAGCTTGCTGAATCCACATATGGGCATCTAACAGTCTTTATGCAATTGCCTAGCATTTAATAGAGCTGCCATCATTTTACGCATCAAATTCCCTGTGGAAGGACATCGAGGAATTCACAGAAGTTGAGAGTGTTTTGATTTTGAGATGATCCTTGCCGTGTTAGTATTCCTCACAGCTCTGTGCCCTCTGAAAATTTGATTCATGTGTCTTCTATATCTTCATGACACTGAATAAAATGCTGAACTTGAGAAAACTACTTGGTTCTGTACCAGAGAATCCCCATAATTTTGCTACAGGTTCAAAATTCTTATTTTGGGGATGTTACCAGTTTCCATTTAACTGACTTCTTGATAACCAATCCTCCCCATTTCTTCTGTAAACCTGCTGAGGAGTAAACCCATTCTGCAGGGTTGGTGGGGTGCGGGGCAACCTGCTCTACTATGTCTGGGGGCTCCTGCTGTTTTCAGCAGTTGAGGTCCATGCTTTCAAACAGTCAGCGTTATTTGCCCCAAGCCTGTTTATGCCAGTTGCACTTGCTACTGTAATTATGTAAATTAAATATCATGTGAACCAATGAAATGTTAGTGTGAAAAGAAGTTGTTTATATGAAAACTGAGCCACCTACCTTAAAAAATTGATAAGGCTGAGTAGCTAAAACAAAACAAAAACCCTGCCCATTTAGATATGGGTAGAGCACTGTAGAAAATTGGTGAAAATTATTTAAAAAACAAACAAACCCTAGAAAGAGTTTGCACTCAAATTGCAAACTGTTTTAAATTTTTGCTTTGCTTAAAAAAAATCCTTTGAGATCATAAACTATTTTTCAGAGGTGTGCTTTTTGAAAGAAAGAGACTAAAACATAGACTTTGGCCTCAATAAAAAATTGCCAAATGATTGCACTGTTATATGATTTAGCATCAAATAAAAATTTTAAAGCATATATGTATCATTTTTAAATGATGCTTCACTTTAATCAATTTGTTCTTCAGTTAATGTGTGAACTACCGAGCCTAATAGCATCAAGCTTCTACTCTAGTTGATGAATGATTTGAATGCACCTGACAGTAATATCATTGAGTTCACAGCCATCATTTTATCCAAAATAGTACCATGGGCAGCTGTGTCAAATGCTTACTGATATTGAGAGGTGACAGCATGCTGGCAGCCCTCGCTGGCTCTCATCTCAGCGCCTCCTCTGCCTGGGCGCCCACTCTGGCGGCGCTTGAGGAGCCCTTCAGCCCGCCACTGCACTGGGGCAGTCCCTTCCTGGGATGGCCGAGGCCAGAGCTGGCTCCCTCAGCTTGCAGGGAGGTGTGGAAGGAGAGGCGTGGACGAGAACCGGGGCTGCACACGGCGCTTGTGGGCCAGCTAGAGTTCCGGGTGGACGTGGGCTTGGCGGCCCCGCACTAGGAGCGGGCAGTGAGGGGTTTAGCACCCGGGCTAGCAGCTGCGGAGGGTGCACCGGGTCCCCCATCAGTGCCGGCCCACCGGAGCTGCGCTTGATTTCTCGCTGGGCCTTAGCTGCCTCCCCACGGGGCAGGGCTCGGGACCTGCAGCCCGCCATGCCTGAGTCTCCCCCACCCCCTGCCGTGGGCTCCTGCACGGCCTGAGCCTCCCGGACTAGTGCTGCCCCCTGCTCCATGGCACCCGGTCCCGGACTAGCGCTGCCCCTTGCTTCATGGCACCCAGTCCCATCAACCGCCCAAGGGCTAAGGAGTGCGGGCGGACAGCGCCAGACTGGCAGGCAGCTCCACCTGCCGCCCTGATGGGAGATCCACCAGGTGAAGCCAGCTGGGCTCCTAAGTCTACTGGGAATTGGGGAATCTTTATGTCTAGCTAAGGGTTTGTAAATGCACCAATCGGCACTCTGTGTCTAGCTAAGGGTTTGTGAATGCACCAATCAGCACTCTGTATCTAGCTAATCTAGTGGGGAGGTGGAGAACTTTTGTGTCTAGCTCAGGGATTGGAAATGCACCAATCAGCACCCTGTCAAAGTGGGCCAATCAGCTCTCTGTAAAACAGACCAATCGGCTCTCTGTAAAATGGACCAATCAGCAGGATGTGGGTGGGGCCAGCTAAGAACAAAATCGGGCTGCCTGAGCTAGCAGTAGCAACCGGTTGGGGTGCCCTTCTGCATTGTGAAGGCTTTGTTCTTTGGCTCTTTGCGATAAATCTTGCTGCTGCTCACTTTTTGGGTCCACGCTGCCTTTATGAGCTGTAACACTCTCTGTGAAGGTCTGTAGCTTCACTCCTGAAGCCAGAGAGACCACGGGAAGGAACGAACAACTCCAGACGCCCCGCCTTAAAAGCTGTAACACTCACCGCGAAGGTCTGCAGCTTCACTCCTGAGCCAGTGAGACCACGAACCTACCAGAAGGAAGAAACTCCAAACACATCTGAACATCAGAAGGAACAAACTCCGGACACGCCGCCTTTAAGAACTCTAACACTCACCGCTAGGATCCGCGGCTTCATTCTTGAAGTCAGGTGAGACCAAGAACCCACGAATTCCAGACACTATCAAAAGGTAGATATGGAGGAGTCTCTAGCATTTTCCTTGATCTTGGTGACTCCAGGGATAGAGCTCTGTGCCCTTTTGTTTGTAAACTCTTTTGTTCTGCTTGATGGATTTTTTTTTTAAGGTCAACTTTATGGTTGCTATTTTCAAATCTTCCTCATAAAAATTCTTCTAGTCTGGGATACTTGGCTTCCAATCTAGAAGGGCTGTGGATTTTCATTCATTGTTGTGTCCTCTGTGCGTAGTAACTGGTAGAAGCTTCCTGATACCTATGTGAAGTTACACAAACATGTCTGGATTTATACAACACCAAGACTGCAATTGTAGAACAAAAGAGATGCACTGAAATGTACACTTTACAGGGCTAGTGTCACTTCCCTAGACTCCATCTGTATATCATGACAAGTTTATTGGTCTGTAGATACTTAAATGTGCCTTTTTAAAAAAAATGTTACTTTAAGTTCTGAGAAAAGTGTGCAGAATGTGCAGGTTTGTTACATAGGTATACATGTGCCATGGTGGTTTTCTGTACCTATCAACCCGTCATCTAGGTTTTAAGCACTGCATGCATTAGGTATTTGTCCTAATGCTCTCCCTCCCCTTGCCCCCACCACCCAACAGTCCCCGGTGTGTGATGTTTCCCTCCTTGTGTCCATGTGTTCTCATTGCTCAGCTCCCACTTATGAGTGAGAACATGCGGTGTTTGGTTTTCTGTTCATGTGTTTGCTGAGAATGATGGCTTCCAGCTTCATCCATGTCCCTGTGAATATGCCTTTCTACTTTTCAAAAAATTGGCATAGTATTTGTTTGTCTTCATTCTTCTGGCCCCCATTTTCAATATTGAAAATGGTCCTGAGATGCAGCCTGCCTGTCTGTAATGCAGGATTTGGAGACCTGAATTCAAGTATACTACATGATTCAGGGCTTCGTTATTTCATAACTCAATGCTAGGGACAATTACATTGTGATGTTTCTTTTTGTCCACTTGCCATTTGAAGAGCATTCTACATTCTAATTACTTGGATATAAAATAGACAATGTGATAAAATAAAATAGTCCACTGTCTAAATAAAATTGACTAGTGTGGAAAGAGTTAGGAATGGAGACTGAAAAAAGTCATGTTTCCAGCTGTCTTTGGCCATGAAAATTTCTCAGTAGGATCCATAGTAATCACATCATGGAGAATGGGTTATCCATCCCTTCAGGCATTTATCCTTTGTGTTACAAACAATCCAATTACATTCTTTGAGTTATTTAAAAATGTACAATTTAGTTATTATTGACTATAGTTACCCTGTTGTGCTATCAAAGAGTAGGTCTTATTCTTTCTGTTGTTTGTACCCATTAACCGTCCCCACTCCCTACCTCCCAAACTCCCAGCTACCCCTCCCAGCCTCTGGTAATCATCCTTCTAATCTCTATGTCCACGAATTCAATTGTTTTGATTTTTAGATCCCACAAATAAGTGAGAACATGTGATGTTTGAATTTCTGTGCCCGGCTTATTTCACTTAACATCAATGATCTCCAGTTCCATCCATTTCATTGCAAATGACAGGATCTCATTCTTTTTTTATGGCTGAATAGTACTCCATTGTGTATATTTACAACACTTTTTTTTTATCCATTCATCTGTTGATATGGTTTGGCTGTGTTCCCATCCAAATCTCATCTTGAATTGTAACTCCGACAATTCCCGCGTGTCATGGGAGGAACCCTGTGGGAGGTAATTGAATCATGGGGGTTGGTCTTTCTTGTGCTCACACTAGTGAATAAGTCTCATAAAATCTGATGGTTTTAAAAAGGGGGAGTTCCCCTGCATAAGCTCTCCGTCTTTGCCTGCCGCCATTCACGTAAGACGTGGTCCTCTTACTTGCCTTCTGCCATGATTTTGAGGCCTCCCCAGTCATGTGGAACTGTAACTCCATTAAACTTCTTTCTTTTGTGAATTGCCAGTCTAGGGTATGTCTCCATCATTGATGTGAAAACGGGTTAATACATCTGTTGATGGACACTTAGGTTTCCTCCAAATCTTAACTATTGTGAACAGTGCTGTAACAAACATAGGAGGGAGTGCAGATATCTCTTCAATATATTGATTTCCTTTTTTGGGGGCATATACCCAACAGTGAGATAGCTGGATTGTATGGTAGTTCTATTTTTAGTTTCTTGAGGAACTCCAGACTGTTCTCCATAGTAGTTGTACTAATTTACATTCCTGTGAACAGTACATGAGGGCTTTCTTTTCTCCATATCCTTGCAAGCATTTGTTATTGCCTATCTTTTGGATAAAAGCTATTTTAACTGGGTGAGATGATAGCTCAATGCAGTTTTGATTTCCATTTCTCTGATGATCAGTGATGTTGAGCACCTTTTCGTATGCCTATTTGCCATTTTATTTTGTTCTCTTTAAAAAGACTCCCCAATATGGTGTAAGCTCCTGGTCTCTAAGATCTACCTGGCTAGTTTTTCTTTTTTCCTACCATGTCATATTCTGCTACTTCTCTATTCTTTAGTCATTTTTGTCTTTATATCTCCTTTGAATTATGTTATCTCTGGCTTCCATTCTAGTTATTACTATAATTATTATTGTTTTCAAACTTGTAGTGGTGTGGCTGATAGAGCAAAATGTTACCTTTTTTTTTTTTTTTTCCAAGGAAGAGAAAACGCCATTTAAAAGACACCCATATCCACTGCTTCTTTGACTAGGGAACATCATCACCTTTTCTTTAAACATTTGCTCAGAATGACTTGGGTGGCCTTTCTAACTTGTCCATTTATTCAACAACTATTCACAGAGTTCTTCCGTATGCCAAGCCCTCTGTCACCTGGGGTGACAGAGTGAATGAAGTGAAGCTAATCTTTATGAGCAGAGGTGGAAACTAAGCAAGGTAAATAAATAAATAATGATTTTTAAAAAAAGAACACAGAGATGTGATAGGTGGGTAGGGTGGGGCCACTTTACATGGTAGGATGTGTGTAGCCTGATGAAGGGGGAGGTGAGATTTAAGATGAGAAAGAGTCAGCCATGTGAAAAGCATCCCAGGTAAAAGGAATTTATTATGATAGCCTGGGAGCAAAAAGAGGTGGATATTCTAGGAACTGGCCCAAGACTGATGAGGCTAGAATCCAACAAGGGGCGTCACAATGATGTAAAATGTGACAGAAATATGGGGCCAGTTAAATCAGAATGAGACCATATTTGTAGCCCCAAGGTGTCACATGGGTTATACCTGTTACATAATTAGTATCTCACACAAGAATAGCTAACATTTAATAATGACTAGCGGCAAATGAGCACCTCATGACGTGTCAAGGGCTGTCTTAAAAGTGTTAAATTTTTTGAATCATGTATCTTCACAGCATCCCTATGAGGCAGGTAAAGTCATCATCCCCATTTTGCAGATGACAAGACCAAGGCACATAGAGATTGAATAACTTGCCCAAGATCCTAACCAGTGAGATTCAGACCTTTTCAGTCTAGCTCCAGTGCCTGCCCTCTCAATGACTATGTTTTATGCTACGATTTCTGAAGGGCAGGTCAAGCTAGCTGCAGGCAGGCAGCTTGGGACACAGAGGGCTTCTTGCAGGGGGAGGTACTGACAAGCTGCTGGCAGGAGACAGCCTCACTGCTCATCAGTCTGGGGAAAAGGGCAGATTGTTACAGCCAAGCCACAGAAATCCGGGAATGGTGGCTAAGGGGCACAGTGGGTCAGAACCAAGAGAGTAAGTAAGCTGGATCAAACTGAGGATCCAGAAACATTCAGCTGTGAATGCTCATCTTTGTAAACCAGAAGACTATATCAGCCACAGCATGGAGAAAAAAAAAAAATAGAGCCTGTGAGTGAGCACAGAGCCGGGAAAGGAGGCTGGGTGTTCTGGGCATAGCAGGTGGACATTGACTCACTTTCATTATTTCATTAGTTTCATTAGAACAAAATTAAAGTTCTAATGAATGCATTATGCATTAAAGTTTTTTTACTACATAGCCAAAATAACACTATTTTATTTAACAAGTAAATAATACTTCTAAATAACATACATATTCACATTTCCCTAATTATCCCCCCTCCCCCAAATTAAAGTAGCTTTGTCCAACCCAGGACATAACCCAGGACCATACATTATATCTGGATGTTATATTCCTCAAGTGTCTTAATCTCTAGACCAGTTCCCTTCCCCATGATATTATTATTTTGAAGAGACCCAGATCAGTGTCCTGCAAATTGTCCTATTTAGATTCATCTGGATATTTCTTCCTGGAAATCATTAGCTTGTTCCCATATCTTTTGTATATTCTATATAGTTACATTTAAAAACTTGATTCAAATTAAACGTTTCTGACCAGAATATATCATAGATGAGCTTTGTTTTTTCTTTTCCTTTTTCTTTTTCTTAAGGATTACATGTGGACATGCATGCTGTTTATTCTTTGGCATTGCCCCGCTGGAGATCAAGGCACTAATTGCCATCTAGTGGCAGCATACCCCAAATGCAGCTTCAGATCTTTGGAGGGGTAAAGATACTTCTGAGATATTGAACCTGTAGATTAAATCATAGTGTAATTATGGCAAGTGATAGGCATATATTAAGCTCTGTCATCAAATCTTGCTTCAAAATCTTTTCTGGCCTTAGGCACCCTGAGTCTTCATGAGAACGACAAGTTCCATTAAAATTCCATCTGGCTTCTGCTTCCTTCCTCTGCACCACCATCTCCAGTCTCTCCTTCTCCATCCTCTTTCCAACACCCCTGTTCTTACTTCCAAATTTATTCTCCTGCTTCCAATTCAGGATTATTCAAATATTAACCTAAACCTTTCTCTTTGGTTGTAAATTATGGATATGTCTTCTGAAATTTAAGAAAGATAACATGCATCAGCACTTAACCTTTGATTGCTGTTAGTAATTAATTTTTCCCTTGGAGTACATATCTTTTTTTTCAGTTCGGAAATTCATGCAAGTTGGAATTACTGAGATAAAGGAATTCTGGATCCATAGGGAACATTTGTCCAAATCCACACCCAGTCTTTTCCCTGTTTAAATGTACTTCTCATGCTGTTTTGCATGTGTACATATATGTGTTTGTTAGAGCAGAAAAATCCCTCCACTTTTGGATTCCTGAGAAGTGCAGGAATTTCCAATTGATTAATCTTTGTCAGGACATACTATTTCCCTTACCTGGGCCCAGGACCTAGGGACCCTGTGGAGAAGGCTATTATGGGAAGTTCATAGAGAATTAGACTGAAGGATGCTCTGGCTAATGAGCCTGACCCTGGGACTCTGTGGGCCTCCATCACCGGTACCTCATAATGACATTTGATGGATGGAGTGAAGTTGCCAGGGGACTGTTTTGCTATGCTTCAATAAGTACAATCAATTTACAACTGGACCAAAGTTGCTAGTAATACAATAACACCTCTGGGAATAATGTATCTATTAGGAATTTTCTAATTAATTCATAAGGGGAGGGGTCTGACATACAGTCTAGATTAGGGGCAATAGTTAGAGGGACCAATGAGAAGTACGGAAAAAGATGTAGCTGAGGCCAGCCCTTCTCAAGATTGAAGCCAGATAAGGTATCTGTAGTAAGAGATGCTACTATCTTTAGTCCTATGACTACCTCTACCATATACACTATCATCAACTCCTCTTTCTTATCTTTTCAGTTGCCTTTTTAGCCCATTCCTTAAGTATCAGGGTCCCCCAGGTGTTGTTCTCACACCATCTCTTTTCTCAATCTGGACACTCTCTCCAGAGTCTCTTGCTCATACACTGCATTGCCTGAGCATTCTGGTGACTATATTTTCAACTGCCTGCCAGAATTTTCTGATTTGCCCCAGTGCCTTGGCCTCAGCACATCAAAAGCTAAACACATTATTTGTTCTTCCCCAACCTCAATGCTCTGTTTCTTTTGCACTTTCTACCTTGGATAAATGGCTGTATCCTCTACCTGGCTGCCTAAGTGGAGGTCTCTATTGTCATCCTTGCTGCCTCCCACTCCTGCATCCCAAGCTCTATTTTGCTGCTTGTTTTACCCATCGTGGCTGCTCATTTATTTCCACTCTTCTCCTACCGTCCTAGACCATGCTATAACTGTCTCCTATCTGGATTACCCTAATACACCATTAACATAGCCTACAGCCTTTCAGTGGCTCATCATCTTCTCCAGGATTAAGCATTTACCCCTTAACTTGGTATACAGGTTGTTTATGATGTACATTCTGTTTTAATCTCCAGCTTTGCCCCCCCACCCACAAGTCCTTATGCTCTAGCTACATCAAATAATCTGTTGTTAGGATGTCATGATTTGTCATACTCATCTGCTCTTGGATATCCATTTATATAAAATGTCCTTTTTCTCCATTCACCTCTGAATTACTACTTACTTTTCAAAATCCAGCCTCGGTGTCAGCTTCTCTATAAAGTTTTCCTGGATCACTTGTTTCTTTTAGAGTTAAGTGCTTTCTACTCTGAACTACTTGTATGCCCTTTGCATATTTTTATTAAATAATTAGTCGGATGATATTGATACTGCCTACTTATTTTTTTTTGTTTTCTCAGTAAATGTTGAGCTTGAGGGGAGGAACCTTGCTTAATTTTCTCTCTGATACTTCAAATTACGTGGGTTCACTGGAGTTCCTAAGGGGGCCAGGCTAAAAAAGCATCAGAAAAACAAAAAGCATTGGAAGAAGCCATAAAAACTGAACAGAGACAAGATAAGCAATGTATGACTATATAACTATATATATGTATATAACTATAGCACACAGTGGAGGATTCAAGCTTTGCAGTTTTAGTCCAGGCATGTTAACTGACTAATATAAAGAAATCCAACAATTTTTTTTTTTTTTTTGAGACGGAGTCTCGCTCTGTCATCCAGCCTGGAGTGCAGTGGTGCAATCTCGGCTCACTGCAAGCTCCACCTCCCGGGTTCATGCCATTCTCCTGTCTCAGCCTCCCAAGTAGCTGGGACTACAGGTACCCACCACCACCCCTGGCTAATTTCTTTTTTTGTATTTTTAGTAGAGACAGGGTTTCACCATGTTAGCCAGGATGGTCTCGATCTCCTGACTCTCTGATCCGCCCACCTTGGCCTCCCAAAGTGCTGGGATTACAGGCTTGAGCCACCGTGTCCGGCCAAAATCCAACAATTTTCAGATGCAGCCAAATCCAGAATTGCCACAATGTGTTATTTACAATGTTCAGTTTTCAGTCAAATTATGGAAATGCAAAGAAAAAGGAAAGTGTGATCTGTACTCATTAAGAAACTAAGTAAATAGAAACTGTCTTTAAGAGGGACCAAATGTGGGATTTAGCAGACAGACATCAAAATAGCTATCAAAAATATGTTCATAGACTCAAAGAAAAATACATTTAAAAAATTAAAGGAAAATAATTTTAATAAGTGAAATATAAAAATATTATCAGTGAAATGGAATCTATTATGTATCTATCTATGAGCTGAAAGTACAACCACTGAAATGAAAAGTATACCTGATGAGCTCAACAGAAAACTGAGGATGGCAAAAAAAGAATCGGTGAACTTGAAGATAAATAAATGGAAATTATCCACTTCAAAGATGAGAGAAAAAAGATTGAAGAAAAGTGAACAGAACGTCACAGACCTGTGGGATAATATGAAATGATCTAATACATGTCATTGCAGTCCCGGAAAGCAAGGTGAAAAAGGAACAAAATATTTTTAAAATAATAGATGAAAACTTTCCAAACTTTATGACAAATAGTAATTTACAGATACAAGAAGCTTAACAAATCACAGACAGAATAAATACAAGAACATACTCTTAGTAAACTACCTAGAAAACTACAACTAGGCACATTATAGTTAAACTACAATGATAAAAGTGAAAATTTTTTATGATAGCTAAAGAAAATGACACATTACCTAATGGTAACAATGATACAAGAAAGGGCTGATTAAAAATACAAAAATTAGCCAGACATGGTGGCGTGTACCTGTAGTCCCAGCTACTCGGGAGGCTGAGGCAGGAGAATTGCTTGAACCCAGGAGGTGGAGGTTACAGTGAGCCGAGATCTTGCCACTGCACTCCAGCCTGGGCAACAGAGAGAGACCCCATCTCAATAAATAAATAAATAAATAAACAAACAGTGGTAGTCAGAAGAGATTGGAATGACATATTCAAAATACTGAAAGAAAAAACTGTCAACCCAGCATTTTCTATTCAATGAAACTCTCCTCTAAAAATAAACCTAAAAGAAGGACATTTTTGTATAGAAAAAAATGAGAGAATTTATTGCCAGCAGATTTGTTCTATAAGAAATGCTAAAGGGAGTTCTTCAGCCTAGAGAGAAATTAACACTAAATCTATAGGAAGTAACAAAAAAATGAATAATGTGTATGTATATATCTATATATTTATATCTGCGTATATATGTACAGTCATGGGTTGCATAAGGATATTTAAGTCAACCACAAACTACATATGTGACAGTATTGTAAAATTATAATGGAGCTGAAAAGTTTCTGTCACCTAGTGATGTCATAGCCATCATAACATCATAACACGATTCATTACTCATGTGTTTGTGGTGATGCTGGTATAAACAAGTCCACTGTGCTGCCAGTTGTATAAAAGTATAGCACATAAAATTATGCACAGTACATAATGCTTGATAAAAATAATAAATGATTATGTTACTGGCTTATGTATTTACTAGACTATTTTTACATTGTTATTTTAGAGTGTACTCCTCCTACTTATTAAAAAAAGGTAACTGTAAAACAGCCTCAGGCAGGTCCTTTAGGACATATTTCAGAAGAAGGCAATGTTATCATAGGAGATGACAGCTCCATGAATGCTATTGTTTCTAACAACCTTCCAGTGGGACAAGATATGGAGGTGGAAGACAGTGATATTGATGATCCTGACACTGTGTAGGCCTAGGCTAATATGTGTGTGTTGTGTCTTAGTTTTTAACAAAAAAGTTTAAAAAGTAAAAGCCAAAAAAGTTTAAAATAGGAAAAGCTTATAGAATAAGGATATAAAGAAAGACATTTTTTGTACAGCTGCGGAGTGTATTTGTGTTTCAAGCTAAGTATTATTACAAAAGAGTAAAAAATTTTACTTTTTACTTTTTAAAAGTAAACTTTAAAAATTTTATAAAGTAAAAATGTTACAATAAGCTAAAGCAATTTATTATTGAAGAAATACAAATATTTTATACAAATTTAGTGTAGTCTAAGTGTACAGTGTTTATAAAGTCTACGATAGTGTATAATAATGTCCTAGGCCTTCACATTCACTCACCACTCATTCACTGACTCACCCAGAGCAACTTTCCAGTCCTGCAAGCTCCATTCATGGTAAGTGACAGAAAATATACAATGTACCACTTTAAAAAATACTTTGTACTGTATTTTTACTGTAGTTTTTCTATGCTTAGATATGTTGAGATACACAAGAATTTACCATTGTGTTACAGTTGCCTACAGTATTCAGTACAGTAACATGCTGTACAGGTTTGTAGCCTGTAACAGCAATAGCCATACCACATTGTGTATGTGTAGGCCATACTATCTAGGTTTGTGTGAGTACACTCTATGATATTAACACTACATTGAAATTACCTAATGATGCATTTTTTGGAATGTATCACTGTTGTTAAGCAATGTATGACTATATAACTATATGTGTTATATATTTACATATATATTAAAAGACATCTAACCATTTAATGCAAATTATACTGTATTATTGTGTTTGTAGTATATAAAATTATATATTAAAACAATAGTACTAAGGATGGGGAAAATGAATTGAAAAATACTGTTGCAAAATTTCTACATTACAGGAAGTAATTCAATATTAGTTCTAAATATATTGAGATAAGTTATAGATGCAACCTCTAAAAAATGATGTAAATTAGTATAGCTAGAAACCCATGAAAATAAATAAAACTAACAAATGTTTGGTTAACACAAAAAGAAGGAAATACAGAAAAAGAGAAATAGAGAAACAACAAATAAATAAGACAAATACAAAATAGCAAAATGGCAGACCTAAATATATCCATATCAATAATTATATTAAATGTAAATGGACTAAATAGTCAAAACAAAAAGCAGATATTTTATTAAAATGAGTAAAATGAGTGATATTAAAATGATATTAAAATGAGTAAAAACCAAGTATACACTGCCTACAAATGACACATTTTAAATACAAAGACACAAATAAATTAAAAGAAAAAAATTTGAAGAAGATATACCATGTAAACAATAAACATCAGAAAGCTGGAGTATCAGGCAAAATAGACCTCAAGACAAGGAGTATTACTAGAGACAAGAGAGTCACTTCAAAATGACAACAGGGTTAATGCTTCAAGAATATTTAACAACTACAATTGTATATGTGCATAACAAAAAACAGCAATAAGTAATAATAATTATTAAGAACTTAACCATTTTCAAAATTAAGGTATTTTTTCAAATGTGATTCCAGAATCAGTCAAAAGTATAGCTAGCTAACAAATACTGTGGTGCCAAAAAAGACCTATGTTATCTGGGCACCAACTCACTTGGCCATTTCAACACAAGGAAATCTCAAATCACCTTTCTAATGATTTGCAGTTAAGAAAAGGGTCTTTCTTATGTATAAATCCATCACATTTAACATAACTTTTTCAATGTTTCACACATTCCTTAAAGCTCATTATTTATGGATTTTTTTAACCCAGGCAAATAAAGTTTATTTTTTTCATCTTTATTATCTTCTTTCATGCCCTGGTACAATCAACCAGTTATTATTTAAGACAAAATTACTCTCTCTTTTTTCCTGATAAACAAAAATATATTCTTCATTATTATTTTTATTTGTACAAATGTATGGAGTGCATAACTTTTATTACATGTATATAATGCATAGTGATCAAGTCAGGGTGTTTAGGGTACCCGTCACCTGAGTACAATATATTTTGTTAAGTATAGTCACCCTTATCTGCTATCAAACATTTATTCCTTCTGTCTTACTATGTGTCTGGACCCTTTAAGCCACTTCTCTTTATCCTCCCCCATTCCTCCTACTCACCCTTCCCAGTCTCTGTTATCTATCTTCCATTCTCAACATCCATCATTTTGCATATACATCTCTTTAACAGCACACTATTCTTTTATATTACTTCAAAAATGAACATAGATATTAATAAAATGTAAAGATATTTGTGCATTCTTTTTTGACACATTAACTAATGTCTACTTTAAAATGTAGAAAAAAGAGTGTAGGTAAATGAAAATTATGCTGTCTAGATATTCAAATGTTATTTATAAATTAACAAAAATTAATATCAATTCAAGATCTTAAAGTTAACCAAGGTTATTAAAATTATAGGATCAAGTTGACACATCAAGTTCTTATAATTTGTAACATTAGGAAAATTTCACTAGCATAACACTTTTAAAATACATCTGTTATTACATAATTTAATTAAACATACTTTTGAAATCAATTTGTGAAGCCAATAACTTTTTAAAATACATCTGTTATTACATAATTTAATTAAACATACTTTTGAAATCTTAAACAATTCGTGAAAATAACTTTTTGACTTATAAAATATATGAAATTTAGAAAATTTTAGTCATGAGAAAATAAACTCTACCCTTGTATGAAGTAGAATATTGTATTTACATTATTTTTACAAGGTGGTAAAAACATGGAGAAGATATAGAGTTGCTTTTAAATTAAAATTGTGAGTCTAATTTGACCAAAGCCTGTTGATAGGAGTATTACATTAATTTCAATTTGAACACATTTGAATTTATAAACAAACTTTCAAGATTATTTAAATCATGTTTAAAAGCTTCCAATATCTCACTTTCTTTCTTACCTTGTAACCAAGTAACTAAAGCCATTAACTCAATTCACAGGTAAAGCTTTACTTCTTTTTCAGAGGTGTAGTTATAATGGGCATTTTTCCCTTGGAAGAGCCAAAATAAACAAAAATTAGGAGTTAATTTTTTTCCCTTGAAAAACTCTTGCATTTTTTTTCAAATTTACGTGAGTATTTAGTATATCATTTTTTTCCCCTGAAGCCAGTAGGACCTGAACTTAACCCATTAAATTTTCAGAGATTTTGCAGTGTGATTCATTCCCATTTCATATTAGATGCATTTATCTGAATTGATGTTCTTAGAATTGAACATAAGAATACAATTTTTCAAAGAGTATTTGATCTTCAAAGCTTCTAGAGAGAGGGAGAAAGAGAGGAAAAGGGGTATAACAAGAAGAGGAAGTGAGAGGAGCTGGCTACAAACAAATATGGAAGTCATTACAGACCACCAAAGGAGCTTTGGACGCAGGAAGATATATTTTTACACACACACACACACACACACACACACACACACACACGTGCCCCCCCTGCCCAACACACCAGAGAGAGAGGGAGAGAAAGACAGAGACAGAGACAGTTGCTACAGTTGGTTTAAACAACTTAGGACATTAATAATTTTATGAGGACTACATGAATAAAAGCCCCAAAGAACGGTGATCTTTCGTATTAAAATAATATATGTTTTAATCAGACGAAGCAGATAATTTTCTCATAAAGGGTTCTTCCCTTTTTGTTCTGGGGCACCCATTTCATTTCTGGTCTTCTGAGAAGCTGATGGCAAAATCAAATTACATGTGAAAAATATTTGTGAAGCGGGGAGCTTCTTAAAGGGTAAAAGGAGAGCAAAAATAGAATAAACAGGGAGAATCTTCGGACTGCAATGGAGGCATGATACATGTGAAAGGAGACAGAGTGAGGAAGATTGGGTATAAAGAGCCTCTGAGAAAGCGTCAATCAGGCCAATGGGAGTTCAGAGCAAAGGTTTCCTGTTAGAGGGGTCTTATATTGAACAGGAATTTCCCAGATCTCATATGCCTACAGTGCTAAGTTACTGGAAATGAACTACCTGGAGAAGATATGGCCTTGGCATAAATGTGGTGGATCTTTAAAGCGGGGCAGGTCAGTTGACTACATTCCTTGCAGCCTTTCTCTCTTAAAGGAAGATATGAATAGGTCACTCTCATGGATGCCACAGAACCTCTCCAGTGGTTTTGGTAGCTAGCGCAATTCTAAATTGTCCTGGATGAAACCATTACATTTAGAGAGATATATGCAAGAATGAGAATACATAAACCAGAGTTATTCCAGGAGGTAGCACAATTTACTAACAAACATGTCTGACAGTTGGTTTGGCCCTAAGATCAAGCTGATCCTGACTTCAGACTCAAGAAATCATCAATCCTTTGCAGACTGAATGCCTGGAGAGAGGAGTGCTTTGAAAGCCCAATTCTCATACACAGACCAGAAAGAGAAATGTTCTTACTAGGTTCTTATTGTGACCCAAGGCAAATTTTGTCTTAGAATTCCAGTCTATAAAGACCTTTTACTCAATGGTCCTTAAGGCTTGATTGAACAATAGAATTATAGAACCTATGTACATCTTCTTCTCTTTGTACTTCTTATAGACCTGCAATAGTACAGATAATAGCCAGATAGATCAGGTGATTGGTGGTAAAGGCAAACCTTCACCAACAAAAGGAAGATCAAACCTTTCCCCTATGTCTTTCTAAAAGCTTTGAGGTTTTCATTCTCATCTTTAATTCACTTGGAAATTTGTGTGTGTGTGTGTGTGTGTGTGTGTGTGTGTGTGTGTGTAGATAGGGATTGAATTTACCAAATAGTTCTACTTTCTCTAGTCATTGTCATGTCCATCTTAAGTTATATACCAAGTTTCTAATTATGCATTGGTTTGTTTTTGAGTGCTCTTTTTTTATGCCATTTGCATATTTGTCTGCATCTGCACAAATGCCATATTCAATAATTCTAGTTTTAGAATTTTGAAATCTGATAGAGCAAGTCATCCTACCTTGTTTTTTTAAGAAATGTCTCGACCATTTGTCAGAGCCATTTGCTCTTCCATATACATTTTAGAATGAGACTGTCAGGTTTCAAAAAGAACTTTCTTGGGATTTGGTTTGGAATTCAATTGAATTTATAGAATAATTTGGGGAGAGCTGGCATCTTTACAATATTTAGCCTTTCTATCTATGAACAAAGTAGAACTCTCCATTTATTTTATTCTCCTGTAATGTCTTTCAATATCATTTTATAGTTAGCTATAGAAAATTTTTTCACATCTTTTATAGGCCTTATCCCTAGTTTCTCTCACTCTCTTTTCCTTTCTTGTATTTTCTTGCTTGATCTTAATATCAAGATTATAATAATCTCATAAAATGAGGTCGGAGGCATTTCATTTTTTTTCTAGTCTCTGGAAGAATTCATATAATTGATCTATTCCTTGGGAAGTTGGCAGGAGTGAACTATAAAATCATCGGGTCTGGTGTTTTATTTGTGGGAAGGTTTAAAACTACTGATTCAACTTCTTTAATAGATAATTATAAAATCTAGTTAGGCTTTCTGGTTCTCCTGGAAACTGTTTTTAAAAGTTATAGTTTTTAAAAGTATGTACATTCCATCTCAGCTTACAAATGTGTTGGCATAAAAGTCTCAGTTGTATGTTTTGATTGTTTTTTTTTTAAATCTCTTTTGATTCTGTCTTCTTTTTTTATTCCTAACATTGAATATTTGTGTTTTCTTTCTTTTTCCCCGCTAGATTTATCTTACCATAAGTTTGTTTTATATTAATCTTTTCAAAAAAACAAACTTCTTTATTCATTCTATTTTTGTTTTCTATTTCATTGTTTCTGCCCTTTGTCATATCATTCCTCTTTGTATTTATCTGGATGCTATTTTTCAAACCTTTTAAGTAGGATGCATATCTCATTCTAGTATCAGCATTTCAGGATACAAAATTTCCTTTCATTAGTGCTTCAGCTTCATCCCACGAGTTTTTTTTTAATTAAACTTTTTATAATATTTTGAGATAATTGTAGATTCACAAGCAGTTGTCAGAAATAATACAGAGAGCTCCAGGTGCCCTTTACTTAGTTTCCCTCAATGGTAACATCTTCCAGATAATAGTACAATGTCAAAATGAGAACAGTGGAGTTAATACAGAACATTTTCCTCACTGCAAGGACCTCTCCTGTTGTCCTTTTATAGCCACACGCCTGCCCAATCTGCTCTGTTCCCATGTCAGCCACCAATTTGTTCTCCATTTCTATGATTTTGTCTTTTTAAGAATGTCCTATAGAACAAATCATACAGTATTGTAATCCATTGCAATTTGCTTCTTTCACTTTGCATAGTTCACTGGAGATTCATCCAGGTTGTTGTGTGTATCAATAATTCATTCTTTTTCATGGTTGAGTAGTATTCCAAGATATGGGTGTACCATGGTTTAACTTTTTAACGATTGAAGGATATTTGGGTTGTGTGAACATAAGTCTTAATTTCTCTGGAATAAATGCCCAAGACTGCAATTACTGGGTCATAGGGTAGATGCATTTTTAGATTTTTGAGAACTTCCAAACAAAGTTTTTGGAGTGGCTGTGCCATTTTATGTCACCAGCAATGTATACGTGATCCAGTTTCTCTGCATAATCAGGAATTGTTATTATCACTATATAGTGTTTATTTAAGCCATTCTGATAGGTGTGGAGTGGTATCTCATCATGGTTTAAATTTGCATTTCCGGGCCAGGCGCCAGTGACTGAGGCCTGTAATCCCAGCACTTTGGGAGGCCGAGGCGGGCGGATCACGAGGTCAGGAGATCTAGACCATCCTGGTTAACGCGGTGAAACCGTGTCTCTACTAAAAATACAAAAAAAATTAGCCGGGCGTGGTGGCAGGCGCCTTTAGTCCCAGCTACTTGGGAGGCTGAGGTAGGAGAATGGCGTGAACCCGGGAGGCGGAGCTTGCAGTGAGCCAAGATCGTGCCACTGCACTCCAGCCTGGGCGACAGAGCAAGACTCCATCTCAAAAAAAAAAAAAAAATTAGATTATGTGTCTTTTTGTTGATGAGTTGTATATATTGTGGATACCAAACCTTTATCAAGTATATAACTTCAGCTATTTTTGCCCACTCTCTAGGTTGGTTGTCTTTTTAACTTTCTTAATGATGTTTTTTGGTGCACAATAGGTTTACATTTTATTAAGTCTGATTTCTCTTTCTTCCTTTCTTTCCTTTCCTTCCTTTTCTTTTCCTTTCTTTTCTGTTGCCACTTTTAAGAACTTCTATCTCCGGAGTTTAGTAATTTAACTATAACGTGTCTACACACGAACTTCATACGGCTTGGTATATGTCAGGCTTCCTATAGCTGTAGATTCACATTCTACAACAGATCTGGAAAATTCATATCTTTGATTTTTGCCTCTTTCCCATTGTTTTCTCCTTCTGGAACTCTCTTAATCTCTCTTTCATGCATTCTACTTCCTTTGTTTCTCTCTACTGCAATCTGGGTAATTTCTTTAGATTCATCTTCCAATTCATTTTCTTTTCAGCTGTATCTAATCTGCTTTATAATCTATCCACTGAGCTTTAAAATTGTATTATATAAACTTTTAATATTTTATTTGATTCCTTTATCAAATAATTTTATAGTTTCTTATATTTTGTATTAAAAATTTCTTTCCTTTTAAAAGCATTTTATACAGAGATATTTTATAAACTATATACACAATTTTAGTAACTAAAATACTTGGGATAGGAGAGTGTCCAAAACTGTGGTTTGTTGTTTCTACTGTATCTCCCTAATGGTGGCTCACTCTTTTTGTATTTTCTTTCCTTTTGTATCACAAATTTGTGTTTGAACTTAATCTATGTGAATCCTGAGGAGTTAGAGAGTGTTTCCCTTTCTTATTACCAGATGTGACAGGTTTTTATTAATTCTGAACTACTCGAATTTCTTAGCTAACCTATGAGTATTATACGTTTGAACTCCAGGTCTGAATGGAAGAGAGTCTAGGATAGCAAATTCTCTAGAGACTAGTATAATTATTATTATTGTTGCTGCAGTTATTTTCTATCCAGAATCATGGCAGAGCAAACATAATTCTTGCAGGTTCCTTTCATTGGCAGCTGGATAATTTTACCCCTTATTTCACCCATGGTACCACCCTTTTCAAGGGTCTTGGCATGATGTAAGAATCTTGGGCATATTTCCCACATTTTTCTTGACTATGTTTTATTCTTCCATTTCCCTGCACAGTAGTCAATCCCCAAGACATTGGGTCCCTGAATTGGTATTTGCCCTTAAGGCTTCACAAAATTTTGCTCATGGTTATCACTCATGAATTTTTTAAAAAATTATGTGTTGTTTTGTTTTGTCTTTAACAGGAATTTCTCCTACTTATTTTGAGTTCACTTATACATTTAAATATGTGTTTATTGTAACATATTCAGAATCTAGTCATATTAGACCTCCAGGGAAGGCATTTTGGAATATCTAGTCTGCCATACTTCAAGGAAGGAAGTCCCTTGCCTTAGACCTTTTCATTTAATAAACCACATCCTCCTTATTAGTTTCTTTGTTGAACCTAAATAAAAATCTAGAATTTTTGTGTGTGAAAGGCAGGTGAAAAACCATTTCAAAACCACTGATATACTGTCCCAAGAATCTATCTTAGTAAAAATTGAGACTATTTAAGTCTACATCCTAATCTCTTGAGAACTTCCCTGTTCTCCATGATTCCATAAAAATTACCAATTACAGTTTGGCATTTGCCTCTCTCTGTTCTCTTTAGTCTCTTCTATGTAATTCATTTGGATCTGAAAGTGCTCATATATTTTCTCCTTATCTTTCTTAGAACTCATTTTTTCTTACTACCTGCTTGGAGATTATTCTTCTTAATAGAGAAGATAAAAGTTTTATTAATACACAAATTGTGGAAGAATTGTCAGGTGAAACATTACCTTATGAGTGGCTTACCTTGTCAAAAAGAGAAATCCATAGGCTATGGGTCTTATGTTCACATGGCTCTAAGTCACTTAACTTGGTACATGTCCTTCTTAACTTGACCTTCTGCGTGATGCTGACATCTGGGTCATTTTCAGAGGTATCTTCAGACCCCTACCTTCCTTTCTGTGCTGTTCCCGCTACTTCTGGGTGAGTTCCTCTAAAGAGCAGTGTGCCTTATCTCCTTAAATCCTGGGCTCCCATTGCCAAGCTCTGTTTTGCTAATGGAGTTAAGGGGGCTCTTTGATCTGAGTTCTATACACCGTGACTCCTGTTAAGTGTTACAAGATCCGTGGGCTGGGACAAAGAGCTGAGGTTTTGGAGTAAAAGGTTAGTGTTTCTGGGCAGCCTTGGGCAGACCCTGTGAAGCTGAACTGTGGCATCAGGACAGAGACGTTCGGTTTATAGTTCTGGATTCTGAGGTATAGCCCCACCAGATTTCAGGTAGAGCCAGCAACAGACATGCCTGGATACCAGAGTGACATTCAGAGGCCTGAGATAATAGTGATAGCGCAATATCCATGGCAGGAGCTTCTTGGTTGCTTGAGGTCTGCTGCAGCTTTCACACTAGAGTTTTTGACCTTTAGTCCTTACTCTAATGCCTCTAGTTTAAAGCAGCGGCCACACTAGTTTCATCATGGTCATTACTTCGTAGCAGAGGCAGCCTATGTGGATTGAAGACCACTCCAGGGACGCTGGCCTCCTTTTGTCATCTTGCCATTAATGCCAAAGAGAGTTAGGCAGGGATCCTGCTCACAGGACCCCCAAGGGACAAAGGTAGATCACATTACAGTAATGGAGGGAGCACTGGCTTGAATTCTGTTGGGAAGATATAACGTTAGTACAGTGAAGGAAAAGGAGAGGGAGGGCTTCATCCCACTGCGTTTTCTGCTGCTGCAACAACAGATCTGTGCTGGCGTCTGGGTGCAGCTCACAGGTCCAGCAGTAAGTGACATGGTATCAGACTTTTCTGTGCGCTTGTCTGTCTCCCCCGACTAGAAAATGAGTACTTTGAGGGCAGGGACACTGTTTCCTTTGTTTTAAAATGCTGTTTTAGTGCATGTAGGACCTTGGGAAATTTCTTAACCATCTCAAGTTTCCTCAACTGTAAAATGGGGATAATAATAGTACCTTCCTCATAATATTGGTGTGAAGATTAGCACATGTTGAATAAATAACACAATGAATGAAGTGACTTTCCTTCCATTTTTATTCTCTTTCAAGAAGTTCAAGCTGGATAATCTTAGTGTCGTCAAGCAGTGTGGAGTCATGTATAATGGTCTGAGTTCTCCCCTCAGGAGCAGTTGAAAAGAGAAGCAGTGGCCCACCCTTCCTTGACATCCCCACCTTTCCCTATCCCACCCGAATCTTCATGTTGTGTTGGGAGTTGGGTAGGGGTGGGGAAGCCCCATGCTGCTGAATACACTGCCTTTTAAGTCTTCAGAACTAAAGGCAAGGAGCCAGAATCAAAGATTACCTTGTTTTTTGGAGTGTATCACTGGCTATTGTCCCCATCAAACAAAGCCCTTTCATCAGAGGTTCTTTAAAACACTTTTTTTCCCCTCCTTTATTTTGCTTTGAAATAAGCTGGGCAACAATTAATTTCAGAGAGAGAGAGAGAAAGATAATTCAACAAGGATCTATTACTACTCTCAGCTTCTATTGCTGTAATGAAAATCTATTTCCTTTCCCTTTTGTGTCCCATATAATTTAATGCCCATTTTATTAATGGTCTGAAATAATTATGGAACCCTTTGTGATTCTCAAGTATGTTTCATTTAATTGTGCAATAAATGCCTAATCTCTTCCTCCATCTGAAGCTATTATGGCGTTAAAATTAACAATTATGCAGCAATGCGCTGGGGTCCATAGAAATCACTCCAGATAACTAGACATATATAAATCATTCATGAGAACAATTTCTGAAAAGAGATGGAGGGGAAAAAATTGTGTTGAAAATGACATTGGGAAGCCAAGGGCCCAGCCTGTAAGAAGATAGTAACACCTTTAAAAAATCTTTTTTCTTTCCTTTTTTGTTATTATTATTTTATTAATTGTGTATGTGGCATAGCCCTCCCCCCATTTCTATTAGCCTGACAGATATTTTCAGAATTAATTAACTGTTAGCTCTGAGAATAAATTGTTCATTATCAATTCCTCCCCCCGCCTTTCTTTCTTTCCTTTTATAGTTTTTCTTTTTCTTTCAGGCCAGCAATTACACTCCGTGCCTTTCTCCAGCAGCTCCTGTTCTGCACAGCTATCCAAATGGGGAAAGTGCTTTTTCTTTCAGCCCTATTCACTTCTCCTCTTCTCCCTTTTGTGGGATTTAATAACCATGGCTGATAGGCTCACTCTGGACAGAGAGGTTAAGTTTGTTGTCTCAGCACTTTGCTGACAGGGGACAGCACAGGAATTCTGTAACTTCTAACCAGCCCTGCGAGACTGCCTACGGCCTGGCCCACACAGTCATAGCTTGCAAGTAGTGTTTAGAAACCCTGCACCCCAAATATCCTGCTTACTTAAAAGCACTTCCATTGGTGCTGCTAAAGCCTGCCTCCATCTTTTAAAACATTCCTAAGTCCTAGGAGACTCCCAACAATATACTCCAGCCAAGACCCTTCCCCACCACAGGTGTGTACACACGTACGTATGTGCACATACACACACACACACAAATGCATGGTGTGGAGCAGGGTCAGAAAACCAAGTGCCTTCAGGGCTCAGCAAATATAGGTAAGTCAAGCTAGTGGACCGAGACTGTGGCAGATTGGAGATCCCATGCCCTGCCTGAAGGGGGCAGCTGCTGCTCAGCTTCCAGGGATTACTGCCTTTGGGAAATGAGGGCCCGGTGTGGCCAACTCTTCTTGTATTTCAGAAGCCTGAAATGTTAATGTGGAACCTACTAACTAATTGTTGACATGTTTAGAAAAATTAAAACACAGTGTGGACTAAAATGGGTAATATGGATTCTGGCTAGGGCTCCTATCTACTTTGGGCCCCTGCTCTAACGGATTGATGTTTATTCCTAGAATTTGGTCCAGCAGAAGATTCCTAGAAGAACAGGCTGGGTACACTGACTCTTGGCTGTCTATGCTTTGCAGACCCTGGTCTTGGATCTTTTGGGTCTAAGGAATGTCTAAGGTTGTTTTGAATGTTGAGCTCTATACTGAGGAGTGTACTAGGGAGAGAGGGTATCATCTCTGATTTTCTGCGAAGTGTCACCATTTCTAGATCATCAGTGTAAGCACTGAAGAATTATCAGGAACATGAACATCCAATCATGTTCATGTTCCTGACAATTTCACAAGTGATTTAGCTAAATATTAATTGAGGGCTCATGGGATTTAGAGTCCAGATGTGTTTGATGTGATGATGTCAGAAATATTGGCTGAATTGGCCGGGTACGGTGGCTCATGCCTGTAATCCCAGCACTTTGGGAGGCCAAGGCAGGCAGATCACCTGAGGCTGGGAATTTGAGAACAGCCTGGCCAACGTGGCAAAACCCCGTCTCTACCAAAAATACAAAAATTAGCCGGGTGTGGTAGTGCATGACTGTAGTCCCAGCTACTCAGGAGGCTGAGGCAGGAGAATTGCTTGAACCCAGGAGGCGGAGGTTGCAGTGAGCTGAGATCATGCCATTGCACTCCAGCCTGGGTGACAGAACCAAACTCTGTCTTAAAAAAAAAAGGCTCTATTGATGATAGCTAACATTTATTGGAACACGGTAAATATTGGGCCTTACTCTGTATAATTGATATCACATTAACTCATTTAATCTTCTTCCTAACCTTATTAGGTAAGTATTATTATCATTCCTATTTTACAGATGAAGAGATTGAAAAGTTAAGGAACATGCACCAGGCAAGCAGCAAAGGTAGGATTCAAACCCATGGCCCTGTGGCCCCAGAGCTCAAGCTCAATCACTGTTAAAGTATCTCCTTGCTTGGCACCTGATAGACCTGGGCAAGATAAAACACAAAGGTAGGATGTGACTGGGGAAAATTTTATCAAATAATAGCAAGAAAACACATCCATATGAGCTAAACAGTTGATCAAATGTTTTAATGTTCATTTTTTAACTTATAGACAACTTTTAATGACAATGAAAAACATTTTGATGAAGATCCTCAATATCATTGTGCTTCTCTCTTTATATACTGTCAAGATTGTTTTCTTAAAATTAAGTAATGGAGATGGAATTCTATCAAAGGGTGCACAAATTCCTAAATATTTTAAATATATGTATTGTCGAATTGTCCTTCAGCTAGGTGGTATGTACATCCCACTAACAGTTCTGCCATCATTTTTACTGGCCACATAGTATTCCATCACAAGGTGGAGATATAGTCATGTCAAACTTTAAGGTTTTCATCTAGCTTTTATTTAAACCTTTCTTGTAAAATTAACTGATCCTTTATCCCAGGGTTAAGTGAAAAACAACCTGATTCATGATGAAACTTCCCCACAGGATAAAAACATTCACTTTGGAACACAGACAAAGTTTGGCATCCAAATCGCTGTGAGGGTTTTTCTATCATGTCAATATTCTTTAGTTACGTGCTTATATGAATCAGCAAGTAGGAGTTATGTTGCTTTCTTAGTCCTTCCGGTTAGTTATTTGATTACAGTCTTTATCTCTTTTTATATAAATATTGTCTCAGGTTTTTCTCCTCCAGTAAAAAATAAGCAATCCTGCCTGTACATTTATATGTATGTAGCCTGGAACCACTTCTAGTAGCATTTCAATTCAAGTTTTGTGATTTTTCTGGTCCGTGAATTCTAAGCTGTTTAACAGACATCTCTACTCAATTTTGTTACTCAACTCCTGACTCAGATTTCCAACTCTGTAAGTTTTGTTTAAAGATATGATGCCTTTTAAAGAAACACACTGCATGTTTAAATAGAATATACAATTCTAAATAATAAATCACATGGGACCTGCTTTACATTGTGGAATATCTGTCTCAACCCTGGAGGCCTTTAAAAAATAGAATAATAATAAAAGCTGACATTTATTGAGCACTTATGATCTGTGAAGCACTGGGCTTTGCAAGCATTAATTTATTTGCTTTCATAGTAATCCTAAGAGGTAGGTTTTTTTTTTTTTTTTATCCTATTTAACAGATAAGGAACCAAAGCTTAGAGAGTTTAAGTAATTTGCCCAAGGTCACACAGGTAGTAAATGAAAGAGCCTGTATCCACTACAATCTTGTCTCCTAATCACTGTGTTATAGTCCCCGAAGTCTTGACTGGTGTTGGGCACAGTCCTAGGGACAAAGGCATCACAACTCTAGGCCACAGAGAACTCAGAAGTGAGTGCAGAGGCCTTTACCTATGTGTAGCCCATGTGTTTTGAGGAGTAGATATGTGGTTTTGAGATCCATTCAGCAGCTTGATGGGCACCAGTGCATGGACACCTGAGCCACAGGGCCAGCCCACCCAGCACTGCAAAACCCTGCAGCCTGGAGCGGGTTGGGTGGTTGGTGGTTCCCTAAGCCCGCTGCGATCTTGGAATAGTAATATATTCCTCTCAGAGGCAGATTGCAGGGGTGACATGTTATTACCTTTGCTAGCAATTGTTTTGTTTAATTTCCATTTTAAAATTTATTTCCTGTGAGAATGAACTGACTGGAAGTCATTTGTGCCAGGGAGGGAAGGTGAATTTCTTATTAACTCTCCCAGGTAATGGGTAGCTGCAGCTAGGGCTCTGTGAAGGACTTGAATTATTCAGGGTTGAGGAGGGCTGGGGAGGACTCAGAGAGGGCCTGATGGATGCAGTGTGCAGCCTGGTGGGAAGCAGGTGTGCTGTGGGCCTGGGACTTGAGGTGAGGACACCAGTCGAAGTTTTATACAAAAATCCTATAAGGACACTAGGCAAGTCCTTGCATTGGAGACAGCATCCCATCTTTTTCCCTGGCTGGAACATAGACCATATTAATGGCGAGGGGGTGAATAAAAGATTTTAATCACTTGTAAGAGTCCTTTCTTTGAAATAAAGTTTATCTGCCTTTCTATGGCTAGCAGATATGAAGATGGTGTCAATTGAAATTTGAGAGCTTTGTAAAAGGGAGAAGAAAGTGAGATGTGTATAGGGCAAAGGTGTGGAAGATGTGCAGGACCCCTTCCTCATCGCTCTGCCTGTGAACACATCTGAGGGGGACCCAGGGCAACTGGACCTTATTGTCCGGTGGCCTTGGTACTCCCTTCTCTGGAGTCCTTATTCTGGCTGGATGGCTCAGAACCTGTAGATTCAAAACCTCAGAGCCTTCCCCTCAGCACTCCCTTCCAATGAGTAGCCAGGTGTTGCCCACTCTCCCTCACAGGGGACTCAGTGTCCTTCCTTTCCTCTTTGGTTTACTGCCTGAGCCTTGTTTCAAGCTTTCATTCCCTCCTGCAAGAAATCCCCATTATGGACTGCTTGGCTTCCGCCCATGGCCTCTGAGGCCATCTTACAGGCTGGCACCAGATTGATCTTCCTAAGCATGGCTTTGGTGGTGGGACACACTTCTCTAAAACCTTCAATAGCTTCCCACCAGGTAAGATAAATGTCTTAGCTTGACAACTAATGATGTTCCAGCAATATTTCCCTATGGTCTATACTTACCTGACTCAAAGCAGCTGCTCCTTTTGCAGTGTCTCTGAATGTCCCTGGCCTTCATCCCCCTAAGCCCAGAGAAAAAGTTGGAGCCAGGCAGATCATATAACTGGAAGAAGCATGATCAATGGTACCCAACACTTGGTCTCAATTTAGAGGACAGAAGTAAAGGCTACTGTGAACTCCGGAGAATTACACAACACACATTCCATAACTAAGGTAGTAGCTGCTGCTGAGATCCAACTCATGTCTCCATGCAGGAATTCTGTTCTAGGATTTCTTAGAAAATGCATGTTTCTCTGAATCCAGAATCCTGAGAAAAATCAGTCAATAAGTCAAGAAAAGGTATTACAGCTCTTTGCCAAGAATCAAACTTTAACAATCAATGTAGATATAACTGGTTCAAAGAAATCGCTGATGTCAAGTTGAAAACAGGAGCAGTAAATGCTGATATATGGAATTGAAGATTAAGGTTAACTTTTCAAGGAATAAGTACAGGAGCATGGAGGAGAGAAGTGATGAAGATTTAAGTAGCCTTTATGATCTAATTGGTCAATCTTTCTTATGACTTGTCCCATATTTTAAGTGTGTGTTTGTGGCCTTGTATTCTACTTAGAGTGTGTCAATCTTCCAAATAAAATAAATATTAGTAAGTTTATATGAATAGCATACTTAAATCCTGTGAATGGCTGTTCCAAGAAAAAACAAATTTCAAAGCAAAGTCAGTCCTTAATAGGCAATTTTGACATATGGTTCTGTGTAGTGCAGTGAACCTTGCTAGATCCATTTGGTACTACCCAGTGATTCTCCCTGGCCTTTGTAGTGTTTACTATGGCCTACATTTATTTGCAAATACAGCTAAACAATATTCATTTATTAAAGAATTTTAAAAATATCCACAATAATGAGTAATGTATATGAAGAATTTTGAAAATATTTTTGAGAACAACATGATTTGTGGGGAATTTCTGAATATAATATTTCAGTTTCTTGTTCCAGAATCCTGAAGATTAATATCTGTGGGGAATTTTGAAACACTTGGCACAACTGATTGCTGCTAGAAGGAATGGAAGGTGGCCTCAGTGCTGTCAGATCTCCTTACTTTACAAGAGAAGTTAGAAATGTGGAAGTTTATGTCAAGTCTCCCAATTTAAAAAGTTGGAATATTTTATAATGTTCAATTTTGTGCTCTAAGCTGTTGATCTCAGCTTCTTTTGCTTAGACTGACTCCCCCTTCCCGTTCCTTCCCCACCTGCATCCCTGCTGGACGTTGCTAATATCCAGGTCCACATCTAACAGCAGAATTTAAATTCTTTCCTGGCTGGACTTGTGCTGCATCCATACATGTACCACCCACGGCACCCAAATGCTGAAGGGATCAATCAATATTTCTTAAGTTAATGGGTGAAAGAGAGTTGCAGACTACTGGATTGTAAATCTACAAATCTAGATCTTGACCTGCCAGGACTCATCATCAGATGACATACAACGTTTCTATCAGTGGCCACTTCCAGGGAATGAATGTTGGCCAGAGGCCAAACAGGGAATTACAGTGTGCAAATTCATGAATAGCCTGTTTACATTTCAAACCAGCTAAGCTCACAGCTTTTTTTTTTTAACCTAAAGGATTGTGCGTTATTTATAGACCCCTAATGACTATTAATAAGTAGAATTGTGGTTGAATTTCACAAATGTTACAATTGGAGAACAAACTCAATCTACACACATTCTTGTATGGAAATTACTCTGATTAGATCCTAATGACTAACTAAAGAGGTATTTGTCTATTCAGTTGCAGGGCAGAGAAGAGTAATTAGTTTATGCTCAGGCTCAATTCTTCTAGGAGACAGTAGGGTGAAACTTTTGGTCTTTAGACACAACACTCCAGTTCGTAAGAGGTCTCAGCTGACTTCCAAAAACTCCAGTGCCATGAGCCCTCTCCCAGTGAGAATAGGTCATCTTTGTGTTTCCCTCACACCAATCACAGAGCCTTGAACTTGGTGAGTGCTTAACAGATATTGAAAAAAAAAATTCTCAGTCTTTTAATTTTACCCCTTTATTTGGTTCAAACATTTATTATTTCCATAGTGTGCATTAAGTGCTAGGGATATAGAGAGAAATAGAACATGATCCTTTCCCTTTAAAGGTTCATATTCTCATAAGGGACAGACAGATGAACGTAGAGTGCTCTAAAACCTAGTGTGATGAATGCTAGAACAGTCCAGGACTCCATTATTTTAGATGTTCCCCACTGCATCTTGTACTTAACTTTAGACCTTCAACAGATCTGTATTGCAGTTTATTTTCTTGTCAGTCACCCCTGCTATACTGTGAGCAACTGGAGGGCAGATAATTTGCCTTAATCAGTTTTGTGTCCTGATGCTAGCTCAAGCCAGCACACAGTGGGTTTTCTATGAGGGTGGAGTAAATAAGTTAAAAAAGAGTGTCACCGGTCTTCCAGAGCTCTGACACTGCAAACTCACTCTGCCTTAAGAGAATGGAAGGAGAAGAGCCATCCCACTGGAAGTTCCCTAGGGCAAGGGGTCTATTGGGGTACATAAAAGCTTCCCCACAGGGAAGCTTCAGGAACCACTGCTCAGCCAGAGAAGTGGGTGCGACTTATAGCTTACTGCAAGGCTTGTGCCTCCAGACCATGAGTCCTGTTTTGAAATGCTTCACTGTAAATTAATATACCAACATCCTAATGAACATCCTAATGACTCTGTGAGGGTCCTGTCATTGGCATAAGTTGGCTTTCCTGAGTCCCACCAACTCCTGACCCTGGTCAGATCAAGTATCCAGGTCTACAAAGCTGGGGACCAGGCCTTGGAATGAAAGCGATCATGTGAGCTGGAGCTGCTTGTATTTCATCTTCCATTGCCACCTGAAGAAAGCCATTTGCAGTAGGAAGGAATGAGGCCAACAAACAAAGAAAAGTAAAGTCAAGAGATGGCTCCCTGATAACATTGTTCAAATGCCTGGATCTAGCTGTGCTTGAAAATAGCTGTCCTCTGGACTCTTTAGTTATGGAAACCAATAAATTCCTCCTCCTCTCTATTTTTTAGTTTAAGTTGGATTTATATCACTTGCATCCAAAGGAGCCCTGGATAATATACTCTTATAGTCCCACTTTTTAAGGATATTCTTCAATTTCTTAGAAAATACAGGTATAGGTTAAGGACTTGTGCTTTGGAGTGAGATAAACCTGGTTTCAATCTCTGACCACTGCATTGTGAGTCTCTCTGCTACAGCAGTCAGCCCCTTACCCTAACTAATACATCAAGTAAAAAATGATTCAGGCTTGAAGTGAGGTGGTGGCAGTGAGGACAGAAAGAAGGAGTTTGAGTGCTTTTACAACTTTAGAATTGATAGAATAGGGTAGTTTATTATATGTGTGAATGAGGGGCCAAGGAATGTTGGGGCTGCGGGGAACTGAGATGTCCTGGTTTCTGGCTTGAGTGACTGGTGGATAGTGGTGCCCAAGACCAGCTTCATGGGCGTGTTTCATGCATCCGTGATAGGCCCCAATCCTGGCAAACTTCCAGGTGGGCAGCTCTGCTCCTTCCGTTTTCAGAAGGCAGAATGAGCTTGCAGGGTCAGAGCTGTGGAAGAAAAGTGACACTCTTGCCCATTTATTCATTCATTTCAGTCCTTATGGAAAGCCTACTTTGTGCCAGCTTGAGCTAGCGCCAGGACACAAAATTGATTAAGGTGCATCTTCCGTCCTCAAGTTGGTCACAGTGTAGTGGGGACAACTGATGAGAAAATAATAAACTGTAATACAGAGGAGTTGAAGGTCTTAATTAAAGTCATACAAGGCCCCACACTTCGTTTAATGCTCTGCTGTTGCTGTCTTGAAATTCCTAATCATTGAACAAAGAGTCCTGCATTTACATTCTGCACCAGGCCCCACAAATTATGTGGCCTGTTCTGGTGTGCCATTCACTTAGAAAAGGTGTGATGGCAGAACAGTTTGGGGGTAAATGATAGTGAATTTGTCTTGGAAGTCTAAAGGTGGGGGCTGACAGGAGTGGTTTGGGATGGATGGAGGGAAAGAAAGAGCAGCAGTGGGGGTGGCTAGACTTCTAGGGTTTGAGGGGCAAGGTTTGTACATTTCTGTGGGCCAAGAGGATGTGCTCCCCACTCCAATAATCATAATAAAAACATGGGGACAACAGCTTCCTTGTCTCCTGGGTCCTGTAGTTTCTGAAAACCCCACTGACATGTGACCAGACAGGTTTATGAGAGGCAGAGCAGGATAGCTGGGACAAAAATCAGGCAACTTTTTGGATGAAGGTTTACAGAAGCAAGGTTAATATTCTCAATATCTTGCTCATACAGATGCTGTGAAAAGAACAGAAATGACTGCCCTTAATCTGCTGCTGTATTCCTTGGCAGATAATATTTTGTTTGTTTGTTTTTGTTCCAGCAATTTGACAGTTTGACTGTGGATACTATATCTCTCTGGCAACAGAACTCGAAGCAGTCCTATGCAGCTCATTGGGGTATTATTCAATATTTTAGCTTGAGAATGAAAAAAAGGCATTTTGATTGATTTAATCTGTGAGCCAGAGTATCTTGAGGTATAGTGCAAAGGGTGTGGGCTTTAAGGTCAGGCATCTCAGGTTCAAATCCATGTCTCATGAGTCAAAAGCCAAGTGATCCTGGGCAAGTCTTTGAGCATCTGTTTTCTTACCTGTGAAACATATGCACCTTGCAGGGTGTGGTAAGTATTGGAAGTAATATGAGAGTGACAGGATGTTGAACGGGACTTTTCCTGTTGACTTGGTTGACAAACCTGGGAAAATGTCTGATACAGTTTAAAATAAATCTCCCAAGGGCTTGCCAAGTGGTGGTCATACTGGTCTAGTAGCTTCTCCTCCAACGGCTTATGTAACAGAAGCTTAGAGCGTGCTTTGAGGAAGAACATTGGAAAGGAATTGGTAGGGGAAGGTTAGAAGTGCTCTTCTCCTACATTAGCTAAATGAGAAACAACCCAAAAGAATGACTTAGAGAGATTGGGGGTGCTGAAGAGAAAGGGAGACCCTCATTTCACTTCCTGTGCTGCTGGCAGAGTGTGACTTGAGAGGAGAGTTCTTGGGAGACTGATATGTCACTTGGAGTTCAAGGCCTGGAAACTGCTTCCCAGGGAAATGGATGGAAAGATTGGCTGGAGAGAGGGGAGCTGAGGTAGTGACCTTCACTTCATTTGGTGGTTAAGGGTTAGTGATCTTACCTGTAGGCTGCGGTGATGCCATGGGAGGTAACCAGGCAAGCACTGTCTTGATAACTATCTTCATCATGCTGTATGCTAGCTCTCCAGAATTTATTCATCTTGCATAACTGAAACATTGTACTCTGTGATCAGCATCACCCGATTTCCCCTTCCCCCAGCCCCTAGCAACCACCATCCTACTACTCACTTCTATGAATTTGACTATTTTAGATTCCACATCTAAGTGAGATCATGCAGTAGTTTTCTTTCTGTGTACTGCTGTTTTTCACTTAGTATAATGCCCTCCAGCTCCATCCATGTTGTCTCCAGTAGCAAGATTTCCTTATTTCCTTCCTTTTTTTCTGATGGGGTCTTGCTATATTGCCCAGGCTGGATTCAAACTCCTGGGCTCAAGTGATTCTCCCACCTCAGCCTCTCAAGTAGCTGGGATCACAGGCACAGGCATTTTTTTGTTTTATAAGGCTGAATTACACACACATACACACACACACATATATACACGTACACACACGTATTAATATATATGATATGCACACACACAATACCTCTACTATGTAGAGATCATGGATATGTTAACTAGCTTAATTGTGTTGATCATTTCACAATGTTTATGTAGAACAAAACATCAAGTTATTCACCTTAAATATATATAATTTTCGTATGTCGATCATACCTCAATAAAGCTGTTAAAAAGCTCTCATTATCCATCAACCTATCTCATAAGTGTGTCATATCTTATTTAGAAAATATAAATGAATACAAGTAAAAAAGGTAATTGCATTTTCTAAGTATCAGAATTCAGCTAGGGTGGTAATAATCAAAGTATGATCTTGATATTAGAAACCCAAGACTTTTCTATATAAACACCAAAGAGGTCTCCTGTAGTCACATGACAAATATTTGTATTTCTTGCATCATGTAAAATCCATAGCATAAATTTTTAAAAAAGAGAGTTGCCTTGAAAAGAACCAATCAATGGAAGAAAGTTATTTTCTAAAAAGGAAGTTTGTTGAGCACCTTAGGGCTGTGTCATTGAAGCAAAATCTTAGAGTGTTTGCAAGTGGTTAGCTAAAGAGAACATCTTCATCAGGAAATGAGGCAGTGAGACAGTGTTTGTCTGTTGGGCACTCCTTCAAAGAGAGAGACAGGATTTGGGCTCCTGCAATGAGAAAGACATTTAACAACTGAGGAGGACTTACCAACATTCCCATCTAAATTAGAAAAGTATTACCCACGTTTCCTCTATTTTTTTTCTCCCTGATCTGCCCCCAGTTGGGGTAGGAGGTAGAAGGGATTGGATAAAAGAAAAAGAAAAAAACATATCTTATCCCACTATCCCTATTTTTCCACCAAAAGCTTAAACCTGAATGTGGGGGTGGGAGGCGGAATGTCAAAGACAAGATATAAATGAAATGACAGGTTTAAATTGCACTAAAGATTTTATTTAAATTGGACTTGACTTTTTAAAAACTTTTAATTGAGGGAAACTTCAAACATATGTAAAAGTAGAGAAAATAGTATGATAAACACCCATGTACCTGTCATTTATTTTCCATAATTATCAATTTGTGGCCAATCTTGTTTCATTTGTAGTCTCAACCATTCCCTATCTCCTGAGTTATTTTGAAGCAAATCTGAGACATCATACCATTTCATTTTATAAATTTTTCAGATGTGTCTTTCTAAGATATAAAGACTCATTATTTAAGCATAACTTAAATATTGTTATCACATTTTATTTGACAATAATTTCTTTTTAAAAACTGGTTTATTTTTAATTTCTGTGGGTACATGGTATATATATTTATGGGGTGTATGAGATATTTTGATGCAGGCATACAATGTGTAATAATTACACGATTATCACCAGGCTAAATGAGGTATTCATCACCTCAAGCATTTATTCTTTGTCTCACTAACCACGCCCCTCACCCACCATCCCACACACTACCATTCCCAGCCTTTGGTAACCTCTGTCTACTCTCTGTTTCCATGAGTTCAATTGTTTTAAGTTTTAGCTCCCACATATGCATGAGAATATGTGAAGTTTGTCTTTCTGTACCTGACTTATTTCGCTTAACATAATGTCCTCCAGTTCTATCCATGTTGTTGCAAATTACAGGATCTCATACATTTTTATAGCTGAATAGTACTCCATTGTGTATATGTACCACATTTTCTTTATCCATTTATCTGTTGATGGGCACTTGGGTTGCTTCCAAATCTTGGCTACTGTGAACAATGCTGCAATAAACATGGGACTGCAGCTATCTCTTCAATATACCGATTTCCTTTCTTTTGAGTATGTACCTAGCAGTGGAATTGCTGGATCATATGTTAGCTCTATTTTTAGTTTTTTGAGGAACCTCCAAACTGTTTTCCACAGTGATTGTACTAATTTACATTCTCACCAGCAGTGTACAAGGGTTCCCTTTTCTCCACATCCTTGCTAGCATTTGTTATTGCCTGTTTTTTGGCTAAAAGCCATTTTAACTGGTTGAGATGATATCTCATTGTAGTTTTGATTTGCATTTCTCTGATGATTAGTGATGTTGAGCAGTTTTTCATATGCCTGTTTTCTATTTGTATGTGTTTTGAGAAATGTCTACTTAGGTCTTTTGCCCACTTAAAAATCAGATTATTAGATTTTTTTCCCTATAGAGTTCTGTGAGTTCCTTATATATTCTGGTTATTAATTCTTTGCCAGATGGATGGTTTGCAAATATTTTCTCCCATTTGGTGGGTTGTCCCTTCACTTTGTTGCTTGTTTCCTTCACTGTGCAGAAGCTTTTCATCTTGCTGTGATTCATTTTTGTCCATTTTCCCTTTGGTTACCTGTGCTTGTGAGGTATTACTCAGAAATCTTTGCTCAGTCCAGTGTCCTGGAGAGTCTCCCGAATGTTTTCTTGTAGTAGTGCCATAGGTTGAGGTATTAGATTTCAGTCTTTAATTCACTTTGATTTGATATTTGTATATGGTGAGAGTTAGGGGTCTAGTTTCATTCTTCTGCATATGAATGTTTAGTTTTCCCAGCCATTTACTGAAGAGACTGTTCTTTCCCCATTGTATGTTCTTGGCACTTTTGTAAAAAATGAGTTCACTGTAGATCTACACATTTGTTTCAGGGTTATCTATTCTGTTCCATTAGTCTATGTGTCTGTTTTCATGCCAGTATCATGCTGTTTTGTTTACTGTAGCTCTGTAGTATAATTCGAAGTCAGGTAATGTGATTCCTTCAGTTTTGTTCTTTTTACACAGGATAGCTTTGGTTATTTCTGGTCTTTTGTGGTTCCAAATACATTTTAGGATTGTTTTTTCTATTTCTGTGAAGAATCCCATTGATATTTTGATAGGAATTGCATTGAATCTGTAGGTTGCTTTCGGTAGTATGGACATTTTAACAATATCAATTCTTCCAATCCGTGAACATGTAATATCCTTCCATTTTTTTGTGTGTCTTCTTCAATTTCTTTCACCAGTGCTTTATAGTTTCCATTGTAGATATTTTTCACTTCTTTGGATATTTCCTAGTTATTTAATTGTATTTGTAGTTATTATAACTGGGATTACTTTCTCTTTTTTTTATTACACTGAGTGCTGGGGTATATGTGCAGAATGTGCAGGTTTGTTACATAGGTATACATGTGCCATGGTGCTTTGCTGCACCCATCAACCCATCATCTACATTAGGTATTTCTCCTAATAGTATCCTTCCCCCAGCTCCCCACCCCCTGACAGACCCTGGTGTGTGATGCACCACCCCAACCCCTGTGTCCATATGTTCTTTTTTCAACCCCCACTTATGAGTGAGAACATGCAGTGTTTGATTTTCTGTTGTTGTGTTAATTTGCTGAGAATGCTAGTTTCCAGCTTCATCCATGTCCCTGCAAAGGATATGAACTCTTCCTTTTTTATGGCTGCATAGCATTCCATGGTGTATATGTGTCACATTTTTTTAATCCAGTTTATCATTGATGGGCATTTGGGTTGGTTTCAAGTCTTTGCTACTGTGAACAGTACTGCAATAAACATACGTGTGCATGTGTCTTTATAGTAGAATGATTTATAATCCTGTGCTCTGTCCCACGGAGATGGGGGTTTTATCTATAAGTCCCTGACTGGGGCTGCTGCCTGTTTTTCGGAGATGCCCTGCCCAGAGAGGAGGAATCTAGAGACGCAGTCTGGCCACAGGAGCCTTGTTGAGCTGTGGTAGTCCTGCCCAGTTTGAACTTCCCTGTGGCTTCGTTTACACTGAGAGGGTAAAACTGCCTACTCAAGCCTCAGCAATGGTGGACTCCCCTCCCCCCACCAAGCTTGAGTGACCCAGGTTGACCTCAGACTGCTGTGCTGGCAGCGAGAATTTCAAGCCAGTGGATCTTAGCTTGCTAGGCTCTGTGGGGCAGGACCTGCTGAGTCAGACCACTTGGCTCCCTGGCTTCAGCCCCCTTTCCGGGGGAGTGAAGGGTACTGTCTCACTGGTGTTCCAGGTGCCACTGGGGTATGAAAAAAAAGCTTCTGCAGTTAGCTTGGTGTCTGCCCAAATGGCTGCCCAGTTTTGTGTTTGCTTGAAACCCAGGGCCCTGGTGGTGTAGGCACCAGAGGGAATCTCCTGGTCTGCCGCTTGCGAAGACCATGGGAAAAGTGCAGTATCTGGGCTGGAGTGCATCATTCCTCCTGGTACAGTCTCTCACAGTTTCCCTTGTCTGGAGGGGGAATATCCCCTGACCCCTTGCTCTTCCTGGGTCAGGTGACACCCTACTGTGCTTCGGCTCATCCTCTGTGGGCTGCACCCACTGTCCAACCAGTCCCAATGAGATGAATTGGAAATGCAGAAATCACCTGCCTTCTGCGTCATTCTTACCAGGAGCTGCAGATAGAGCTGTTCCTATTCAGCCGTCTTGCCAGCTGAGACTTTTGGGGATTACTTACTTTCTTGATTTATTTTTCAGATTGTTCACTGTTGGCATATGGAAATGCTACTGATTTTTGTATGTTGCTTTTGTATCTTGCAGGTTTACTCAATTGGTTCATCAGTTTTAATAATGTATAGTGTTTTGGTGGAGTCTTTATGTTTTCCCAAATATAAGACCGCATGATCTGCAAACAAGGATAATTTGACTTCTTCCTTTCCAGTCTGGATTTCCTTTATTTCTTTTGTCTGATTTCACTAGCTAGGACTTCCAGTACTATGTTGAATAACAATGGTGAAAGTAGGCATCCTTACCTTGTTCCAGATCTTGGAGAAAAGACTTTCAGTTTTTTCCCATTCAGATACTAGCTGTAGGTCTGTCATATGTGGTGTTTATTCTGTTGAGGTATGTTCCTTCTATCCCCAGTTATTTTAGGGTTTTTATCATAAAGAGATGTTGAATTTTATCAAATGGGTTTTCAGCATCAGTTGAAATGTTCATATAGTTTTTGTCCTTCATTCTGTGAATATGATGTATCACATTGATTGATTTACATATATTGAACCATCCTTGCGTTTCTGGGATAAATCCTACTTGGTAATGGTGAATGATCTTTTTAATGTGTTGTTGAATTCAGTTTGCTAGTATGTTGTTGAAGATTTTTGCATCAACATTCATCCAAGGTATTGGCCTGTAGTTCCCTTTCTTTCTTTTCTTTCTTTTTCTTTCTCTCTCCCTCCCTCCCTTCTTTCCTTCCTTCCTTCCTTCCTCCCTCCCTTCCTTCTCACCCTCCCTCCCTTCCTCCCTCTCTCCTTCTCTCTTTCTTTCTTTCTTTTTCTTTCTTTCTTTCTTTCTTTCTTTCTTTCTTTCTTTCCTTCTTTTCTCTCTTTCTCTCTTTCTTTCTTTTTCTTGTCTGTCTTTCTTGTCTTTGTCTGGTTTTGGTGTCATGGTAATATTGGCCCCATAGAATGACTTTGAAAGTATTCCCCCTTCCTCTATTTTTAGTAATAGTTTGAATAGGATTGGTATTAGTTCTTCTTTAAGTGTTTGATAAAATTTATCAGTGAAGTCATCAGGTCCCAGGTTTTTCTTTGCTGGGAGAGTTTTTTTACTACAGCTTCAATCTTGCCACTTGTTAATTTGGTTTGTTCAGGTTTGCAGTTTCTTTATGGTTTAGTCTTGGTAGTTGGTAGGTGTCTAGGAATTTATCCATTTCTTTTAAGTTTTCCAATTTATTGTCATGTAGTTGCTCATAGTAGCCTGTAATGATCCTTTGAATTTTTGCAGTATCTGTTTTAATGTCTTATTTTTGTTCATCTCTGATTTTATTTATTTGGGGCTTCTCTCTTTTTTCCTTAGTCTGGCTAAAGGCTTGTCAATTTTGTTTATCTTTAAAAAAATCAACTTTTTGTTTCATTGATCTTTTGTATTTTTTGTTTCAATTTCATTTACTTTTGCTCTGATCTTTCTTCTTTTCTAGTACTAACTTTGGGTGTGATTTGTCTTGCTTTTTTAGTTGTTTAAGATGCATTTTTCTGTTGTTTATTTGATGTTTTTCTTCTTTTTTGATGTAGGCACTTATAGCTATAATTTTTCTTAGTACTGCTTTCACTGTATCCCATGGGTTTTGTTTTGTTTTGTATTTTTAGTAGAGATGGGGTTTTGCCATGTTGTCCAGGCTAGGCTTGAATTACTGACCTCAAGTGATCAGCCCACCTCAGGCTCCCAGAGTGCTGGGATTACGGTCATGAGCCACCGCACCCAGCCTGTATCCCATAGGTTTTTGTATGTTGTATTTCCATTATCATTTGTTTCAAGAAAATTTTCAATTTTCTTCTTAATCTCATCATTGACCCACTGGTCATTTGGGAGCTTATTGTTTAATTTCCATGTGTTCATATAGTTTCCAAAATTCCTTTTGTTACTGATTTCTGGTTTTATTCCCTTGTAGTCAAAGTAGATACTTGATATTATTTCAATTTTTTGAATATTTTAAGACTTGTTTTGTGGACTAACATATGGTCTATCCTTGAGAATGATCCGTATTCTGAGGAGAAGAATGTGTATTCTGCTGCTCTTGGATGAAATGTTCTATAAATACCTGTTATGTCTATTTGGCCTTATAGTATGGATTAAGTCTGATATTTCTTCATTGATTTTCTGTCTGGATGATCTTTCCAGTGCTGAGAGTGGGGTGTTGAAGTAGCCAGTTATCATTGTATTGCAGTCTATCTCTCTTTCTTTAGCACTATTAATATTTGCTTTATATATCTGGGTGCTGTAATTTTGGGTGTACATATATTTATAATTGTTGTATCTTCTAGCTGAATTGACTTCTATCATTATATCATGATCTTCTTTCCTTCTTTGTCTGTTTTTATAGTTTTTGTCTTGAGATCCATTTTGTGTGATGTAAGTATAGCTATTCCTGCCCTTTTTTGGTTTCCATTTACATAAAATAATTTTTTCTATCCCTTTATTTTCAGTCTATATATATCTGTATAGTTTAATTATGTTTCTTGTAGTCAACTGATCATTGATTCTCGGTTTTTTTTGTTTTTTGTTTTTATCCATTCAGCTAGTCTATGTCATTTGATCTAAGAGTTAGTCCATTTACATTCAATGTTATCATTGATAAATAAGGATTTACTCCTGCCATTTTGTTATTTGTTTTCCAGTCATTTTGTGGTCTTCTCTTTTTTCTTTTCTTCCTTCTTATCTTCCTTTTAGTGAAGATAACTTTCTCTGGTATTTTAATTTCTTGCTTTTTATTTTTAGTATATCCATTGTATGTTTTTAGATTTCAAATTACCATGAGGCTTGCAAATAATATCTTGTAACTCATTATTTTAAACTGATGACAACTTAATGCTGATTATATAAACTAACAAACAAGTAAAAAGAAAACTAATAAAAACTGTATGCTTTAACTTCTTCTCCCCACTTTTTTTTTTTTTTCGAGATGGAGTCTTGCTTTGTCTCTCAGGCTGGAGTGCAGTGGCACGATCTCAGCTCACTGCAAGCTCCATCCCCTGGGTTCATGCCATTCTCCTGCCTCAGCCTCCTGAGTAGCTCGGACTACAGGTGCCCGCCACCACACCTGGCTCATTTTTTGTATTTTTAGTAGAGATGGGGTTTCACCATGTTAGCCAGGATGGTCTCAATCTCCTGACCTTGTGATCCACCCACCTCGGCCTCCCAAAGTGCTGGGATTACAGGTGTGAGCCACCACACCTGGCCTCTTCTCCCCACTTTTAAATTTTTATTTCTATTTATATCTTACTGCACTATCTATGTCCTGAAAAGTCATTGTAGTCATTATTTTTGATTGGTTCATCTTTTTATCTTTCTACTTAACAGATGAGTAGTGTACACACCACAATTACAGTGTTATAATATTTTGTGGGTTTTTTTTGTATACTTACTATTACCAGTGAGTTTCATGCTTTCAGATGATTTCATATTGCTTGTCAACATTCTTTTCTTTATGATTGAAGAACTCCCTTTAGCGTTTCCTGTAGGATAGGTCTGGTGTTGATGAAATCCCTCAGCTTTTGTTTGTCCAGGAAAGTCTTTATTTCTCCTTCATGTTTGAAGGATATTTTTGCCAGATATACTATTCCAGGATAAAAATATTTTCCTTCAGCACCTTAAATATGTTATGCCACTCTCTCCTGGCCTGTAAAGTTTCCACTAAAAAGTCTGCTGCCAGACATATTGGATCTCCATTGTTTGTTTCTTTCTCTTGCTGCTTTTAGGATCCTTTATCCTTTACAGTTGGGAATTTGATTATTAAAAATCTTGAGATAGTCTTTGGGTTAAATCTGCTTGTGTTCCATAACCTTCTTGTATTTGGATATTGATATCTTTCTCTAGGTTTAGGAAGTTCTCTGTTATTATCCCTGTGAATAAACTTTCTACCTTTATGTCCATATCTACCTCTTCTTTAAGGCCAATAACTCTTAGATTTGCCCTTTTGAGACTATTTTCTAGATCTTGTAAGTGTGCTTCATCTTTTATTCTTTTTTTTTTTTGTCTCATTTGACTGTTTTCAAAAAATCTGTCTTCCAGGTCACTAATTCTTTCTTCTGCTTGATCAGTTCTGCTGTTAAAGAACTCTGATGCATTTTTCAGTGCCAGTTAACATTTTTCAGCTTCAGAATTTCTGCTTGACTCTTTTAAATTATTTCAATTTCCTTGTTAAATTTATCTGGTAGGATTCTGAATTCATTCTCTGTGTTATCTTGAAGTTCTTTAAGTTTACTCGAAACAGCTATTTTGAATTCTCTGTCTGAAGGGTCACATATCTCTGTTTCTCTGAGATTGGTCCATGGTGCCTTATTTGGTTCATGTGGTGATGTCATGTTTTCCTGAATGATATTAATGTTTGTGCATGTTCATTGGTGTCTGGGCATTAAAGAATTAGGTATTTATTGTAGTCGTCACAGTCTGGGCTCATTTATACTCATCCTTTTTTATAAGATTTTCCAGATATTTGAAGGAAATTGGGTGTTGTAACCTAAGTTTGTGGTCGCTGCAGCTGTACCTGCATTAAGCGATACTCCAAGCCCACTAACACTGTGTTTTTGTAGACTTGTAGAGGTACCGCCTTGGTGGTCTTGGATAAGATCTAGAAGAGTTGTCTGGATTAACAGGCAGATGCTCTTGTTCTCTTCCCTCCCTTTCTCCCAAACAAATGGAGTCTCTCTTTCTTTCTGTGCTGAGCCACCTGGATTTAGAGGAGGGGTGACACAAGCACATCTGTGGCTACCACCACTGGGACTGTGCTGGGTCAGACCTGAATTCAGGACAGCATTGAGTCTTATCCTCCCTATCCCTCCCTCTACCTACCATTCTCAGACTCTAGTATCCTCTGTTCTACTTTTTACTTCTATAAAACAAGCTTTTTAAAGCTTCCACATATGAGTGAGAACTGTAATGTTTAACTTTCTGTTACTGGCTTATTTTACTTAACGTACTGTTCTCCAGTTCCATCTATATTACTGCAAATGACAGAATTTTATTCTTTTATATGGCTAAATAGTGCTCCATGGCATGTATATACCACATATTCTTAATCCATTTATCTATTATTAGACACCTAGGTTGATTCCATATCTTGGCTATTGTGCGTAGTGCTGCAATAAATATGAAGATGCAGATGTATTTTTGATATATGATGTCCTTTCCTTTGGAAAAAATCCTGGTAGTAGAATTGCTGAATCATATGGTAGTTCTATTTGTAGTTTCTTGAAGGACCTCCATATTGTTCTCCCTAGTGGTTGTGCTAGTTTGCATTCCCACCAACAGTATATAAGAGTTCCCTTTGGAATGTAAATTAGTTCAGCCATTGTGGAACACAGTGTGGTGATTCCTCAAAGATCCAGAAGCAGAAATACCACTTGATCCAGCAATCCCATTACTGGGTATACACCCAAAGGAATATAAATCATTTTATTATAAAGATACATGCATGTGTATGTTCATTGCAGCATTATTCACAATAGCAAAGACATGGAATCAACCCAAATGCCCATCAACAGTCGACTGGATAAAGAAAACGTGGGACATACACACCATGGAATACTGTGCAGCCCCCAAAAAAATGAGATCATGTCCTTTGCAGGGACATGGATGAATCTGGAAGCCGTTAACCTCAGCAAACTAACGCAAGAACAGGAAACCAAACACCACGTGTTCTCACTTATAAGTGGGGGCTGAACAATGAGAACACATGGACACATTGGTGGGGGACAACACACACTGGGGCCTGTTAGCAGGTTTGGGGGAGGAAGAGCATCAAGAAGGACAGCAAATGGGTGCTGGGCTTAATATGTGGGTGATGGATTGTTATGTGCAGCAAACCACCATGGCACATGTTTACCTATGTAACAAACCTGCACATCCTGCACATGTACCCCGGAACTTAAAAGTTGATTAAAAAAAAAAAAGAGTTCCATTTCCTCCACATCCTCACCACCACTTGTTATTTTTTGTCTTTTTGATAATAGCCACCTTAACTTGTGTAAAATAATTCCTCATTGTGGTTTTGACCATGGTTATTCTCCTAGAGAATTAAGGAGTCCTCCTGTGGGTCTGTTTGATGATGCTCCAGTGTAATATTGAAGAGCCACATTATCCTTTTGTTTCATTTTCCAGTGTTAGAGTCAAATCCAATAGTTTGCTTATTAGAGTTCAAATTATGTCATATCTTTAGTGACAAGATTCTACCCCACCCAATTAAGTATTGACCAATGAGAATTGCATGGTACACAAATAACATAATTTTGCTTTTATGATGTAAATATTGTAAAAGTATATCCATGTTTAAAGGCTTGAATTTTTAGGAAAGTCATTTCTCTTGGGATTCCTCTTCTGTTCCATTGGATGAGGGAAGGTGAGAGGGAGGTGAGAAAATGTGTTCCTGGGAAGATTAATTGTAGAATTCGAATGGGAGTAGAGGCTGATTGCCTCTGAAGGGTGAGTGGGGACAGAGAATTTGTGGATGTAGCTAAGAGTTCCCCATGCCTTTGCCTATGAGAGTCATCTTTCTCTATTTAGAAGAATGACTACTGACTTTTAGGCTTTTTTTTTTAAAGATATTTATTGTGCTTATCTAAAAACATTATGTGAGCAATAAATTGATAAATGCTGTATAAAAAATGTTTTGTTGAATGAGGTCTGGCTGATGGGGACTAGGGGTAGCAGATGTTGTATGCAAAGTACAGTGAGTTATTTGCTTCCAAGAAAAACAGATCCATCGAGTATCTTTCAATATGCTACATTCTCTGGAGATTTTTTCAAAACCCAGAGTCCTTAGTGATCTGTCCTTTATCAGCTTAGATGTTTAACTCCTGCTGACCTTTTATTGATTCTGGGAATGTGTTATCTTAGAAAGAGCTGGTTTCTGTCAATTTCCCCTCACTCATTATTACTGGGACTATATTTAAGATCTCCCATTTCTGTGGATCTATTTGGGACCCACTACCAAATTCATAGAATACTCATCCCTCCTATGCCTTCTCTGTTGCTAGGAGTCCAACACAGAAAAGTAAGTGTTCTCTACTTTGGAAATGGGTAAATCACCACTGCTCTTTACTATGTCTTCTGGGAGCCCTTGATTTCCTATTATAATGTAATTTTAAAAATATTTCCTGACAGATATGCAGATAGGCAGAATGAATGCTCTACCAGTTTTAAGAAGCCTGGAATCTGAGGATATGGAATAAAAGTTAACTTTTGAGAAAAAAATAGTGGTAGGTAAGGAAAGGGTTAGAGGAAAAAAATGGAAAAGATGAAAAACTGTTTTCACTGACACAAGTTATGGGACCTTAAGCAAAAGTACAGAAAGTGTTTCTTGTCCCGTGGTAAATAGATAGCAGTGGTAGATCTGTACTATTTGTAAAGAACAAGCAAGGTGTAAACATGAACCATTCCTCTTACCCTGACTTTGGCTCATTCCTTTATTTCTTTCTCATTTTATTCATTTTTATTTATTAATTCATCACATATTGGGCATCTGGGTATAGCAGTAAATTTGGAATATAGTGATGAAGAAGACGTGGTTCCTGCCCTCATAGAGCTCATAGTTTGCTCCTTTTCATTGCATTTTCCAATTTGCAATGAAATCCTACCATCAGGTTAGGCAATTTAGCTGAATTATTATTATGGAGATAGATAGGTAGATAGATCAGATACACATATATTCATAAGTATATTGTTATGAAGTCATATCCCTGTAATTATCTTTTATTATATTATTATCTCCACTTGTTCCCCACCAATTCATTATTTTTATTTTAATCGTTTTTGGGGTGGAGGTGGTTTTTGTTACATGGATAAGTTTTGTTTTCCATTCCTGACTTACTTCACTTAGAATAATGGTCTCCAATTCCACCCAGGTTGCTGCAAATCCCATTATTTCATTCCTTGTTATGGCTGAGTAGTATTCCATGGTATATATACATACCACATCTTCTTTATCCACTTATTTGTTGATGGGCACTTAGGCTGATTCCTTATCTTTGCAATTATTAATTGTGCTGCTAGAAAAATATATGTGCATATGTCTTTTTCATATGACTTCTTATCCTTTGGGTAGTTACCAAGGAGTGGGATTGTTGAATTGAATGATAGTTATATTTTTAGTTCTTTAAAGAATCTCCATACAGTTTTCCATAGTGGTTGTACTAATTTACATTCCCACCAGCAGTGTAAATGTGTTCCCTTTTCACCACATCCATGCCAACATCTATTGTTCTTTGACTTTTAAATTATGGTCATTCTTGCAGGAGGAACATAGTATATCACTGTGGTTTTAATTTGCAGTTCCCTGATGATTAGTGATGTTGAACATTGTTTCATGTTTCTTGGATGTTTGTGTATCTTCTTTTGAGAAATGTCTATTCATGTTCGTTCTTTGCCCACTTTTTGTCCCCATCAATTCATTCTATTAATCTCCCTTAATATGACCACGGAAAGGTCATGATTAGTCTCCCAGTTGTCAAATGTGATGACCTTTAACCAGGCTTTCTTGTCCTTGACTTCTCCAAGAATTTGACAGTGTTAAATACTCCCCTTTTCCTGAATTCTTTTCTACCTGTTCTATCCTGGCTAGAGTCATGGGCTTTAGAATCCCACCAAACTGACTTTGAATCCTTGCTCTGCCATTTTCTGACTTTATGAGCTAGGAAGTAGTCACTTCTGCTCTGTGCCTCAGTTTGGTTATCCATAAAGTAGGAGTAACAGTATCACCCTATCTTACAGGGTTCCATAAGGTGAAAATTAAATGAACAAATATATGTGAAATAATTAGTGAGCCCTCTGGCTCGGCTCTTTTTTCTTCCCTTCAAGTGTGTCCTGTGTTCAGGTACCTGAATTTGAGTCTCTGTCATCTCAGTCAACACTTCTCTCTTGGATCTCTCCTGTGGTTTTTGCTTGCCCCCTCTGGGTAAATGAGAATGACTTTCTAATCATTATCCCTTATTCTGATCTCTAACTCAAGCGTCAGTCCCACCTCACTATATAGAGTGCTCATTATAAAAGATAAGGACACAATGGTTCACTTTCATTATATAATGGCAAGAGAAGGTAAAATCAGCCTGGGTAGAATGGGCTAAAGCTAGGGTAACCATCTGTTTCCGGTTGCTCAGACTGTTCCTGGAGAATGCATGTCATCCCAGTGTACTGTCCAATGATCACTTCCTTTCTTGCTCAATAGGGTCACAGTTAAGAGAATAAATTACATGTTCACTTTAGTTAAAGCCAATGTTTGAGTAAAGATGACTGGTTGAGTTATTCTATTTACTTGGCCATTCATTGGGTCATTTACTCAACAGATATTCCTCTGGGTAAGTCCCTGGGGCCAGAATACTAGACAACATGTGATCCTCACTCAAGAAGTTCATAGTCCAGTGGGTGGGACATATAGTAAATCATTGATTACAGAATACTGCCATCAATGCTATTATAAGGGTGAACCCAGGATGACACAGGAATGCAAAAGAAGGAGAGAAAGAGAAAGAGAGTGAGAGAGAGCTCCAGGGGATTGAAGGAGTGTGGTTGGATTTGGGAAGGGATAGACGTTTTCCAGAAGAGGTATCAGGAAAACACTGGCTTTATGAAGTTAATATACAGTATTAGGGTAAGGGTTTAGGAAAGGGAGAAGGGGAAAACAATATGGACATTTTCAAAGAATGTAGTTTTGCCTACATCATGCCCCAGGCGGCAGAGAATCCCTTAGCAAAAAAAAAAAAAAAAAAAAAATTGCAACTCTGGGGGTGTTTGCTTTCCTCCACAAGGCTCTTTAAGTCCTCTTGCTTGATATCAATGCTCCAAAGTACTCCATCATAAAGAGATGTTTAAAAATTCCTCCTAATTAAGACAATTTCAACACAATTTGAAATTTTCTATTAATTTTAATGTTTATTATTTAAAAATTTTGTTTTACTGAATTTCTCTTCAGAGATAACAGGCACAGCAAAATGTCTATAGCAGTCCCTGGTAATGTTGGGAATAGGGTAAAGGGTTAGAACTTTGTGTTCAAATTAGCCTGTCTCACGAACGGCTAGGACCCCGTAACTGGTGCTGAAGGCCAATTGTCAGCACTGCCTCTACCCCTCAGACGGGCCTTCCTTTAACTGTCCCCAGCCACAGAGAAGCTTATGGAAATGGTTGAGAAATGTCTTTAATCCCAGTTCAAATGAGGATCTGTATAACTGTGTAACTCCAGCTTCCAGTGGGCATGTGGTTTTCTTGACTATGTCATTTTGTAGAGTTTTGAATTTGTTGCTTTTATCAGACAGAATTCTTGATCTCACATGAAACCTGTGCTAATTGGAGTAAAAGAAAAATTTTGGAAGGATATTGGGTAGATCACAAAATCTACAGGGATGGGGATGGAGAACTACACTTGAAGAATTGGTGAGGAAGACCTCACTGTAAATCTGCTAAAGACACCATTCTGGCACTGCTGCTAACAGCCAGGAGTGCTTTGCTCCAGAAACTTGCTTCTGTGGTTCTGGACTTTTGGCTCCCTCAGGGCCCCACTGCGCATTTGTAGAACTCACTTTCAACTCAGACAGAATCATCTGATTATCTGAGACTGGGTTGCCCAAGCAATAGCTGCAAGCAAACTGATAGAGAAAATTTTTCTCCTTTAGGGTCTGTCTTCCACCTGTCGTGGGACTTCTGTGCCCTCCACTCCAAAAAAGGGCTGTTTGGATGCAGTAGAAAACAAAAAGAAGACACACAGAGAGAGAGAGAGAGAGAGAGAGAGAGAGAGAGAGAGAATCCTAGAAGTATTAAAACTTAAATATGAAAGACAGGACAATAAGACTTCTCAAAAGACAACTTTGTAGAAGTATCTTTATGACCTTGGGGCAGATATAAATTTCTAAATAGGATACAACAACAGCAACTGTAAAAATAGATGGATAACTTGGACTTCAATAAAATTAAGAACATCTGTTTACTAGAAAATACTAGAATGAAATGGAAAATATATGCCGCAGAGTAGAAGTAGGAGAATATGTTATTTGCCATGTATAGTTATATTTACGTCTATATCTATTTGGCATGTACATGGCACATATAAGGAACGTAACATATATAAAGAACAAGAAAAAGAAAGACAAACATTATTTTAATGGGCAAATACTTGACAGTTACTTCACAAAAGAAGATATCCAAATGGTCAGTAACATAAAAAGATCTTCAACCTCATTAGTTATGAGAGAAATGCCAGTCCAACCCATAATGACATACTACTATATGTATATTAGAAAGGCTAAAATGAAAAAAACTGACAGTAGTAAGTGTTAGTAAGGATGTTGAGCAACTGGAACATTTATGCGTGCTGATGGGATTGATACAGCCATGCTTAGAAACAGTTTGGCAAAATCTAAAACACACATCTACCTTACAACTCAGCAATTTCACTTTTAGGTATACAGCCAATGTGTGCAGAGTACATCAAAAGACATCAGATGGTTAGACTGGTTAGATCTGTTTGTTAGATCCCTTTGTCAGATGGATAGATTGCAATGTGTGCAGAGTACATCAAAAGATCATATATGAATGATCATAGCTGCTGTATTCATAATAGCTCTAAGCTACAAATAACCTTACTATCAATCAACAAAACATAAGAATAAATTTTGTTATAGTCGTATAATGGAATACTACCTGGCAACAACTACATACAGCATGAGTTAATCTCACTGACACGAGAGAACAAAAAGCACCAGAAACAAAAGAGTATATACTGGATGATTTCAGTTATATAATTATCAAATCAAGTAAAACATCTGTAGTGATGGAGGTCAGAATAGTGGTTACTTTTGGGGTATTGAATGGGATGGAGCTTTCTAGGGTGTTGGAAATATTCTATATCTTGCTCTTGAGCTGTGCAATCAAGATTTGTGCACTTGACAGTATGCTTGTTACACTTCAATAAAAATGTTTTTTAAAGGTTGCTCATAAAAATAGCTCTGTTTATTTGGTTTTCATTAAATAAATATATCTACATGGTAATGATTAAAATGGGACAGAAATTCTTATGATGAAAATAGGTAGTCTCTTGTCTCACCACTCCTTATTTCTAGTACTAATCACCAGATTTAGTTCTTAAAATAATTTTTTTCTTGTAGGTCTTATGCTATAATTTGATATAATGTGTTTATACTTCAATTTCTTGATTTATATACTTTAGATAACATACATGGATTTTTCACTACACATAAGAGATTTGTGTCACATACACAATTTTCCCCTTATCTATCCCTAATATTATATATATATATTCTGTTCTTATAACTTGATTTATGTATTTATTTTCTTTTTATTATACTTTAAGTTTTAGGGTATGTGTGCACAACATGTAGGTTAGTTACATATGTATCCATGTGCCCTGTTGGTGTGCTGCACCCATTAACTCATTTACATTAGGTATATCTCCTAATGATATCCCTCCCCACTGCCACAACCCCACAACAGGCCCCAGTGTGTGATGTTCCCCTTCCTGTGTCCATGTGTTCTCATTATTCAGTTCCCACCTATGAGTGAGAACATGCGGTGTTTGGTTTTTTGTCCTTGTGATAGTTTGCTGAGAATGATGGTTTCCAGCTTCATCCATGTCCCTACAAAGGACATGAACTCATCATTTTTTATGGCCGCATAGTATTCCATGGTGTATATGTGCCACATTTTCTTAATCCACTCTATCATTGTTGGTCATTTGGGTTGGTCCCAAGTCTTTGCTATTGTGAATAGTGCCGCAATAAACATACGTGTGCATATGTCTTTATAGCAGCATGATTTATAATCCTTTGGGTATATACCCAGTAATGGGATGGCTGGGTCAAATGGAATTTCTAGTTCTAGATCCCTGAGGAATCGCCACACTGACTTCCACAATGGTTAAACTAGTTTACAGTCCCACCAACAGTGTAAAAGTGTTCCTGTTTCTCCAAATCCTCTCCAGCACGTGTTGTTTCCTGACTTTTTAATGATCGCCATTCTAACTGGTGTGAGATGGTATCTCATTGTGGTTTTGATTTGCATTTCTCTGATGGCCAGTGATGATGAGCATTTTTTCATGTGTTTTTTGGCTGCATAAATGTCTTCTTTTGAGAAGTGTCTGTTCATATCCTTTGCCCGCTTTTTGATGGGGTTGTTTGCTTTTTTTCTTGTAAATTTGTTTGAGTTCATTGTAGATTCTGGATATTAGCCCTTTGTCAGATGAGTAGGTTGCAAAAATTTTCTCCCATTCTGTAGGTTGCCTGTTCACTCTGATGGTAGTTTCTTTTGCTGTGCAGAAGCTCTTCAGTTTAATTAGATCCCATTTGTCAATTTTGGCTTTTGTTGCCATTGCTTTTGGTGTTTTAGACATGAAGTCCTTGCCCATGCCTATGTCCTGAATGGTATTGCCTAGGTTTTCTTCTAGGGTTTTTATGGTTTTAGGTCTAACATGTAAGTCTTTAATCTGTCTTGAATTAATTTTTGTATAAGGTGTAAGGAAGGGATCCAGTTTCAGCTTTCTACATATGGCTTGCCAGTTTTCCCAGCAGCATTGATTAAATAGGGAATCGTTTCCCCATTTCTTGTTTTTCTCAGGTTTGTCAAAGATCAAATGGTTGTAGATATGCGGCATTGTTTCCGAGGGCTCTGTTCTGTTCCATTGGTCTATATCGCTGTTTTGGTACCAGTACCATGCTGTTTTGGTTACTGTAGCATTGTAGTATAGTTTGAAGTCAGGTAGTGTGATGCCTCCAGCTTTGTTCTTTTGGCTTAGGATTGACTTGGCAATGTGGGCTCTTTTTTGGTTCCATATGAACTTTAAAGTAGTTTTTTCCAATTCTGTGAAGAAAGTCATTGGTAGCTTGTTGGCATTGAATCTATAAATTACCCTGGGCAGTATGGCCATTTTCACGATATTGATTCTTCCTACCCATGAGCATGGAATGTTTTTACATTTGTTTGTATCCTCCTTTATTTCATTGAGCAGTGGTTTGTAGTTCTCCTTGAAGAGGTCCTTCACATCCCTTGTAAGTTGGTTTCCTAGGTATTTTATTCTCTTTGAAGCAATTGTGAATGGGAGTTCACTCATGATTTGGCTCTCTGTTTGTCTGTTATTGGTGTATAAGAATGCTTGTGATTTTTGCACGTTGATTTTGTATCCTGAGACTTTGCTGAAGTTGCTTATCAGCTTAAGGAGATTTTGGGCTGAGACAATGGGGTTTTCTAGATATACAATCATGTCATCTGCAAACAGGGACAATTTGACTTCCTCCTTTCCTAATTGAATACCCTTTATTTCCTTCTCCTGTCTGATTGCCCTGGCCAGAACTTCCAACACTATGTTGAATAGGAGTGGTGAGAGAGGTCATCCCTGTCTTGTGCCAGTTTTCAAAGGGAATGCTTCTAGATTTTGCCCATTCAGTATGATATTGGCTGTGGGTTTGTCATAGATAGCTCTTATTATTTTGATATACATCCCATCAATATCTAATTTATTGGGAGTTTTTAGCATGAAGCGTTGTTGAATTTTGTCAAGAGCCTTTTCTGCATCTATTGAGATAATCATGTGCTTTTTGTCATTAGTTCTGTTTATGTGCTGGATTACATTTATTGATTTGCATATGTTGAACCAGCCTTGCATCCCAGGGATGAAGCCCACTTGATCATGGTGGATAAGCTTTTTGATGTGCTGCTGGATTCGGTTTGCCAGTATTTTATTGAGGATTTTTACATCGATGTTCATCAGGGATATTGGTCTAAAATTTTCTTTTCTTGTTGTGTCTCTGTCAGGCTTTGGTATCAGGATGATGCTGGCCTCATAAAATGAGTTAGGGAGGATTCCCTCTTTTTCTATTGATTGGAATAGTTTCAGAAGGAATGGTACCAGCTCCTCCTTGTACCTCTGGTAGAATTTGGCTGTGAATCCGTCCGGTCCTGGACTTTTTTTGGTTGGTAAGCTATTAATTATTACCTCAATTTCAGAGCCTGTTATTGGTCTATTAAGAGATTCAACTTCTTCCTGGTTTAGTCTTGGGAGGATGTATGTGTTGAGGAATGTATCCATTTCTTCTAGATTTTCTAGTTTATTTGCGTAGAGGTGTTTATAGTATTCTCTGATGGTAGTTTGTAATTCTGTGGGATCTGTGGTGATATCCCCTTTATCATTTTTAATTGTGTCTATTTGATTCTTCTCTCTTTTCTTCTTTATTAATCTTGCTAGCAGTCTATCAATTTTGTTGATCTTTTCAAAAAACCAGCTCCTGGATTCATTGATTTTTTGAAGGGTTTTTTGTGTCTCTATCTCCTTCAGCTCTGCTCTGATCTTAGTTATTTCTTGCCTTCTGCTAGCTTTTGAATGTGTTTGCTCTTGCTTCTCTAGTTCTTTTAATTGTGATGTTAGGGTGTCAATTTCAGATCTTTCCTGCTTTCTCTTGTGGGCATTTAGTGCTATAAATTTCCCTCTACACACTGCTTTGAATGTGTCCCAGAGATTCTGGTATGTTGTGTCTTTGTTCTCTTTGGTTTCAAAGAACATCTTTGTTTCTGTCTTCATTTTGTTATGTACCCAGTAGTCATTCACGAGCAGGTTGTTCAGTTTCCATGTAGTTGAGCAGTTTTGTGTGAGTTTGATTGCACTGAGTTCTAGTTTGATTGCACTGTGGTCTGAGAGACAGTTTGTTATAATTTCTGTTCTTTTACATTCGCTGAGGAGTGCTTTACTTCCAACTGTGTGGTCAATTTTGGAATAGGTGTGGTGTGGTGCTGAAAAGAATGTATATTCTGTTGATTTGCGGTGGAGAGTTCTGTAGATGTCTACTAGGTCTGCTTGGTGCAGAGCTGAGTTCAGTTCCTGGATATTCTTGTTAACTTTCTGTCTCGTTGATCTGTCTAATGTTGACAGTGGGGTGTTAAAGTCTCCCATTATTATTGTGTGGGAGTCTAAGTCTATTTGTAGGTCTCTAAGGACTTGCTTTATGAATCTGGGTGCTCCTGTATTGGGTGCATATATATTTAGGATAGTTAGCTCTTCTTGTTGAATTGATCCCTTTACCATTATGTAATGGCCTTCTTTGTCTGTTTTGATCTTTGTTGGTTTAAAGTCTGTTTTATCAGAGACTAGGATTGCAACCCCTGGCTTTTTTTGTTTTCCATTTGCTTGGTAGATCTTCCTCCATCCCTTTATTTTGAGCCTATGTGTGTCTCTGCATGTGAGATGGGATTCTTGAATACAGCACAGTGATGGGTGTTGACTCTTTATCCAATTTGCCAGTCTGTGTCTTTTAATTGGAGTATTTAGCCCATATACATTTAAGGTTAATATTGTCATGTGTGAATTTGATCCTGTCATTATGATGTTAGCTGGTTATTTTGCTCGTTAGTTGATGCAGTTTCTTCCTAGCCTCGATGGTCTTTACAATTTGGCATGCTTTTGCAGTGGCTGGTACCAGTTGTTCCTTTCCATGTTTAGTGCTTCCTTCAGGAGCTCTTTTAGGGCAGGCCTGGTGATGACAAAATCTCTCAGCATTTGCTTGTCTGTAAAGGATTTTATTTCTCCTTCACTTCTGAAGTTTAGTTTGGCTGGATATGAAATTCTAGATTAAAAATTCTTTTCTTTAAGAAGGTTGAATATTGGCCCCCACTCTCTTCTGGCTTATAGAGTTTCTGCTGAGAGATGAGCTGTTAATCCGATGGCCTTCCCTTTGTGGGTAACCCGACCTTTCTCTCTGGCTGCCCTTAACATTTTTCCCTTCATTTCAACTTTGGTGAATCTGACAATTATGTGTCTTGGAGTTGCTCTTCTCGAGGAGTATCTTTGTGGCATTCTCTGTATTTCCTGAATGTGAATATTGGTCTGCCTTGCTAGATTGGGGAAGTTCTCCTGGATAATATCCTGCAGAGTGTTTTCCAACTTGGTTCCATTCTCCCCATCACTTTCAGGTACAACAATCAAACGTAGGTTTGGTCTTTTCACATAGTCCCATATTTCTTGGAGGCTTTGTTCGTTTCTTTTTATTCTTTTTTCTCTAAACTTCTCTTCTCACTTCATTTCATTCATTTGATTTTCCATCACTGATACCCTTTCTTCCAGTTGATTGAATCGGCAACTGAGGCTTGCGCATTTGCCACGTAGTTCTCGTGCCATGGTTTTCAGCTCATCAGGTCCTTTAAGGACTTCTCTGCATTGGTTATTCTGCTTAGCCATTCGTCTAATCTTTTTTCAAGGTTTTTAACTTCTTTGCAATGGGTTCGAACTTCCTCCTTTAGCTCAGAGTAGTTTGATCATCTGAAGGTTTCTTTGCTCAACTCGTCAAAGTCAGTCTACGTCCAGCTTTGTTCCATTGCTGGTGAGGAGCTGCGTTCCTTTCAAGGAGGAGAGGCTCTCTGATTTTTACAGTTTCCAGTTTTTCTGCTCTGTTTTTTCCCCATCTTTGTGGTTTTATCTACCTATGGTCTTTGATGATGGTGACGTACAGATGGGGTTTTGGTGTGGATGTCCTTTGTGTTTACTTTTCCTTCTAAGAGTCAGGACCCTCAGCTGCAGGTCTGTTGGAGTTTGCTGGAGGTCCACTCCAGGCCCTGTTTGCCTGGGTATCAGCAGCAGAGGCTGCAGAACAGCGGATATTGGTGAACAGCAAATATTGCTGCCTGATTGTTCCTCTGGAAGTTTTGTCTCAGAGGAGTACCCGGCAGTGTGAGATGTCAGTCTGCCCCTACTGGGGGGTGCCTCCCAGTTAGGCTACTTGGGGGTCAGGGAACCACTTGAAGAGGCAGTCTGCCTGTTCTCAGATCTCAAGCTGTGTGCTGGGAGAACCACTACTCTCTTCAAAGCTGTCAGACAGGGACATTTAAGTCTGCAGAGGATTCTGCTGCCTTTTGTTTGGCTATGCCCTGCCCCCAGAGGTGGAGTCTACAGAGGCAGGCAGGCCTCCTTGAGCTGCGGTGGGCTCCACCAAATTCGAGCTTCCTGGCCACTTTGTTTACCTACTCAAGCCTCGGCAATGGTGGGCGCCCCTCCCCCAGCCTCGCTGCCACCTTGCAGTTTGATCTCAGACTGCTGTGCTAGCAATGAGTGAGGATCCATGGGCGTAGGACCCTCTGAGCCATGCGTGGGATATAATCTCCTGGTGTGCCATTTGCTAAGACCTTTGGAAAAGCGCAGTATTAGGGTGGGAGTGACCCAATTTTCCAGGTGCCATCTGTCACCCCTTTCTTTGACTAGGAAAGGGAATTCCCTGACCCCTTGCACTTCCCGGGTGAGGTGAGGCCTCGCCCTGCTTCAGCTCACGCTCGTTGCAGTGCACCCACTGTCCTGCACCCACTTTCTGACACTCCCCATTGAGATGAACCCGGTACCTCAGTTGGAAATGCAGAAATCACCCGTCTTCTGCTTCACTCACGCTGGGAACTGTAGACTGGAGCTGCTCCTATTCGGCCATCTTGGCTCCACCCTATATGTACATAAACTGTCATCTCTTGTCCTGTCAACGTTAGACAGTATCTGTCTACTACCCACTTTATAAGATACTGATAATAGTAACTCTCCATTTTCTTTTAAGCTTTCTCTCCAATTCTTCCTCTTTTTTTTCTTTCTTTTTTTTTTTATTAGACTTTAAGTTCTGGAGTACATGTGCGGAATGTACGGGTTTGTTACATAGGTATACATGTGCCATGGTGGTTTGCTGCACCCATCAACCCATCATTTATATTAGGTATTTCTCCTAATGCTATCCCTCCCCTAGCTTCCCACCCCCTGACAGGCCCCAGTGTGTGATGTTCCCCTCCCTGTGTCTATGTGTTCTCATTGTTCAATTCTCACTTATGAGTGAGAACATACAGTGTTTAGTTTTCTGTTTTTGTGATAGTTTGCTGAGAATGGTGGTTTCTAGCATCATCTATATCCCTGCAAAGGACATGAACTCATCCTTTTTTAAGGCTGCATAGTATTCCATGGTGTATATGTGCTATATTTTCTTTATCCAGCCTATCATTGATGAGCATTTGGGTTTGTTCCAAGTCTTTGCTATTGTGAATAGTGCCACAATAATATTTGTGCATGTGTCTTTATAGTAGAATGATTTATAATCTTTTGGGTATATTCTCAGTAATGGGATTGCTGGGTCAAATCTTATTTCTAGTTCTAGACCCTTAGACCCTTGAGGAATTGCCACACTGTCTTCCACAATGGTTGAACTAATTTACACTCCCATCAACAGTGTAAAAGTGTTCCTATTTTTCCACATCCTCCCCAGTGTCTGTTGTATCCTGACTTTTTAATGATCGCCATTCTAACTGGTGTGAGATGGTATCTCATGGTGGTTTTGATTTGCATTTCTCTAATGACCACTGATGATGAGCTTTTTTTCATGTTTGTTGGCGCATAAATGTCTTCTTTTGAGAAGTGTCTATTCATATCCTTCACCCACTTTTTGATGGGGTTGTTTGTTTTTTCTTGTAAATTTGTTTAAGTTCTTTCTAGATTCTGGATATTAGCCCTTTGTCAGATGGATAGATTGCAAAAATTTTCTTCCATTATGTAGGTTGCCTGTTCACTCTGATTATAGTTTCCTTTGCTGTGCAGAAGATCTTTAGTTTAATTAGATCCTATTTGTCTATTTTGGCTTTTGTTGCCATTACTTTAGGTGTTTTAGTCATGAAGTCTTTGCCCATGCCTATGTCCTTAATGGTATTGCCTGGGTTTTCTTCTAGGGTTTTTATGGTTTTAGGTATTACATTTAAGTCTTTAATCCATCTGGAATTGATTTTTGTATAAGGTGTAAGGAAGGAATCCAGTTTCAGCTTTTTACATATGGCTAGCCAGTGTTCCCAACACCATTTATTAAATAGGGAATCCTTTTCACATTGCTTGTTTTTGTCAGGCTTGTCAAGGATCAGATGGTTGTAGATGTGTAGCATTATTTCTGAGGCCTCTGTTCTGTTCCATTGGTCTATATATCTGTTTTAGTACCAGTACCATGCTGTTTTGGTTACTGTAGACTTGTAGTATAGTTTGCAGTCAGGTAGCATGATGCTTCCATGTTTGTTCTTTTTACTTAGGATTGTCTTGGCTATGCAGGGCCTTTTTTAGTTTCATATGAAATTCAAAGTAGTTTTTTCCAATTCTGTGAAGAAAGCCAGTGGTAGCTTGATGGGGATAGCATTGAATCTATAAATTACCTTGGGCAGTATTGCCATTTTCACATTATTGATTCTTCTTGTCCGTGATCATGGAATGTTTTTCCATTTGTTTATGTCCTCCCTTATTTCCTTGAGCAGTGGTTTATAGTTCTCCTTGAAGAGGTCCTTCACATCCCTTGTAAGTTGGATTCCTAAATATTTTATTCTCTTGGTAGCTATTTTGAATGGGAGTTCACTCATGATTTGGCTGTCTGTCTGTTATTGTTGTATAGGAATGCTTGTGATTTTTGCACATTGATTTTGTATCCTGAGACTTTGCTGAAGTTGCTTATCAGCTTCAGGAGGTTTTGGGGTGAGATGATGGGGTTTCCTAAATAGACAATCATGTCATCTGCAAACGGACAATGTGTCTTCCTTTTTTCCTAATTGAATACCCTTTATTTCTTTCTCTTGCCTGATTGCCCTGGCCAGAATTTCCAGCACTATATTGAATAGGAGCGGTGAGAGAGGGCACCCTTGTCTTGTGCCAGTTTTCAAAGGGAATGCTTCAGGTTTTTGCCCATTCAGTATGATATTGGCTGTGGGTTTGTCATAGATAGCTCTTACTATTTTGAGATACGTCCCGTCAATACCTAATTTATTAAGAGTTTTTAGCCCATTCAGTATGATATTGGCTGTGGGTTTTGTTATAAATAGCTCTTATTATTTTGAGATACGTTCCATCAATACCTAGTTTATTGAGAGTTTTTAGCATGAAGCGCTGTTGAATTTTGTCAAAGGCCTTTTCTGGATCTATTGAGATAATCATGTGGTTTTGTCATTGGTTCTGTTTATGTGATGGATTACATTTATTGATTTGCATATGTTGAACCAGCCTTGCATCCCAGGGATGAAGCTGACTTGATCGTGGTGGATAAGCTTTTTGATGTGCTGATGGATTCAGTTTGTCAGTATTTTATGGAGGATTTTTGCGTTGATGTTCATCAGGGATATTGGCCTGAAATTTTGTTGTTGTTGTAGTGTCTCTGCCAGGTTTTGGTATCAGGATGCTGGCCTCATAAAATGAGTTAGGAAGGATTCCCTCTTTTTCTATGGTTTGAAATAGTTTCAGAAGGAATGGTATCAGCTCCTCCTTGTACCTCTGGTAGAATTTGGCTGTGAATCCGTCTGGTCCTTGACTTTTTTTTGGTTGGTAGGATATTAATTACTGCCTCAATTTCAGAACTCGTTATTGGTCTATTCAGGGATTCAACTTCTTTCTCGTTTAGTCTTGGGAGGGTGTATGTGTCCAGGAACTTATCCATTTCTTCTCGATTTTCTGGTTTATTTGCATAGAGGTGTTTATAGTATTCTCTGATGCTATTATGTATTTCTTTTCGATTGGTGGTGATATCTCTTTTACCTTTTTTATTGCATCTATTTGATTCTTCTCTCTTCTTTTCTTTATTAATCTGGCTAATGGTCTATTTTGTTGATCTTTTCAAAAAACCAGCTGCTGGATTCATTGATTTTTTGAAGGTTTGTTTGTATCTCTATCTCCTTCAGTTCTCCTCTGATCTTAGTTATTTCTTGTCTTCTGCTAGCTTTTGAATTTGTTTGCTCTTGCTCCTCTAGTTCTTTTAATTGTGATGTTAGGGTGTCAATTTTAGATCTTTCCTGCTTTTTCCTGTGGGCGTTTAGTGCCATAAATTTCCCTCTACACACTGCTTTAAATGTGTCCCAGAGATTCTGGTACATTGTGTCTTTGTTCTCTTTGGTTTCAAAGAACATGTTTATTGCTGTCTTAATTTCGTTATTTACTCAGCATTCATTCAGGAGCAGATTGTTCAGTTTCCATATAGTTGTGCAGTTTTGAGTGAGTTTCTTAATCCTGAGCTCTAATTTGTTTGCACTGTGTTCTGAGAGACTGTTATGATTTCCATTCTTTTGCATTTGCTGAGGAGTGTTTTACTTCCAAGTATGTGGCCAGTTTTAGAATAAGTGCAATGTGGTGCTGAGAAGAATGTATATTCTGTTGATTTGGATTGGAGAGTTCTGTAGATGTCTATTAGGTCTTCTTGGTCCAGAGCTGAGTTTAAGTCCTGGATGTCCTTGTTAATTTTCTGTCTCGTTGATCTGTCTAATATTGACAGTGGGATGTTAAAGTCTCCCACTATTATTGTGTGGCAGTCTAAGTCTCTTTATAGGTCTCTAAGAACTTGCTTTATGAATCTGGGTGCTCCTGTAATGGGTGCATATATATTTAGTTAGCTCTTCTTGTTGCATTGATCCCTTTGCCATTATGTAATGCCCTTCTTTGTCTCTTTTGATCTTTGTTGGTTTGAAGTCCGTTTTATCAGAGACTAGGATTGCAACCCCTGCTTTTTTTTGCTTTCCATTTGCTTGGTAAACATTCCTCCATCCCTTTATTTTGAGCCTAGGTGTGTCTTTGCATGTGAGATGGGTCTCCTGAATACAGCACACTGATGGGTCTTGATTCTATCCAATTTGCCAGTCTGTGTCTTTTAATTGGGGCCTTTAGCCCATTTACATTTAAGGTTAATATTGTTATGTGTGTATTTGATCCTGCCATTGTGATGCTAGCTAGTTGGTTATCTTGCCCATTAGTTGATGCAGTTTCTTCAGTGTCAATGGTCTTTACAATTTGGTATGTTTTTCAGTGGCTGGTACCGGTTGTGTCTTTCCATATTTAGTGCTTCCTTCAAGAGCTCTTGTAAGGCAGGTCTGGTGGTGACAGAATCTGTCAGCATTTGCTTGTCTGTAAAGGATTTTATTTTGCCTTCACTTATGAAGCTTAGTTTGGCTGGATATGAAATTCTGGATTAAAAATTCTTTTCTTTAAGAATGTTGAATATTGGCCCCCAATATCTTCCGGCTTGTAGGGTTTCTGCTGACAGATCTGCTGTTATTCTGATGGGCTTCCCTTTGTGGGTAACCTGACCTTTCTCTCTGGCTGTCCTTAACATTTTTTCATTCATTTCAACCTTTGTGAATCTGACTATTATGTATCTTGGGGTTGCTCTTATCGAGGAGTATATTTGTGGTGTTCTCTGTAATTCCTGAATTTGAATGTTGGCCTGTCTTGGTAGGTTGTGGAAGTTCTCCTGGATAATATCCTGAAGAGTGTTTTCCAACTTGGTTCCATTCTCCCCATCACTTTCAGGTACAACAATCAAACGTAGGTTTGATCTTTTCACGTAGTCCCATATTTCTTGGAGGGTTTGTTTGTTTGTTTCTTTTCACTCTTTTTTTTCTAATCTTGTCTTCTTGCTTTATTTCATTGAGTTCATCTTCAATGTGTGATATACTTTCTTCTGCTTGATCAATTCAGCTATTGACACTTGTGTATGCTTCACGACGTTCTCATGCTGTTTTTCAGCTCCATCAGGTCATTTATGTTCTTCTCTAAACTGGTTATTCTAGTTAACAATTTGTCTAACCTTTTTTCAAGTTTCTTAGCTTCCTTGCATTGGGTTAGATCATGTTCCTTTAGCTCAGAGGAGCTTGTTATTACCCACCTTCTGAAGCCTTCTTCTGTCAATTCGTCAAAATCATTCTCTGTCCAGTTTTGTTCCCTTGCTGGTGAGGAGTTGTGATCCTTTGGAGGAGAAGAGGCATTCAGATTTTTGGAATTTCAGGCTTTTTGCCCTGGTTTCTCCCCATCTTTGCAGATTTATCTACCTTTGGTCTTTGAAGTTGGTAACCTTTGGATAGGGTCTCTGAGTGGATGTCCTTTTTGTTGATGTTGATAGTATTCCTTTTTATTAGTTAGTTTTCCTTCTAACGGTCAGGCTCCTCTCCTGCAGGTCTGCTGGAGTTTGCTGGAGTTCCACTCCACAGCCTGATTGCCTGGGTATCACCAGCAGAGGATGCAGAACAGCAAAGATTGCTGCCTGTTCCTTTCTCTGGAAGCTTTGTCCCAGAGGGACACCTGCCAGATGCCAGCCAGAGCTCTCCTGTATGAGGTGTCTGTAGCCCCCTACTGGGAGATGTCTTCCAGTCAGGATACATGGGGGTCAGGGACCTACTTGAGGAGGCAGTCTGTTCCTTATCAGAGCTCGAACGCCATGCTGGGTGATCTGCTCTCTCTTCAGAGCTTCTAGGCAGGGACGCTTAAGTCTGCTGAAGCTGCACCCACAGCCACCCCTTCCCCCAGGTTCTCTGTCCCAGGTAGGTGGGGGTTTCATCTGTAAGTCCCTGACTGGGGCTGCTGTCTTTTTTTTCAGAGAGGGAATCTAGAGGAGACAGTCTGGCTGCAGTGGCGTTGTTTAGCTGTGGTGGGCTCCACCTAGTTCGAACTTGCTGGCAGCTTTGTTTATACTGTGAGGGTAAAATCTCCTACTCAAGCCTCAGCACTGGCAGACCCCCCTCCCCCAACCAAGCTCGAACACCCCAGGTCGAGTGGAGATCAGACTGCTGTGCTGAATATGAGACTTTTAAGCCAGTGGATCTTAGCTTGCTGGTCTCCATGGGGGTGGGACCCGCTGAACCAGACCACTTGGCTCCCTGGCTTCAGCCCCCTTTCTGGGGAAGTGAACAGTTGTATCTTGCTGGCATTCCACATGCCACTGGGTTATGAAAAAAAAAAAAAAAACTCCTGTGGCCAGCTTGGTGTCTACTCGAACGGCTGCCCAGTTTTATGCTGGAAACCCAGAGCCCTGGTGGTGTAGGCACTGGAGGGAATCTCCTGGTCTGTGGGTTGCAATGACTGTGGGAAAAGCACAGTATCTGGGCCCAGAGTGCACAGTATAGTTCCTAATGGCTTCCTTTGGCTAGGAGAGGGAGTTCCCTGACCCCTTCCACTTCCCAGGTGAGGCAACGCCCCACCCTTCTTCGGCTCACCCTCCTTGGGCTGCACCCACTGTCCAACAAGTCCCAATGAGATGAACCAGGTACCTCAGTTGGAAATGCAGAAATCACCCACATTCTGCATTGATCTCGCTGGGAGCTGCAGACCAGAGCTGTTCCTATTTGGCCATCTTGCCAGACTTCTCCCTTCCTTCCTCTTTTCATAAGCTCACTTTTTCTTTCTCATTGTCAAGGTTGCTGATGTTTGCATTTTGTTCTGCAATCACAAACAAGTCTTCTGTGCTTTGTCCACAGATTGACTCTAAAACATTGAACAATAAACATTATTAATAATTTTTACTACATATTGAACTTTTATGGTCCATGTAGTGGGCTTGCATTTTATTTTCTATAGAGAAGGGAATGAAATACAACAATCATTCAATGCAATGATCATTGAGCTATTTGATGAAAGATGCTTCTAGCATTAAGGTAGAAACAAATGATTACACCCATCCATTGTTTTAAAACATGCCTCTTTATTCAGAGACCTATGAGCTAAAAAAGACAATATATCCCCATTCTATATCCAATAACAACCTTGGAACACAAACGAGATAACCAAAGTACAGCTACCCTTCATTAAGGGGAAAATTGGGAGACACAGCAAAGGCAGGCATGAAGCAATCTTAAAATCTTGCTGCTACATATTGCATGGGACTAATCTGCTGGGGTTGAGGCATCTTCCTGATCCTGTTACTAGGGAGTAGCTCCTCATCCATTGTTCTCTAAAATTCTTTCTTTCCTCCTGGCCACATCTGAAGTGCGCATTGAAGAATATGTCCTCCTTAGTGTTTCAGCAGCTTACTCAGCCCACTTCCTTCTCATAGAATAGAGGTTGATTTTGACCTTTAGCACATTTGGGGGAAGAAGGAAATAAACACAGCACTCTCAAAAACTTAGCCTTTTTTTTTTTTTTTTTTTTTTACTTATTTGATTGGAGTCCACATTGTATGTCAATACCTGTTGCTGCATTTTTTTAAACTGTGTTTGTCCCCCTAGTTCCTTTCTGTATTTCTCTGTTTAAATGTGGGTATTTTGAATCTATCAGGTGTAGGTGGGAAAGCCTTGCCTTATCCTCTTCCTTCTGAGTCAGTTTGACCAACTGAAAGGATTTGCTGGTACCACAGTCTTGATTGGGTATTTAGTCTGAGACATAATCCATTCAGAGGTTACCAGTAAATGAGACAACCATATTTTTAAATTTGCTTTTCTTTATTATGCTACTTGTTCTCCTTTGCTTGGAGATCCTTGTCTGTCTTTCTATTTGTTCCAACAAGAATCCTGATGGGTAGCTCTGACTGTGGTGGAGTATAGTAGGTCATTCCTACATTACTTTACAGAATTCCCTACCATTCTAGGAAGGATTTACAAATCAAAAGCTTTAACAGAACATTATTTTTAAAATACTTGCAATTCTATACCCAGAGCAGTAACATTCATGGGGGTAATACATAGGATCTGTGTTTACAGTTATGTAACAGTAAGAATGCTACCTCTGATGTAGCCCCCATTTCTTGTTTTTTTTCAGTAGGATCCCTGGCTGCCCACTGACCTTTGATTTGGGGCAAAGAAAGAGGTAGTATGGGTAAGATCAATAAGCTGAAGGATGGCTTAGCACACTGGTAGTTCAACACAACACTGCAAGAAAGAAAAGACAGTGTGATACTATGGTTCTGCACCAGGAACAACAGACTAGAGATAGCTGTGGAATTGGCAGGTTCTTCATAATGACAAAAGATACATTAATTGGGGGTAGCCTGGTTAAGGTCCGTACTAGCTTATAAGACAACCAGAGATTGGAAAGGGTGGAGTGGGAATGTGTCAAGGTGGTACATCACAATATCACAATAATCTTCTCTCTCCTTGGCAATCAGTGGGAGGGAATCTGCCCTCTTGTGGGACATGACCTTTAAAGCCCAAGATAGAATTTATAGTCAGTATCTAAACTAGACCAAAACACAACCTTGTTACTCCATGGCCAGACACAGGGGAGATGGGTAGAGAGTGGAGGGCAGTTATGAGACTGGCTGCTCTTTGAGGATGAAAGACAGTGGTGACTCCTTAAGTTGGGTGGATGGTAGACTCCCTTCTATGGGTTTGCATCTGCAGGAATAGTATTTGAGCTCATGGGACATGGCCAGTACTTCTCCAGTGAGGAAGAGGGTATGATTGAGGAATAAATGATAGGTATCTCTGAGCAGGAGCTGATCCATCCTCTGAGGGAGAGAAACAAGTGTCAGCTCCCCACTGAGGGTGATGGGAAATCCACCAGCATCTCAGAGGTGTGTGGTGGCATCATGTCTGGGGACTCAACAAAATGGACTTAGACGAGCCATCTCTCTTTACCCACACATGGTAGAGAGGGCATGTATTAGCCCCCTTTATGAGGACTTAGAGTGTGTTTGGAGGAGATTGCCATTGTCAGAACAGCAGAGAGGAAAAAAGTGAGTGCTTTCCAGTCAGATATTGTGGGTTCCAAATCCAGCACCAAGAATTACTAGTTCTGGGCAAGTAACATAGGCCTTCTCAGCATTTCTCCACCAATAAAAACAGATAATAGTAGTATCCCCCTGGTAAAGATGGTGTGAAGGTTAAATGACATAATAAATGAAAAGTTCTTGGTACAATGCCTAACATACAGTAAATGTGAATTAGATGTTAGGTGTTATTAATATTTCTCCCCCCATCTCCCGGAGCTATGTGTCCTAGGCTAAAGCAATGAAAGGAAATCTGTAACTCAATTCAAGGCTGAGAAAGAGACAGTTACTATGTTAGTATACTAAGGCAGTTGAGATGTCTTATGGTTTCCTAGTTGTGCTACTGGCTCACTAAGATAGCCTCCCTCCATTCCTCTCTCCTACTCTTCCTACCTGGCAGAGAAACTGGGAGGGGCAGAGAATGACTGACAGCCCTTTTGGGGGTTTGTGACACTGTTGGAGGTGGGAACTGGGTGAGGGGCTTGGAGACAGGGTTAAGGATTGGGAGACTGTGGGAAAGGGAAAATGACCCAAGGACAGGATTCATGGGTATTCTTTGACATCTGAAGGGTTGGTCACAATACCTATAACAAGGCCCTTAACTAGTGAAAGGCACACTGAGGCAGCCTGCCTCTTTCAGGGAGAGTACTCAGAAGACCAGTACCTAAAGGCAGCCTGCCTCTGCTGAATGCAGTGAGATATACATAACTGGTAATGGAAGCAGGTTGTCAATGGGGCAGTGTTGTCAGTGTCATAAGAATATGCTGATGTGGTATGGAGTGGGTGGCTGCTCTTCCCCAGATTCTTCTGACCTCCTGCCAGGATTTCTCTCTGGTGAAGGCAGGTTGCAAAGAACCTGTTCTGGCCAACATAACATCTATTTAGTTACTGGATATACCATAAACTTCCTTCCACACTGAGAAGGATACTGACTGAGTTAACACAGGGAAAAGTTTAATTAAGAGAACATAATGGAGAATGGGGACAAAGAGGGGAAACTAGATGGAAAACTGCACAAGTAGGCAGTCACTGAGGAAGGGCAAGCAGGAGTGGAATGGTGGGTAGGTGAGGGAGCCTCACCATCCCCTTGAGAGTGTAGGGACCCATTTCCTCTGTTAATATTTTTTTGCCAGTTGAGATTGGGCAAAACTGTGAGTTTTAGAGCCTAATTTCTGCAGCAGCTGAGCTGCCTGAGAGCTTCCTGGAACTACTATTGCTATTTATTTTCTCCGAGCCCTGTGTTTAAGGCGTGATGAAAAACAGCCTAACGGCCAAAGCACAACTGCCCCATATGAGAGACCATTAAGATAAAGTCCCACGTAAGTTACCCTAATAAAAGAAATTTATCACAAGACATAGAGAGGAAGGTGTCTTTATTCACTAGGTGAATAGCACCAGGCATTGTCAATGTGGCTTTTCAAGGCTCAGAAATTATCATTCATTCTCCAAATTACCAACTGCACAAAAATTACTAAATGGTGCGTTATCACTCCCTCTCAGCGAGAGAATGTCTTTGTTTAACGTTTGATTACAAATGGCTTTCCTACAATTATCATCAATAAATCACAGGTAAGTGTATCCATGGCTGGGACTGATGTAGGAAGACTTTGTGAGCTACTGGGAGAAGGAAAAACCAAAAGCATGTGACAGCGAACACTCAGAGTGCTGCACTTTTAGGACTTATTTTTTGGGGGTCTTGTAAGTATATCTCGGAAAGGCATTGATTGTGTCCCTTAAAAGAAGGTGGGAAGTTCTGTAGTGGTTTGGTGATGTGCCTTCAGCCCCATTTGTGTATGAGAAAGAGAGTGTACGAAAAAGGGAGAAAAGTATCAGCATGTGCAAGAATGGATTTGTCAGTGTGAGACAAGCAGGAAAAGAAAGTCAAGGAGGAGGGAGAGAAGTAGAAGGCATGGAGGAGAACTAGGGGACAGAGGAGGGCAAAGAGAGGGAGGAGGCTGACAGAGAGGAAGACAAGGAAAAAGAAGGAGCACTCCCCATCCCTGACCTACCTCTGAGCTATGCCTCAGTTGGCTCTAAGGCACTCCCCAGAGACCACAATCCCAGGCCTCCTGCAACTCTCTGCCCACTCCCTATTTACTAGCCCTCAGTTACTTTTGCTTGCCACCTTGGCTCGCCAGTTCTCATCTCTAGACCCAGGCTTTGGGGATGTGCTTGTATCTCTTCTACTTTTAGAATGTCCTTTGTGTCTTTTTTTTTTTTTTCCTTTACAGTGATTCCAGCTCTCCCTTCCTTAGTGCCTCACGTTGCCACACATTTTTCTTAATTATTTAGATATATCTGCAGCTTAAGAAGAAAAACTATTCTACAGCCTGGCCCCCAAAAACCTGAGGTTAGACTAATGCATAGGGAGTTTCCATGGGAACTGAATGTGAGGTTGTTGTGTTGGTTGTAAATTTAGCTTCATGACACCTGTAGGTGAGGGCATTCTTGTCTGAAGAATGTGATAATATAGTCTGAGAGCCAGCTCTGAAAAATCTGGTGAACAGTAGTGCCAATAACCATTAAGAGATGTTTTGAAAAGTCTGTTGTGGGTTAGGGATGCGGAGAAGGATGACACATGCCTTGCTCTCAGCTTCCTGACGTCCTAGAAGAAGAGGAACAGTTTGAGCAAAGGTACACAGGAGAGAGCATGAATGGAGCCCAGAGTTCTACATGGGAAATTATGAGAACTACATCAACAAGGCTGGCTGGAGAGACTGGGAAAAATTTTAAGAGATCTCAAAAAAGAAATTCAGAAGTGTGGGTTTGGTTATATAGGTCACTAAGAATCTTTAAGAAGAGAGAAAATTAAAGCAATGGAATTATGATCACTATTGTTAGGAGATAGTGAGATTAGAGGATGATCTCCCCATTCCTTGGTTCCTTATTCATTCATCCCTTCATTCATCCATTCAGCAAATATTTATTAAAGGCCTACTGTATGCCAGGTACTGTAGTGAGGTATCATGGTGAGGTAAAGATATAGTTCCTGTCCTCAAGAAGCTTATGCTCCTGGAGAAAAAAGAAACAAATGAAGTAATTACAATTTATAATAAGTGCTGTGGAGAAAATAAACAGGATAAGGACACAGGGAGTAACTGGTGTATGGAGAGCTACACATACTCTAGTTAGGGTGGTAGGGTTTCACCTCTCTGTAAAGGCATAAATTTGAGCTGGGACTCTAAAGATGAGAACAACCAACCTCCATAAGGAACATCCTCAAGAGGGGATTTGAAGGACAGAGAGAGGTGGAGGTTACTAGCAATAATCCAGAAAAGTGACGATGCTTTAGACCCAGGGTCAATAGTGTGACTCAAGTCTTAACAGGCCATTTTGGAGGCAAAATTGAAAATTGACTGAAAAGGAATGAAATGGAGTGACTCTTTTACCTCCTGTCCTGGATCTGCTCACAGTGCCTCCAACTCAAGTGCACACGTGGCCAGTGCTTTCTACCCAGGTCTCTTTAGATATGGGAACTGGGGCAGTCTCCATGTGGTCTCTCAGCACAGGTATTTGACAGTCAGGCTTCACCCTGATTCAGCAGTGCCTGCTGTGTGTGGTTCTGCTTCCAAGACCTAGTTCAGATTATGCTGCAAATATTACCAACCAGGACACTGGTTAAGGGTAGACACTTATTTTGCAAAATTAGCAAACTATAGGCAACAAAAAAAAAAGCCATGCAGTTTCCATTTACCACAAATATTTATCTTAACCCTCCACTTCTATTTATAAAAATTTGCCAAAATATAATTTAAATTCCTAAATGATTTCAGAGATTTTTTTACAATGAATTATTAAACACCCACATATTAAAACTAAATGTGGCCTAAACTCTGGGGACTCTTGAGGATTTAAATATGATGCATGTTCCAGACAAAGAATGAGAGAGAATGATGGAGCGGGAGATCCAAGACCCTACAAAGAGTGCAAGAAAGAAAGAACCAGCCTGTGAATGAGAGACAAAGGGAGATGGCAATAGAGAAGTAAATGATACAAAAGAGTGGGGGTGGAGGGAAAAGAGATTGAGAGAGAGACAGAGCCAAGGAAGGGGAAGGAGGGGGTGGCAGCAGGCCTGCTGCCTATGAAGGGGACACAGTGTGGAGATTAAGATCTCTATCGGAGCTTGTGGCTGGAGCGATTACAGTGTATTAGGGTCCTGTCAGTGTTGACAAACACTGCCCCAATTAGGAATTAGTTCCACAAGGCATCAGATAGCAGGGCTGCTGTTGACCTGTAAATAGACTGGCCCTCCCTTCCCTCTCTCTTATTTAAATAGGCGCAGCTGCTCCTAGCCTAGCCCAGGAAGCCCAGCCTCCACGGCCCTTCCTACAGCAGCCACCAGGGAATAGGAGTGGGTACCAATCGCCTGGTGTTCTAATTTGTTTTAAACACCAGTATTCTGGTAAATGCATGTACTTTTCCTAAAAATGCATGTTCAACAGTCACAAGAATTCTTTCTACCCACACTCTATCCAGTATCAATTCCAAGGCCCCTTTTTAAAAAACCATTGTTTCAAGGACATGTAAGTAGTGTCTAGGGGAAGTGCCCATTTCACAGCAAACAGTCGCTAACCAATTTAAAAGTACACACTACAGACTCATCTCCCCTTCTGCAAGTCTGTGGGAATGATAGAAAAGAGATGTAGTTCTTATGGAAAAAGAATCCAAACCCAGAATGTAAAATAAGAGGTGTCATCAATGCATTCGAAACTATGGGGAATCCTAGAGAGATGAAAGTCAGATGGAATCAGACAGAAGCAGGAAATATGTGCAGAAGAGCATTGCTGCACAGGAGGGTGTGGTTGCTGGGGAGCAGTAAGCCTCAGGTGGAAGATCCCTGGGCAAGAGGGACTGGATGGGACAGCTGATAATGTGTGTGTGTGGTTGTATAGGGGCCAAAGCAGGAACCTCCTCTGGCAGGGGAACATGACTTCAACTTGGTCATCTGTCAAGGCAGGCAACAAGCCACAAATGGAGGAGGATGGGCTTTTAGTCAGGGAGGAAGTACAGTGCTTCAGGAGGCTGGTGTTTCCATAAGAACCCAATATCCAGGAATCCAACTCCTGGCTCACACTGCCTGATGCATGTTCTTTGCCTCCCAACAATCTTTGGAGGCTGGCTAAGGGGATCACACACACAGAGATGAGCATACAAGGAAGAGTCCCTGAACATTTGAGGAAAGCCAAGGCTATGAAAGAGATGCCACAAACTCAGTAAGTTCATGGGCCACTACCAGGAAATTAGCCTAATTAAAAGCAAAAAAACCAGGACATTAGAATAAACATAATTAAAAGAGAGTCATAGAGGCTTCTGTATCCATAATAATCAACTAGAGATATGGAAAACTAAAATGTTTATTTTTGAACCAAAAATTAAATAGACAGTTTGAGTAGCAGAATGGAAACAGTTAAAGAGGAAACAAGTAAGCTAGAAGACCAAGCTGAGCAATTCTCCTAGAAAGCAAAATATGAAAGAAACATTAAGGCACCTGGCATGTGTTCTAACACACATTTGATAGGAACTGAGAGATAGGTCACTAGAAAATCTATCTACCTCACAACCAAGCAAAACCAAACAGAAACACAGGGTCAATGAATAAATCTATAATCACAGTGAAAAACCTTAACTTACTACACTCACAATCATTAGAAGTAATAGGATAAAATGAAATGAATGAAGGAATGTAAAGAAAGTTGCCTAACATAATTAACATACTTGCCTTACTCTGATAGAGAAAACGTTATTTTTAAACCAAACAGACTTCGCAAAATTGACCATGTTTTAGGTTACAAAAAAACTGGACAAATTCCAGAAAACTTATATGATTTGTACTTATTGATCACAAGGCAATAAAAATATAAATTAACAACCAAAGGAAAACTTTGTCCTTGAAAATAAAAAATTATGTTTCTAAATAACTTTGTAGCTGAAAAGGAGGTAAGAATGGTCATTACCAATTCTGAAAATGCACAAAATTAAGGACACACTTACTAAAGTCTATGAGTAGGGACAGAGACAGAGGAGAATGCACAGCATTACAAGAATTTATTAGAACACAATAAATATTAAAAATAAGCTAAGTATTCAATTTAAGAAACTAGAAAAATGACAACAAAATTACTCCAAATAAATTAGGAAAAAAGAATTAGTAAAAATGAAAGTAGAAATTATTTAATTATGAAATAAAAAGCAGAGTAGATAAATGCAACCACAAGCTGGTTTTTGAAAATACAAGATTACTAAACTATATAAATATTTGGCAAATACAATTAAGGAAAAAAGAAAGAAGGCATAAATAAACAAAAATTTAAAAGAAACATGACAACATACATAGGAGATAAAATTACAAAGTACAACCTTATTCCAATAAATTAAAAATATAGACAAAAATGCTTAGGGAAATATAAATCATAAAAATTTGCTCAAAAACAAAAAACCTGACTAGAACAATAATCACAGAAGTAATTGAAGGAGTAATAAAACAATTATACCTCTAAAAAGGGCATGAGTTCCTGACAGTGTTAAGGATGAGTTTTGTCAAATTTTTAAGGAACAGATAATTTTCATGCCATATACATTGTTCCAAAATATAGGAAAGAAAA